>NC_000001.11:175305799-175608829 GCF_000001405.40 Homo sapiens
ATTCATGCCTGTAGCTTCCATTGTGGTCAGTATCTTATTGATATTATGAAATATTAAGGACCACCTACATAATTTGTGGGGGCCCGGTGCAAAATAAAAATGTGGGAGTTTCTTGATCAAAAACTTCAAGTGCTGACAACAAAGTGTTAAATCACACATGGGACATTTCTAGCATAAGGCCCTCTGTGACTGTGCAGGTCACAAGCCCATGAAGTTGGCCATGTATGTGATCCCCAGGTATCTCTGGCTTGGGCCACTCCTTTGAATTTTAGTCCTACACATGCAGCTGCCAGTCTCTTTTGCCTGGATATCTGAAGGCATCTCTAGCTGATGCTCCAAATGGAGTTCCTGTTTTTGGCTCTCACCCAGTGTCTCTTCCTTAGCTGGGCAGCCACCACCTACCCAGTCAGGCTGTCCAGAGTTCTATACACCATCATTATAACTTCCTCATCCACATGTTTGGTTCTGTCCATTTAATTCCTAAATATCTCTTGAGGATATATATTTTCCCAGCTCTACTAAAACCACCTGAGTTCAACTTATCCTAATTTCTCATCTGAACCATTCCTGATTTCCCCCCAAATCTTGTGTACCCCTTCACCATTTACACAATAGCCACAGCCAACTCTCTTAAATGCAAACATGATCATCTCACTCTCCTGCTTGGGCACCTCCGATGGCTTCCCACCACTATTTTTTTTTGTTTGTTTGTTTGAGATGGAGTCTCACTCTGTCGTCAGGCTGGAATGCAGTGGTGCAATCTCAGCTCACTGCAACCTTCGCCTCCCGGGTTCAAGCAATTCCTGTGCCTCAGCCTCCTGAGTAGCTGGGATTACAGGTGTGTGCCCCCATGCCTGGCTAATTTTTTGTATTTTAGTACAGACAGGGTTTCACCATGTTGGCCAGGGTGGTCTCGATCTCCTGACCTTGTGATCCACCTGCCTCGGCCTCCCAAAGTGCTTGGATTACAGGCATGAGCCATCGTGCCCAGCCCCACCACTCTTATAATCGATGAAGATTCAAGCATGGCTTGCAGGGCCCTGTCTGATTAGGTCCTGCCGTCCTTCCCAGCTGCACCTGTGTTACCCATCCCCACCCATCTGTGCTTCAGCCACTCTGGTTCTTCATCATGGCCTGCTCCTCACCTTCACTTGGAAAGGCAGTTATTCTTTATACCATTTTACAGATAAGGACACTGAGCTTCAAAGTGACAAAAGGACTTACCCCAGGGCACACAACCAGTAAGAGGCAGAGTGTGTTCTGGAATCTTTATTGAATGAATGAATGCTTGCATGCATGAATGAACAAGTGAATGGTACAGTAAACAAAGGCCCTAGGTCAGGAGTACTTAGGTGGCTCAGTGGAGATGCATTGAAGGACATGGTCACCTGTTAGGACCTGCCAGGGCTCTCTTCGGCAGTGTGTGCCTTACTATGTGTGAGGAGGTGCTGTCTTGCTTTCAGTGTGTAAATATCATGCCTTGATGGAGAAACTGCAGCAGAGAGGCCCCGCTGCCCCAGCACATCTGTCACAGCCCACACAACACCTCCAGAGTGAGAGCAACAAATTCAACGAACTGCCAAGTTGTCTGTACCACCTGGGTGCAAGCAGGAGTGAGTGTGAATGTGATAGTTTCTGTTCCTTTTCTTTTTATAGGTTGGGAGCTGGGAGAGGTGAATGATTTTCAAGGTGGCTATGAGCCTTTTGCTCTTTTATATTGCCAGGCAGAATCAGGGCTAGGATGTGACAGGCTGTTCCCCCAATCCCAGGCCGCCGGGGTGAGGCTGGGGGACAGAGAGTTCCCAGCTCCTAGCTCACAGTCAGTGGGGTGGAGTGGGGGACCTTCTCTGATAGCCCACACTTCTGTCAGTGGGAAGTTTTGGATTTGTTCTAAGGGGCAGAAGCAGATATTCCTTCCTATGTGGGGCTATTGTGCAAAGTTTGGGGGCAAAGCCGGGTGGAGAAATGTGGGTATTTAGAATAATGGCTGCCTTTTCAAATGAAAACTCTTTAAACATTTGTTTCATATCTATGTAGAACTGGGGCTAAGACTGTAGTTACAAGGGGGATATGAGGAAGGTGCTGATGGCAGTGCTCTGCCTCTCTGTCCCTTGGGTCCCAGGCAGCCCACTCAACACAACAGAAATCCACAATCCTTAGGAGCTACTCAAAAGCCCCCTCCTAGAAGTTATCATCTATACTAGTAAAGCATGCCCTTTGCTGGGCTAACTCGAGAACCCAGCAGGCCTCTCAACTAGTGTCGTGGTCTCCTGGGAAGAGTTTTGAAAAATACAAGGGCTCATAGTGAGGTGCCCTCAACCCACACATCTGAAGGATTGCCATTAACTACCTGTTTGTAATGGCTGCTGAGGGCCTGGGGCAGCACAGGTGGTGGAGGAATGGACCGGAACCTGACTACTGTCCTTAGAGAGCTTGTGGCTCTGAAACATACCGGGCTGGCTTTTGCACACAGCCTGGTCTTCTTCACCATTCTTCCCCAGCAGAGTCGTTGTGGGGCTGGCCTCAGATGTGGAGGTTTTGTCCCACTCCTGCGTCCTCTGTTCCCTTCGGCTCCAACCCCACCCTTGTCCCCTTTCTGCTCTCAGGTGTCTATCAGCTGACCCTTGATAGCAGGTTGATGCTCTTATTTTGCCCAGAGCATTTCTTTAAGGCAATAAGTTGTTTTGGAGAACCAGGTGAGTGAAATTTCAGGCCATAACACTGTTATGAAGATAATAAGGCTGCTTTTCAACACCTTTTAACTTCTACCAAGTTAACACATTCTCAAGTTGTAAGAACATCTGCTGTAAAGCATTTTTCTGCCCATTTTATAGTTTGCCCTTCACAATAGTCTGTGAAGTAGGAAGGACATTATTCTTAATCCCATTTTACAGATATACGGACACTAAGCTCCTGAGTGACAGAAGGACTTATCCTAGGGCACACTACCAGTAAGAGGCAGAAAGAGGTTGACTACTGATATGGTGTGACTCTGTATCTGCACCCAAATCTTACCTTGAATTGTAATCCTCATCATCCCCACGTGTAAAGGGCAGAACCAGGTGGAGGTAATTGGATCACGGGGGAGTCTCCCTCATGCTGTTTTTGTGATAGTGAGTGAGTTCTCACAAGATCGGATGGTTTTATGTCTAGCATTTCCTTTGCTTTCACTCACTCTGTCCTTCCGCCCTGTGAAGAAGGTGCTTGCTTCTCCTTTGCCTTCCATCATGATCGTAAGTTTCCTGAGGCCTCCCTAGCAATGCGGAACTGAGTCAATTAAACCTGTTTCCTTTATAAATTACCCAGTCTCAGGTATTTCCTCATAGCAGTGTGAGAACAAACTTATGCAACTATATAGGTCTTTTGACGTCAAATACAATGTTCTTTCCTCTGCTCCTCAGATAATCTTAATATTTGCTCTTCTTGAATATTTTATGGATCTGTCCTAAATTTTACAGTACTAAAAGCTGTTAATTGAGTTTCTTTCATAGACGGAAGATACGGTTGATTCAATTCAGTTTACATCAATTCTATACTGAGTCCAAAGAGAGTTCTGGGCTAAATACTGGAAATAGAAATGGAAAGCCAAGGCTCTTCCCTTAAAGAGTTCACAGATGATGGGAATTCTCTTCTCACCGGTGCTTTCCCAATTGCTTCCCAATCCTCTCCAGCCCTTTGGAAAGAAAATAAACCCTTTACTCCGCCAAGCTGGAGGTCTTTCCTCCTCAGGGTGTTTTTGTCTTGGAAGAGAAATAAATGGTTCTGCAAATCTGGTAGTGGGTTGCAGCCAGGCTCTAATAGGAGAGACCTGTTTGGGGATGCTTCACTGGCTCTCGATCTGAAAGAAGACCCTGTGATAAACAGGATCATGACGGAGAGCAGCATACCTCCTTTAGCACCAAGAGGTGAACTTCGAATTGTCCTTCTTTGCTGTGAGCTCTGTGGTAAGGTCCACCCTTGCAGGAAGGGACTTTATCAGCGTTTCTTGAGAGACTGAACTGATCTGTCTGTCTGGCCAAGAGAAGTAGATGTGAGGACCATTGATGCCAGTCACATTCACATGTTGACCCGATCCCAGGTGACCTTCACAACTAACATGCCATTACAGAGACCTACTGTGGTGACTACATTTGTTTAAAACAAAACTGGACCATGTAGCCCAACAGTCATGGCCAGGACAATTGGAAAGAAAAATCAGCATTGAAACATCTCTGAAAAAGCTAGAGGTGAACATCTGCCCCCACCCTCCCCTGCCCCTAGTCGCTTCCTTTCTGTGTACTGGATTTCTTATCTGGGAGGATGAATTGGGTAAAGGGGTTTAGCTGAGGGTGTTTTCCTCTGCCACAAGCTGAGACTACAGCTGGTTAGCCCTTTGCTTTCCCTAACATCATGGAACACTCCCTTAGGCATGCGACTTAGATATTCACATTCTCCTGGGGAGCTTGGGTGGTGATACTGCCCTTCCTTGCTCTGTTGACTGCAATCCTGGACCTGAATATCATTCTTAGGTAGAATTGTGGCACAAAATCTTCTCTTCCTTCTATCTTTAGTGCCTAATTACCCTGTATTTCTTTCTTCTTAAGAAACCTTTAGGACATATGAGATTGTGAGGTATTTGGGGATCTTAAACAATCGATACCATTTATTATTGTCCATCAGGTGAAGCAACAGAGCCAAAGGTCTAATTTACAAGTGACTCTTGGTTTGAAATCTAAATGATTCCTAGGGAGCCATGACAAACTGAACCATTGTAAGACAAACTCTCATTTTCTGTAAGTGTCATTTTATCAATTCCACTTTCTACCTTGGAATCTAATCTCATACCACAAAAATACCCAGAGTAATTCCGACAAAATGAAACTAAAATAAAACACAGATATAAGCTTTTCAAACATTTATAAACTATATAAAGACAAATTCAATAGAAAAGCTATAACAATGTTCCATTTGGGCGATCCTTTTGTCTTTTGGGCTGAAATGAACCAGCCTGAAGCTTTTTGAAATTTGCTTCCATGAAGTCTGGATTGAAGTTATCTCTTCTTTCTGTGATAAATCTCCCTGTAACAGTGGCTCTCAACTGAGGGTGATTTTTTTTCCCCCAGAGGACATTTGGCAATGTCTGGAGACATTTTTGGTTGTTACAACATGGTGGGAGGCGGGGGTCCTACTGGAATTTAGTGGGTAAAAGCACAGGGCAGGTCCCTAAAACAAAGAATTATCTGACCAAAATGTCAATAGTACTGCTGTATTGAAACACTGCTTTGTAGCGTGGACATTTCAAACCGAGTTAACATTAGGTCATTTCGTTGAAAGATAAAACCAGATTTATGTGAATATGTCTCAATTTCTTTAAATGGTACTGGTTGGGGGTTGGGGAGGATAGGAGGGCAGGCCGTTCCACATTGACTTCTTTAATCATCTCTTGCTTTTCCAAGTCAATAAATCAACTGGGTTACCTTTAATTGCAACCCAGGTTGTTATTGTTGTTGCCAATCGTTTCAGTGTAGCTTTGGTTGTAAATACAAGCTTTGGTTATTACTTTGTGGTTTTTATTTGTGGGGGGAGAAATCATAAACAGTGAGTGGGCTCACAAATCAAGCCAGGTATTACCGGCATGCAGGCATAATATATGCGTTCCTCAGTTTTCATTGTTTATCTTGGATCTTTAAATTTCCTGTACAGCTAGCATACTGAATTTTCATAATTGCTACTGCATTTCTTATAATTTACACATATTTGCCAGAAACCTCTGAAGAGCTTGTTGTTTGTCATGAAGAGCACAGCTGTGAATGAATGCCTAGCAGTGATCTCTGATGATAGCAATTTTTATTTAAAGCATTAAAGGGCATCAACATCTAAAAGTTGATCCATACCTTCCACTGGCCCCTGGCCCCTGCCCCCGGGGAAAATTCTACAGTAATCAGTTTCTTTTTAGAAGGTTCTGTCAACTTTTTGGATTCAAGAGCCTCCTTAATTGCCACTTTTCTTAGTGTTAGAAGTGTTTGAAATGTGTCTGAGTTTTAAAAAAATATTGTCAGTGTTGAAATGACAACGCTCATCTAATTAACTGAGTTTTTTCACTGTGTATCTCTTTCCATTTTCTCATGAACACATAAACATAAGTTTGGAAATTTTACTTTATTCTATTTTAAAAACTTTGAAGCAAGGAGCCTTACATATGTGTGAAATATCTGAATAAGAGAGTAGGGAGTTTGGTAAAAACTGGTGGAAAAGGAAAGAGTCAAAAAGAGAATAAATGTCTGGCCGTCGGGCCATGGATTGCTGAATCTCTTTCTAGAGAATGACTTCCCCACCAGCAGGAACGTCTCTGGGAAAGGAACCACATCTGGTTTGTTTACTGCCTTGCAACTGTGTGATGGTTTATTTTATGTGTCAACTTGACTGCACCACAGGGTGCCCCGATTAAACATTATTTCTGGGTGTGTCTGCAAAGGTGTTTTTGGATGAGATTGGCATTTGAATTGGAGCACTGAGTAAAGTAGATTGCTCTGCCTAATGTGAGTGGGCATCGTCCAATCCATTGAGGACCTGAATAGAACAAAAAGGCTGAGGATAGAGGAATTTGCCTTTTGTTTTCTTTCTGCCCACCTATTAAGCTGAAATGTTGTCCTTCTTTAATGATTTGAGTGGGATTTACAACAGTGGCTTTTCTAATTCTCAGGCCTTTGGAATTGGACTGAATTGTACGACCAGGTGTCTTGAGTCTGTGGCTTGCAGACAGCAGACTGTGGGACTTCTTAGTCTCCATAATCACATAAGTCATTTCCTCATAAGTCTCTCTCTCTCTCTCTCTCTCTCTCTCACACACACACACACACACACACACACACACACACACACACACACGCAAACATAATGTAAATCCCCTATTGGTTCTGTTTCTCTGGAGAATCCTGACTGATACATACTGGTATTAAAGTTTAAATAAAAGAATTTTTTTTAACTGTGAAAAAGAGAGAGACAGAGAGAGACCAAATCTCTTCTGGGAGAAGCAGAGGGTGTGCAGGCCTTTCATCTTTTTGTATATCCAGAATCAGTATTGGATCTGGTATATAGTAGGTAACTATTGAATGTGGATGGTGAGATGAGTGAAGAGGAACAAGAGACTCGTTTATGTGTAGCTTTACAAGTCCAACGCATACTCTTTTTATAATTATTTGAAAGACTGGGCAATGGGGAATATTGTACATGTCACATGAGTGGAAAGATACAGGCCCAGAGGGCCCTAATTTGTGGTGATGTCTTATTGCTGACTGGCAAAGGGGTCACTGCTAAAGCACACATCCCCAGGGACACTGGGGGTATTACGGGCAAGAAGATGCTACTGGGTAATTGCACTGATTACTAATGTTGCTAACATTTCTCTTGCTTAATAATCCACTTTTAATATTACCCCTGGCAGTTCTTCGTTCCCATAACACAACAATAATTAAATTTGTGTTCAGTTGGTTGTAAATGCACCCAGAGGTCTTAAGCAATGGGTGAATTATACCCATTTAAGTTAGAACATAATGCTAGCATTCAGCAACCTCAGGAATAAATACTAATTACTAAAGTTCCTTTAAGTTTCACTGTATCACATTAGTTTCCATTTTCATTTTCAAGACAACGTACAGGACAAATGACAGGTTTTTATCTCAATATTACAGCAGTCACTCCTCCAGTCCCATAATCCTGAGCTATAGGTTTCCAGAATGGCTTATTTAAAACAGGACCAGGAAATGTGGCTGTTTTTAAAGGGCCACCTTGGTCTGACATTCCAGAATTTTTTTTTTTTTTAGGAAATGAGGAGAAAAAGAGGAAATGCGGCACAGGGCAAGGGCTAGGAAAGGTGCTTTGCCTGCTCTGTTTGCGAGGGTGCCTTCTATGGTAGATGGCCATGTGGCTGGAGTTTTGTCCCTGTTTTACACATGGCCCCAGGGGTGTGAAGAAGCCTGCTGGTGTCAAGCCTTTTTAAAAATTTATTTCCAGGGTTGGGATTCTGTTCCTTCTTTAAAGCACTCATTATTTCTCCCTTTTAACATGGAAGATGGAGAAAGGTCTCTCCTTTGTGGTCTTGGGTCTTCACAATGCCCAGTCTGTTCCTGGCTCTGTTATTGAACTTCAAGCAAACATGAGTACTAAACCACACCTGGCCCCGTTCCAGCAGGCTCTGCCGTTTCATGCCCCCGACCCTGGTTCATGAGGCTCCCTCCCACCTCTTTTTTTTCCCTTGGATAATTTCTGTTGTCATACTACCTCCCCCAGACAGGCTCCTAATATCCCCCTGCCCACTCCAGCATGGGAGAGCATGTCTGGGTTTGCGGTGCTTACCCTACACCGTTACTCAGTTATCTCTGCACTTCCTGACTGCCTGTGCTCCTGGAACTGGACTGGAAGAAGCTCCCATCACGACTCTCTTTTTGGGGCTGTTCCCTGACTGGGGTCTTACTTAATGTAACCCAGTGGTGAGAGTTGATCTTATATTATGCACTGGGTCCATTTTTAAGGGACAGAAAGGGAAAAGGTTTTTCCAAGTGACCAAAGCTGAGAGGCAGTGGCTAATGGTGCATTAGCTGGAGCTGCTCCCAGGCAGAGCAACAGAACCTGGCAGTGGAGGAGCTGACGGAGTGGAGGGCAGGCTGGCTCAGCACACCGGGCCTGTCAAATGTTCTCTGGCAGTACCCACAGATGGCACTAGAGCCTTGGGGATCAGACCACCCCTGGGCACTTCAGGGTTGAGGGAGCCAGGAGACGAGACTGGAAGGAGGTAGGCAGTGAGTCACCGTCTCTGTGGCTGATCAAGGACTCAAAACTGTACAAAAGGCCTGTCTGGTAATGCTAGGGCAGCAGAGACCACCACCCGTTGGTGACCTTTTCTGATGGTAAAAGCAAAGGGTGAGATGAAATTGGTGTTTTTACCTGAAAAGGCTGTTAAAGGTTAAAATGACAAAATAAAATTCAGAGGGTTTGGAGGATTTGGTGTTTACGATTCCTCAAAGTGGGTGGAAGGTAGGGAAGAAAGAGAAAGGAAGAGAGAGAGAAAGATGCAAAGAGAGAGAGAAAGATGCAAAGAGAGGAGAGAAGCAGGAGAGTAGAAGAGAGGAGAGAAGCAGGAGAGTAGAAAAGAGGAGAGAAGAAGGAGGGAAGAATGAGGAAGGGGGCTGAGATATTTAGGATATAATGAAAGCACAGAAACAGGGCGGACAAGGGGCATAGAAGGGGGAGCAGGGCCATGGGGGAGAACAGTCCACCCAAAGGGTGATGCGGAGAAGATGGGCTGGCAGAAGCAGGACTGAAATGTTAAGGAGGGGAGGCCCAGAGAAAAGAAGCCAGGCCCATTCTTAAGACAGGCATGCCCCCCAGTGCCCCTAGGACTCAGAAGACACGCATCTTTCTTTCAGGATCTTTTATTAACGTATAGAAAATGTGTTTAAAAAAGGAACTATACAGAGGCTAAAAGCAACCAGGACTAAAAATACTAGTTAACAATGGTTAACAAGCAGAGATTCCAGTCTTTGAGCTACAGTGCCATGAAAGGATCAGAGAAGTTGGTTTTTCCTCTCCCTTCCTCTGTACATTTTTATTTTTATTTTAGCTAATTAAAGTGTGCATCGTCTGAGGAGTATGTACTCCATTTTCTTTTTTTTTTCTTCCTTCCAGTCTTTCTTTTAAGTAAGCGCTTTTTCAAGCTCATTGTAGCTACAAAGTCAATAAATTGGTCTTTGTTATTTTTACCTGAAAAGGCTGTTAAAGGTTAAAATGACAAACTCAAATTCAAAGGGATTGGAGGATTTGGTGTTTATGATTTCTCAGAACAACAATCTAGAGACCACCAGGGTGGGTTTCAGCTGCTCGGAGCCCCAGTTAATGACCCCCTCAGTGTCACAGTGATTTGCTTAGGGTACTTGGGCATCCCCATGGGCCTGGGGAGTATTCGAGGTTGGAATCATTAGATGTGTGTGTTTGTGCATGTGCACCTGTGTATGTGTGCATGCATGTGTGTGTGTGCATGTGTGTGTGTGTGTGTGTGTGTGTGTGTGTGTGAATGATTGGAAGGAGGAGCCTGTGTGTTAACCAAAATAGACTCACATAGATTCTAAACCTTGAGTCTGTGGGACCATGGTGTGAGTCTGGGCCTCCGCAGTTGGTAAAGGAGCACTTAGTTGGCCGACATTTTTGCAGGAATTGAAGTGTCTATTGCATCTAATGCACAGGTGTCACTGCTGCCCAAGCAGCCCCCACACTGGAATGGAACCAGTGTTCTGGGGTTCTTTCTTGGGGAGATCTATTCCTTTATATATAAACATCATTCAATTAAAGGGAAGGGGTTTATGTCTGGAGTTTTGGCCTGGCAGCTAAAAATACCAGGTTGCCAAGTACTGATTTCCTTCTAAATTCCCCAAAGTAGCAGAGAAAGCTGATATTGTAGCCAACTGTCTTCTGATGCCTTCCCACCCACTAGGGATGTGGGGCAGGTAAGGAGTGGGGAAAAGAAACCAGGGGGATAAGTAAACTGAATGTATCTCCTGCCTTCTAGCCTCATTCCCCAAATATTTCCACTGATGTACTCCCGCAGGGGACTGTGAAGGTGTTTGTACCCCTGGGAGTCTGGAAGGAGGTAGCCTAAATCAGTCTACAACCTGCTGGAGTTAGCCTCAAAATTTATAGGATATCTGCATTTGTGCTATCCATACTGGTTTGAATACACTAATAATATAATCCTTTCTTCCCAAATTCTGGAGTAAAATTGATGCTCTGAGAACATGTGCCATGTTTATTCTGTGGCTTCTCCTTCCTCAATCCTGGCTACACTGCCTGCTCCAGCTTGAAAAAAATGACTGGATATCCCACTCTTCTAATGTTGGGATGTTCCCAAAAGAGTGGGGTGGGGGGTATTGGGTTTATGTTCTGGTTCTTATCTTCCCCCTCTCATTCTGTTGGGGACCCTCTCCCTCGTCTACCAAATTTAAAAAGAAAGAAAAGGAAAGAGATGTCAGAATGTTTCTTATTCCCCATGATGATGAGATTGAGGGTCCCCTGGAGTACATGGCAAAAATAATGCAAGAATTTCCTTTTCTTAAAAGTCAGAAGAAGTGGCATCAAAGCCCCCTTGTAAGAATATTAGTAAAATCCAAGATGGTGGTCACTCAGCTAAATAAATATAAAGAGCAGCCTCATGAAGTGGAAAAATCAAGGGCTTCAAAATTAGACAAAGGTTCAGATTATGGCTCTATTTAGTAGCTGTGTGACTTTGAGCATGTTACTTAACCTTCCTGGCCCTCCCTTCCCTCTTCTATAAAATGGTTAAACCTGACTTAAAGTTTATGGTGAGGATTTAGTAAAGTAATATATGTAAAGCCCTTTGCACAGTATCTGGTAAATAGTGGGTATGCAATAAATGCTATTTATCTTAGTGTTCATTTGTGGAGAATCAAATTAAAAAGCCTATACCAGACCCGAACTCAGCTCTGTTACTAATTGCCTGTGTGAATGTGAGCAAATTGCCTAAACTTTCTTGCCCTTGGTTTCCTTGAGAGGAAATAAAATGAGAGGATTATATTAGATGATCTTGAGTCCCATCCAGCTCTGAAAGTGTATTTCCAACATTTGCCTGTTGGAGGCAGTGTTGAGCATATTAGTGCTCCATGTCAGAATATTAAAGAGCAACACAGGGTCTCCCTAGGGGCTGCTAAACCAGTGATGGGAAGAAAATAACAGTTCATGCATTCTTGTCCTTGTGTTCACTTACTGACAGTGCATCTGGACTGAAACCCTTTCTTGTGACCTAGGTGTTCTAGACCTGTTGGGTGTATGGCTTGCTTCTCAGGGAAGATGTTTGCACCACCTGACCTGAATCCATGGTGCCAGTGAGTGAGTGCCAGTACCCAGGAGAGCTGGCCTCATAAGGATAATAGAGTTAAATGTTTTTGAACTGGAACTTTAGCATTAGCCTGGCTTCATGGCCCAGACAATAAGGAGCTGTTTTATGAAGTTATCAGAGGGGGCTGAGTGTGTCTGAGGAACAAGAGCTGTGTTATTTGGATGCACTGCAAGAGCCTTATTAAGCTTGAGGAAGGAGAGAGGATTTCCCCTTTGGAGAAAATGCAACACTGTCCAAAGACTGTGAGGTTTGCCAAGGACATTTGGACAATGAAGTGCTGCAGGTGCAATGAAGTCATGTTTCAGGCAAAGATTGACCTTAAAAAAATAAACAGAATGCTGGAGATGACAAATCAGGCTTGTGACTACTGGTGACGCAAAAGTCAGATCCAGGCAGAACTGGTTGAGCAAAGAAAGAAAGTCCTTCTGCTTCTGGTTTTCGGTGCAGTGACAGGCCTTGGTGCCTTAGTTTCTCCTCAAGTTAAGTGGGTGAATGGCAGAAGCTCTGGTGGGAGGCTGGAGGCCAGAACGTGAGAAGCCAATGCTGCTTCCTCTCCCATGGCCGCTCCTGCCTTGTCTCTGCCTTTCAGTGTGGTGCCACCGGTAGAAGGCTTGTTTTGAATCTCCAATGATCCATCAGCTTCTTCTTAATTTTATATTTTTCTTCTTTCCACCTGTTTCTCAAGGCTTGATGAATGTAGAACTGGCATAAACAAATCCAGAGTGGATACAATTAGAAAGAACCAGAGACATTTTTTCAAATTGGACCTGAATCTACACCAATACATCATCTTAAAGCATATAGGAGTTACTTTCCCTGCTTGCTTTTGAAAGTTTTCATTTGGTCTGTGAGTTCTCATCTGGACTGGTAGTGTCCAAATGACCCAGTATTGTTGAAGAAAGCTTTATCACATATGTGTAGGATTGGGTTATGGAAGAAGCAAAGGTTTGAGGAGGCATTCAGCTAAACATCTTCAGGAATGTGGTCAAAGAGAGGCTACAGGAACAACCCCAGGGGCCAGCCTGTAACTCAGCTTTCTTTAGAGGATAGACCCTCTCTGTCATGGTAACCTGGATGAAAGCAGACCATCAGGGAAGTGAGGCAGAGCTGAGTATGCAGCTCCTGGCATCTGGGTGGGAGGCAGACTCCCAGACTTCACACATCTGCCCCATTCCTCTGAGGTCCTGAGACTCCTCCTGCAGCCGTGGCAAGTTTGAAGCAAGTGAAAACAAATTATCCCAACTTCTTTGGGATTATTGAAACTGAACTGAATTTTGAATCTTTCAGAGGTTTCTTAATAAAAATTTAAGAGTGGACAGTGAGATGCAAGGAAGGCGGAAAGTGTCCCCCAACCCCATGCCCTACCTCCTTGGAAGAAAAGACATGGAACTAAGAAATCAGATTGACTAGTATTCTGGTGATAAGAAAGCAAGCAGTAGAATACCATATATCCTGGGCATGTGGCCCCACCTTTCCTGAAATTCTGGGTGGAGGTTACAAAAAAGAAAAAGAAAAAGAAAAAATGTTTTCATGTCCCTAGGGTATTTGCAAATCCAGGTCACCAGCTAGTCTATTTCAACACCCATAGCTTGGTGTATCTAGTGTTCTTGCATGTTCTGTCTTTTCTCCAGAGGAGAGGACAAAGAGGAACTCATAAACTCTTTCCCAACTGATGCTTTTACAAGAGCTATTTGAAAAGATTCCACAATGACTTTTTGTCCCTTAATCTACAGCTCTGCTCTGAGACTGGATTTGAAAAGTAAAAATGTGATTAGGATTGTTTGGTTTGGCATTGAGGTTATTGGCAACCATGGTTCTTTAGGTCTGGCTTTGAAATATCAGGGTGCTGGTTGGTTCTCAGGTGGAAGGAAGCGGGGCATTAGGAGTCCTACCACTTTATGAGTAGTAGAGGGGGAAGTTGGTAGGTGAGGGACAGGTGGATTCAAATATTTGTAGATGTTTGCTTTGCATTTCCTTGCTGCCATATGTTGTTGTTGTTCTTTTACAAATCAATCTCCCATACAAATCAGCTGGCCGGTTTTCCTGAGTCCTGGTTTGGCTCTCCTGGAAACTTGGAGACGTGGCCTTTCTCAACCCCGCTGACGTTTCACACGGGGTTTCAGGAGGTGACTGCCACCTTGTGGCCACACTTAGCAAGTCCCCTTCCACCAGTTCACTGTGGTCTCAAGGCCAACAGTTTTCCACAGACTTGTCATTCTTGCCACCTCTTCTACACCTGACCCCTTCACCTTCCAGAAATAACCCTGGTGAATGTGCATCTGATATGTTGGAAATTATCTTTATATGTTGGGGAAATGCAAAAAAGGGAAACTGCCTGGACCTTGGGTCTAGACAGTGAATCTATTGCAGTCATTGGTGGTGGTTTTGGTTTTGGGTATTAGTACATATCCTGATGTGTCTGTAGTTAAACAGCCTCTGAGAAGGGTCTACCTCGATTCCTTTTGAGTCCCTTGAGGGAAACTGGTGTGCATAGGGTGGGTGCTTTGAGAGTATTGCTTACTGGATCTACCTTTGGGAAATGCAGTTGTGCTTGGAGGAGCAGGATAAGCAGGAATCAGCGAGGAAAGTTATGAGCATTGAGTCAAGTTGACCATAGACCTTGGGATGAGAGTGGGGCACAGTGTCTTTTAAACATGGTGAAAACTCATGAGAAAATCACCCTATTAAATAAAAGGAATCTATAAATCCTTTTATAGAGGGTTGAATAAGCTGATCTTTGAAGTCTCTTTCTTGCTTCAAAATAAAGCTATGCAATGCCGCTGGTACTATTTATAAAAATGTTCCATAGTGTAGAATGGTTTCAATAAAAGGAAGATTTTTGTTTCCACTGATGTTTCTTGACTTTCACCTGAATTGACAACACATAATCTTTTTCCATTTCAACTTCCTTGATGAAGTGGGCGTGCTGGCACCACCCAGGTACCTGGTCTCTGTTTTTATGGACAAAAAGAGTTCAGCCTCTCACTCGGCATGATCTTTTCTGCAGTATTTTCGTGTGTGTGTGTGTGTGTGTGTGTGTGTTTTACTTATGACTCCTGAATCAATCTCTCTCTTTTCTTTCCCTCCCTCCCTCCCCTTCCTTCTTTCCTTCCTTCCTTCCTTCCTTCTTTCCTTCTTTCCTCATTAAACAGGGAGTCTAGTGAATTTTCATTACCTAATTGTGCTGTCCCACCATGCCAATTTCTACTTAGGTTTTCAGATCACAGATTAGCATCATTGACCGTCAAAACTGAAAGGGAAATTAGAACTCATTCTAGTCTAATCTCTCATCTGACAGATGAAGAAACTGGCCCAGAGAGGTGAAACAACCCAGCCGATGTCATGTCGTAGCTAAGATGACAGCTGTTGGCCTGTACCTCGGCCCTCAAGTTTCCCATGCAATGTGCTTCCTACTATTCATTGTTGCCCCGTCTCTAGGTAAGTCTTCTGTAATTTACATGCTTGTTGAAAGGATCTGTTTCTGTTTTTTCCTCCTCCCAGTTTGTTGAAGCCCATGGTTAACTGAGAAATGCAAGTGGTGCCTAGGTTTTTCAGGGTTATGCCTGTCACATCCACACTGCCGCAGTGAACAAAGCCTAGAAGCCTGCGGCAAGGGAAGCGCCTCCATTCAATGGTGGCTGGCTGCATCCCCATGAGGTCCGAGGCCTGATGGTCAGCCCAAGGGACTTTTCATCTTGGTTCTCAAAGCTTGGTAAGAGTGAGGATATTTCCATTAGAAAATTGCCGACACTAAGGCTCATCCAGTAACTGGTTGGCAAAGGTACACACTGCTCTGGTCAGACAAACATAGGCACTACAGAAAATGGTGCTGGGCCTTGAGGAATGGGAGAGGAAAGGGAGAAGACAGCTCAGGGAACTGGGCATGGATCTGGGCAGATGTTGCGGGGATGGTTGCTGATATTGGATTTGGAGGAGAAATTGAAAGGTCACGGCTTCTAGAGCATCTAGCTCTCTTGGGCTTAAGATCAAATTGTGCTAGTGAAGACAGTGCATCTCATAAAATGGGAAGTAGGCCCACAGTTATCACCTATTCACCTTTGGATTTCTGGATGTAATTTCCTTTGGCTATTGTCATTTTTCCTTTGCAAGGCAGAATAATAAAAGAAGATGGAAAGGCTTCTCATGATCTCACCTCATTAAGAAGGTCATTCCTGTTTCCCATAGGACCAAAAAAGAAAAAAAAAATCAACCTCTTTCCAGGATTATCAGTCAGGGGTATAGCTCTCTGGGCATATACCTTCTTCTCCTGACTCTTATTAAGCCACCTACACTAAGGAGGGCTTGGGTGAAGATAGATATGAGGCCTTCGGTTTGCAATTCAGAAAAAAAGAATCTGTGACAAATAGGACCAGAAATGGAGAAAACAGGGCTAGGGAAGATCTGTGTTTCCCATGGAAACTATAATCTCTATGGCAGTGCCCTGATTTTGACTTCTTCAGTCCTTTCCTCAATGCTTGACCCAAAAGTGCTAAAAACTACAACCATCTCCCCCTCCTACCTTTGCAGAAAGTGACTGTCTGTCTGACCTGAGGGTGGGGGCAGTGGCTGATGACTCACAGGCACATAGCCACTGTGCCACCCAGGGCCAGGAGCAGGCAATGCCTTGGGAACTAGATTCCAAAATGCTGGTTGGGCTTTTGAGGCTCTGGGGTCTAAGACAGGATGGGATTAGGCAAAAGACTCCATCAGGGCCAGAAAAGAGCCACTGTTCTTGAAAGGTAACAGGACATGTGGCTGGTATAATAAGAGTGTCAGAAGATGAGAATCTTTGGCCCATTATAAAGGACTTGGGGCTGGATGCAGTGGCTGTAGCCTGTAATCCCAGCATTTTGGGAGGCTGAGGTGGGAGGATTGTTCAAGGCCAGGAGTTTGTGACCAGCCTGGACAACACAGTGAGACCCCCATCTCTACAAAAAATAAAAGAAAAATCAGCCAGGTATGGTGGCTCATGCCTGTAGTCCCAGCTACTCAAGAGGCTGAGACGAGAGGATCACTTAAGCTCAGGAAGTCGAGGCTGTAGTGAGCTGAGATTGCACCACTGCACTCCAGACTGAGCAAGAGTGAGATACTGTCAAGAAAGAAAGGAGGGAAGGAGGGAAGGCAGGAAAGAAGGAAGGGAGGAAGGAAGGAAGGAAGGAAAAGAACCTGGGTTGTTGGGATGCGGTGTAGTTGATCTGTTTCCTTTTAAGGGGAATTGTTGGCAAAACTCTCTTGCTGAGGCTCTTTTCTCTGGGCCAGTGTGAGAACCTGGCCATGTCAGGCTGTGACAAAATCACAAATACCTGGAAGGCAGAGGACATCTCAGAAGAAGGGTAGAAAAATGTGTGTGCCTGTCACCATAACAATCTGCACCCCACGACTTGGCTTTGAATTGGCCCTTTAAGAAAACTTCCTACTTCTCCTCCTTGGTGGGAAAGGAGGTGAAGGTTGAGGAGGCCTGGGTAGGAGGGAGAATGGAGACTGAGGGTCAGGCTCCAGGGCAGCAGAAACCAAGAGCAGATGTTAGCCAGCGGATTCCTGCGACATCCCTGCTTCCTTCACATACTCTTAATATGTTGCAAAACACATTGCTATTACCCTCCCCCCTTGTTTCATATTATAAAATACAAACAAATGACAGAAAATATTGGTTGGCTTGCAGCCGCCCACTGCTCAGAACTGTAAGGACTGCCGTTTTCTCCCTGCCATGAGACGGTGGTTGTAGGGGCGCATCTTCATTTCCACAAAGGGGATGGAGAACTCATGGCCTTTCCAATGGTACCAGTTGATGCCCTGGGCGTGAGAAAGATAAGCATGTCAGGTCATCCCCCACCATGGAACGCCCCACTTCAAAAAAGGGGTAATTATGGGAACAGGGAATCCACAATGTGGGGTTAGCTATTTTCAGCTAACATGAAGCTTCAAGGCCGAGTTCCCAATAAAGTGAAAGGGGCAGAGTCTCTTTCTAGCTTTCTCCTTAAATGTGCCGGTGGCCTGGGTCTTTCCAGGGAACATGTTGCAGGTCATTCCTTATTGCCAGCTTTGTTTTTGGCTTCCAGGAGTGGCATGCACCAGTAGATGGTTGTGAAATCCCAACAGGGTGGAAGCATTTGGAAGAGAATAACTGTGTTTGACTGCTCACTCCTAATGGGAGACTTAGGCGGTTTCTACCTAGGGTGACAAACCCTTTTGGTTTGCCTAGAACTGAAGGGCTTCCCTGATGTGGGCTGTTTCAGTGTTAACACTTAGAAAGTCTAGTTGGTCATGGTGGTCTCCCTGTCACCCAGCTTAGCCTATAAACTTGTGGTCTCTGATAGGGAAAGATTGTCCAGTTCACACTGGTATTTTCGATGTCTACCTTCCTGGGACCATTTTTAGGGTAAAGTTGAGTCTGTGAAGCTGTCCCCAGGACTGATAAGCTCTCTTCATGGGATCTTCTGGATCCAAGGGCTTCTCTGGGTAAGTTCTGGCTCCTGGGTCCTTTCCTTTCCTTCCTCTGGCTTCTACTCTGTCCTGATCTTATCCCATTGTCTGCATTATTTTTCTCAAGACTCAAAATATTTCTTTTTAAAGGGAAATGAAGGACTCACATGTGCTTTTAAAATATAAAGCTAAGGGAGCACGGATTCCACAGCTCTGGCTCATTCATAGCAGAGGTGGAGCATCGCTTACCTGACTGTGCCTGGACTCCCCGTACTTCCCATTGAGGTTGGTCCGGTGGCAGTTCTTATACCACCATGCTCCCTTGTACGACATGGCACAGTTAGTCACTGCAACATCATTGTCTCTATCCTCTGTGGAGAAAGGGCGTCCTTGATGATAGCTGAGGGAGTCCCCTGCAAAAAAGATACATTCATTAGGCTGTCCCATTTGTCACTGCTTTATCAGGATTTTCTGGACACTTGACCCACTTCCAGCAAACCTGGCTTCCACTTATGGAACCTTTTCATTTCCACCCAGTTTCTCAGAGTGGCTGTGCTGAACTCTTACTCCACCTTACCCCTGGGGCCAACCACTTCCATGCTACTCTCTCCAACCCACTTCCTAATCCCTTTGACCACCTTTGCTGAGAATTTTCTCCACTTAACCCCATCTCATTGCCCACCCCACCCCCAACCCTCAGCTGTTTCCTCCCAGCCTGTACGTGGACACAGGCCACTCATGGTTCCTCCTGTCTTCAGAGGAGATGGTGATGAGCCAGGCAGACTTGGGCCATTCTAGGGCACCACCATGCAGCCTCAGCCTGGCTTCTCCCTGGCTTACCAGGCCTGCTCAGATGACACCCAAGAAACTGCATTCTGAACTTGAGGCCACATGGGAAGAGGGGCATCAGCAAATTAGAATTCCCATCCGTAAGAAACAGGATGATGAAAAAAACATAACCATGTCAAAGGAGAAGTGCTTGGGACATCTGGGCTGTATCTTGGGGAAGAGCGGACTTCAAGAGGGAGACATGGCCTGTGATCACTGTCACCAAATATTTGATGGGCTATTGAGAAAAAAATTAAATAAATTCTGTGGGGAAGTATGAGGATTAGTAGGTGGAGATGAAGACATTTATGCAGCCAACAGACACATAAAAAATGCTCATCATCACTGGCCGTCAGAGAAATGCAAATCAAAACCACAATGAGATACCATCTCACACCAGTTAGAATGGCGATCATTAAAAAGTCAGGAAACAGCAGGTGCTGGAGAGGATGTGGAGAAATAGAAACACTTTTATACTGTTGGTGGGACTAAAAACTAGTTCAACCATTGTGGAAGACAGTGTGGCGATTCCTCAAGGATCTAGAACTAGAAATACCATTTGACCCAGCCATCCCATTACTGGGTATATACTCAAAGGATTATCAGTCATTCCGCTATAGAGACACATGCACACATATGTTTATTGCAGCACTATTCACAATAGCAAAGACTTGGAACCAACCCAAATGTCCATCAATAATAGACTGGATAAAGAAAATGTGGCACATCTATACCATGGAATACTATGCAGCCATAAAAAAGAATGAGTTCATGTCCTTTGCAGGGACATGGATGAAGCTGGAAACCATCATTCTCAGCAAACTATCTCAAGGACAGAAAACCAAACACAGCATGTTCTCACTCATAGGTGGGAATTGAACAATGAGAACACGTGGACACAGGGTGGGGAACATCACACACCAGGGCCTGTTGTGGGGTGGGGGTAGGGGGGAGGGATAGCATTAGGAGATATACCTAATGTAAATGACAAGTTAATGGGTGCAGCACACCAACATGGCACATGTATACATATGTAACAAACCTGCACATTGTGCACATGTACCCTAGAACTTAGAGTGTAATAAAAAAAGAGAGGCATATTTAGGCTAAATATACAAGGATAAATTACCTAAATATTAGAGGTGTTCACAAGTGGAATAGACTGCTTAAAGAGGTGGTGAGATTTTTATTCTGAGGGGCAAACAGGCTGCGTGTTCTCTTTTGGGGATATTGTGCAGGGGGCTCAGGTAAATTGTGTATTTAAGGTGAGGGATCAGACTGTAATTAAATTATAACAGTTTATAAAACTTTTAGCAGGATCAGGATTTGTGGCTCAGGATGTTGTGAAGGGGGCTCATGCTACTTATTGAATGAAAGAGGTCTTGGGTGCTTTTGAGCTTGTGTTAAGCGAGGAAAGACCTATTCTGATTCTGTGGCTTCTGAGTCCAGGCTCACAGGGCCACTCAATGCCTCTGATGCCTCCCACCACAACTTAACTCTCAGGAGGTTGACCTTTATTTTATAGGGAAGGCTGACGCCCTCACTGGGGAGGCCCTAACTCAACATGACATGATCTTCATTCCGTCTTCTTCGTCTTCCCCTTCCAGTCTCCAGGGACTCAGATTTTTATGCCCATCTAGAGTTAACCCCACCATCTGCAACTCACTCTTTCCCATCTCTTCCAGATCCTGGAAAAGTTAAAACATATTGCTTACTTTTTCCTTTTTCTTTTATTTATTTATTTTTTTGGTGTGAGACAGTCTCGCTCTGTTGCCCAGGCTGGAGTGCAATGGCACAATCTTGGTTCACTGCAATCTCTGCCTCCCAGGTTCAAGCGATTCTCCTGCCTCAGCCTCCCAAGTAGCTGGGATTACAGGCATGCACCACCACACCTAGCTAATTTTTGTATTTTCAGTAGAGACGAGGTTTCACTGTGTTAGCCAGGATGGTCTCGATCTCCTGACCTCATGATCTGCCCGCCTCGGCCTCCCAAAGTGCTGGGATTACAGGTGTGAGCCCAGCCCTTTTACTTCTATTTTTTTTTTTTAAGTTTTCACCTCCTCTCACCTTAAGTTACATTTATATCCTTTGTCTTAAAAATTCTTAGATTAATCCTACTCCTTAATGATTATTTCTTTCACTATCAGTTCCTTGATTATGCGGTCTCCACCCACATCCTATCTTCTCACTCCCTGCGTCTCCCTCTGTCATCTAGAATTTGTCTTCATTATTCCCCTGGAGCAGTTCTCTCCAGCTTCCACTCTGAGGCTGCCTTCCACTGTCGCAGATTGCTCCCAGTGTTGGTCTTTACATCCTCCCAAAGCCTGGCTCCCCTTCCCATTTCTGCCTCATATAGCCACCTCATGTGTTTAACACATTAAGTCCTGGTTTCTGTCTCTCAAACCACTGTTCAGATTTATAATACCTTTTTCTTAATTTCCAACATTAGTCAAGACTCCTATTGTCTCCTATTAGGTCTGATGCAGCAGCCATCAGCCGCTCTATGTTCTTCGCTCGGACTTACTTTATCCTGTTTGTGGCTGTCACAGGAATCTTCCTAAACCCCACTTCTATTTTTCTTCTTGGGACCTACAATGGCCCTCCAGTGCTACCATGTTAAGACTGAATTCCTCTGCCCCTTGGTTTTCCAGCTTCTGGATCTGGCTCTACCTGCCTCACCAATCTTCTCTATTCCTCCTGAATTTACATTTTGCCCTGCTCTGCCAGTCCCTTCACAGCCTCCCCTCCTCCACAGCATCTGCTCCTTCTGTAACTTCCAGGGTTTATTTTCCTTACCATGGGAATCCCAGTCGAATGCAGCTGCCTTTATGATGCCGTCCTCCACCACCCAGACTCCTCTTCCACAAACACCCCTTAAACTAGAAATGAGATGCCAGATGCAGTGGCTCACACCTGTAATCCCAGCACTTTGGCAGGCCGAGGCAGGTGGATCACCACAGGACAGGAGCTCGAGACCAGCCTGGCCAGCATGGCAAAACCCCATCTCTACTAAAAATACAAAAATTAGCTGGGCATGGTGGCATGTGTCTGTAATCCCAGCTACTCAGGAGGCTGAGGCAGTAGAATCACTTGAACCCAGGAGGCAGTGGTTGCAGTGAGCCAAGATCACGCCACTGCACACCAGCCTGGGTGAAAGAGTGAGACTCTATCTCAAAAACACAAAAACAAAAACAGAAAAAACTAGAAGTGAGTACCATTGATTGTGTGATGAGTTACTTCCTGTTTCTTTTTAAAACTAGACGATTAGTTTTTGTAAAGGCCATGTTTTATGCTTCTTTTGAGTCCCCACAACTTGCACAATAAACTTTTAGGAGCTGCTCAACAACCTCTGATTGATAACTTAATTTGTAATTTTCAGTTCTGATCCAAGTAGCATCCTAGAGATTTGAATGTTTGCAGCCTTGGGAAATGGGGAGCAGGAGAAAAGGCTGAACTTGGATCGGAGGCCCTGGAGATGGGTTGATTCAGAAGGCCACTACTAAAGATAAGGTCCAGGAGAACTGGGCAATATTAAATGCCAGAAGAGAGGGGATGGGCTCTTCCTCTCCAGAAACCTTCTGATCTAGAAAGAACAACCATTGTGTGGTGTTGCCTAGAGGGGATGGCAGCCTAACGGAAGCCTAGCTTTTCATCTTTTGAAGAAGATGAACTGAATATTCGAGGTGAGAGATAAGACCCTAATTAGCTGATGATGAACAGCCAAACTGTTGGCAGGATCTGCCTCTGAGACATGAGAATAGCGCACAGTCCAACTGTTCTGGCCTCCATAGGCCCAGAAGCAAGACAGAGCTGGAACAGAGGGAGCAAGGGCCAGGCCCAAGCAAGGCAGATGAAAGCACAGGCGGATGAAGAGGAGGGAGGGAGGGGGTGCTGTAGGGAAGTTGGAGGGCTGGCTTCTTTTCCTGTAGGAGAAATCAGAATGGCTTTTCTACAGGCACAATTCTAATCTTAGAAGTGAATAGCGTCAGGTGATTTTTTAAATGATTTAGTCCGGCATCTTGTTTAATATGCTCCATTTCAATGGCTATTTTATGCCCAAAGTGTGGCAAATTGGGCCTTTTGTTGGGGGCACTTCAGGCTGATCTCATTGCTGTTGGAAATGATCTCAGATGTGAGCATAATAAAGGAAAGCATGTCTTCTCTTTGGAGTATCTGGCTAAGAAGAGAAATAATTGAACAGATGCAGTAACTGGAAGGACAACACCTTAATGCTCTTCTTAATTTCAAGAGTCATAAAAATGTTGTTAAAATTATACACCAGCATTTAACCCTAGAATTGGTGTTAATGAAAGGGCCAATAATGCCAAGTATCAAACATTAGAATATTTGAAAAAGCAGGTTTTGTGAAATGTGTTATAATAGAACATGGGAAACAGATTGGCAAAGCCCAAGAAGCAGACTGGGTGTTATGTTCTGAAAAAACTACTAATGCAACCAAGCTTGATGGGATGGTTGTTCTGTTTGGTAGAAATGCTGTAAAAATCTACACAGAAAACCTGACCGTCTATGTGGTTCTTGCGGAGGAATGAAAAGAAACATGGCAAATGAGGAACAGGTAAGTGGCATTGTTTGCTCCTTGACTAGGTGTTAGCATGACCGCTGATGGACAGGGTGGGGTGTTAGGGGCATCTCAGAGAGGGGTGACATCTGTATGATTTGCACTAATTCAAAGATGGTTTTCCTGGATGTCATTGCATGGGAGATTTCTACCCAGACAGTAGATGATTCTGCTCTCACTGCATAAGAGCCCATAGTGACTAATCTAGACAAAGAAAACAATCCTTCTTCATCTTCACATTGCATCTTTTTTAAACCTTAAAAGTACAATCACTCCACTGATTTTTTTCTGACTACTCAGTGAAGTAGGGCAGGCATCCTTATTATGATTTTCCAGATGATGAAACTGAAGTCCTGCAAAGTTGCTTTTAGGTGACTGGTCAGGGAGAGCTGGGACCAGTGCCAGTGGTTCCCAGTGGCATGGCCCTTCTTCTCCCTGGCCAGCAGCGAATGCTGGAACTCTGTGGGTGCTGCTGCTTCCTGAGGCAGCTTACGCCTAGAATCTGGGGGCTCTTGTCCCATGCCCACTGTCCTTGGGGTCTGCTCAGGAGCCATAGGTACCCGCAGTGCCGTTGTAGCTTCCTATGCGGAGTTTGTACAGGTTTCTGCTGTCCTCGACAGAGAACCTGTCGTAGGAGGCGAAGGCGGCCTCTTGGCCATCCCGCATGTCCACGCGCAGCTCATAGCGGCCCTGGGATGTGATCCTGTGTATATTGTCCAGCCCTGTGGAGAAGAGCAGAAAATGCACTGAGACTGGCCCCCAGCAGCTTTGGAAAATGGGAGGGAAATGCGTCTGTGGCTTCAAAACATGTTACAGGGAAGAGGAGGGGACTCCAGATTGCTTTTGCTCTTGGTGCTTCACAGGTTGTTATCAAATGGACCCTGCCAGACTGAATTTCTTCCTGCAAAGAGGACAGTCCAGGTCTGCTGATGGGTTTCCAACACAGGAAACTCAGGGGTTCTAATACCTCCTCTTGACCCAGTAACTGACAAGCCCTGAGCCTCAGGATTCCTGGCCCTGTCCCCTCTCACCTCCTCTGCCAAACCATGGTACTAGAAGAAAATTACAAGAGGTATTACATGGATGTGAGCCCTTGGGCATGAGTGATCGAAAGCAAGAGGTGAAAACATTGATTAGAGGAGTTCAGAGCATCTGGAACATCTTAACATCTCCTAGTAGCATGTAGGAAGGGCTCTGTCGAACTTTCCTTACACTGCCTCTCCTGCCTTCAGCCTAGGCTTCCTGGGGCTCCATAGCCAGGTCATAGAATATTATTCTCTGCCTCCTGACTCCAGTCCCTTTCTCTCTAATCTGCCTGCTACATTTGCACTGCTACCTTTCCACTGGCCTTTTCAGCCAGTTACCCTCATTCATCTGCTTCTTCCTTTGCCTCTAAACTTCCCAGGCCTTGGTCTAATATATTCTTTTAAGGTGCAAACCTTTGTAAGTCCCCAGGTTAGGCAGAGTCCAGATCCCTCTTGGTGATTCTTTCTTTCTTTCTTTCTTTCTTTCTTTCTTTCTTTCTTTCTTTCTTTCTTTCTTTCTTTCTTTCTTTCTTTCTTTCCTTCTTTCTTTCTTTCTTTCTTTCTCTCTCTCTTTCTTTTCTTTCTTTCTTTCTTTTCTTTCTTTCTTCCTTTCTTTCTTTTTCTTTCCTTCCTTCCTTCCTTCCTTCCTTCCTTCCTTCCTTCCTTCCTTCCTTCCTTCCTTCTTTCCTGCCTCCCCTCCTTCCCTCCCTCCCTCCCTCCCTTCCTTCCTTTCTTTCTTTCCTTCGACGGAATCTCTCTCTGTTGCCCAGGCTGGAGTGGAGTGGCACAATCTCGGCTCACTGCAAGCTCCACCTCCCAGGTTCACACCATTCTCCTGCCTCAACCTCCCAAGTAGCTGGGACTACAGGCACACGCCACCATGCCCAGCTCATTTTTTGTATTTTTAGTAAAGATGGGGTTTCACCGTGTTAGCCAGGATGGTCTCGATCTCCTGACCTCGTGATCTGCCCGCCTCAGCCTCTCAAAGTGCTGGGATTACAGGCGTGAGCCACTGTGCCTGGCCGATATTTTCTTATATACATTTTCTTGCCTGCTTGTCATGATTAGCCATGCCCTGGGACTCTCCAATTTTGATCTACCTGCCCAAACTTTGAACCATTCATCTTGTGTTGCTGGTAATTTCTCTGAGTCCTAATTTTTATCTGCTTACTGAACTAGAGTCCCCTTGCTTTGCTGTGACATCTGATCTCTACTTGAGTATGCCGTGATTTAGAATCAAACAATTGCAGAGACTGAAGGGAATTTAGTGGTTACTCAGGCCAGTGTCTGTTTTGCGGAAGAGGAAGCTAAAGTCCAAGAGAGGTGAAATGATTGGCTGAAGGTCATCCAGATCTTTTGGCTTTCCTGTCCCATTTGAGACTTAGAGCTTTACCTTGATTATAAGTCAAAGGCTGTTTGACTGCTGTTTGCTGTTGACTGAGTTGCTGACCCACAACTCACCCTAGACTTGTGCTTGTGCAGATGTAGTAGATGCTGATGTTGTTCTGCTGGGATGTCTTTAATTGGCAGATAGATCCATCCCCCAGGCTGCTACAAGTGTTGGCTGTTAGCAACTTGCAGCTGCCTTCTTCTTGGAAAATTGCCCTTGAGCAAATGGGAGTCACTTCATCCTGGAAGCTAAGCTCTCTCCCACCATGCCTTGGAGCAGACCTCCATCAGTGACTGATGTGGAGAGGTTCAAAAGCTTGGCCTCCTTGTCTAAGTGGTGACCAGCTCTGAGGAGCAATTCATGCTCCCAAGCTTCCTTAGGGATCACACTGAAGTGAGTCTCCAGCCAAAACCACATTTTTGCAGTTTTCTCTGCCCTATTTTTGTTCCCCCATTCCCTTCTCCCCAGTGAAGTCCCCCAGTAAGTCACTTGAACAAGAATCCCTGTTTTGATCTCTGCTTCTAGAGAACCCCATATAGTACATAAACTATGGGTCACAGTGTTATCCCCAACTTGAGTATTGCTTCCAAACTACACCACACCAGGCCTAGCATCTTCAAGAGCCCTCCCTGTCTCCCTCTTACCTACATCATCAAGTAAAGACTTCTCTTTCTGATTTTTAAGTTCCCTACTGTGCCTCTATTCAACCCACTCACCTCATTGTTTTCTTTCCCTCACTGGGATTGGGTTTCCTCCCTGGCCTAAGTTTGCAGTTGTCAGGAGAATTCCTGCCTTCCCTCCTTTTCATCCCTTTCCTTCCTCCATTCTTCTGACTGACTCATCCCTCAATGCCTTCTCCAGGAAGCTGGTCTCTTCCTTCTTTGAATATCTGTGGCCTTCATTTCAGTGACTCTTATGTTAGAACAGTGTTACCCAGTGTGGATGGCATCTCTGATGACATGAGATATATAAGGCACTAAATAACCTTGAATAATAGGAAGAAAGGTATTTCCAAATTTAATCTCAGTCTTTTGTAATAGAAGAAGGAGATACCTTAACCCTGATCCTAACCTTCACTCACAGTCTCAGTTTTGTTCTAGTGTTTTAGTGGTTTGTTTAGCATGAAAAGCATGAAACACTTCCTAATCTCCATTTTTAATACCACCACCACTGCCAGCAACAACAGGCTTGGAGTCCCTGTATTTAACTCTCATTTAGTACTATTAATATAGTTTCTTTTAATTGCATTTATTTTTGAGGTTTTCTTTTTTATTTATGGCACATGATAACTAGCTTTCTATTTTTGGCAATGCTATAACATTTCTTTTAAAAATAGATTTAATTAAAGAGTAATTATAGAAATTTTAAGTGCATGATAGTTTATGTATTTCAGAAAATATGACACAAATTGTGAAAATGGTATACAGCAGCTCAGCTTTGGGAAACGTGAGTCCTGTCTGCTTATGGATGTATCGATTCATGGGTATTACACTTGTCTCCCAAGTTGCTTGCTGATGCTTTCAAGGTAAGAATATTTTTCAATTTGTTTGACTTTTATGTCAATGTTTTTGTATGGCATTTACCTTACATTTTTATTGTCTATATCAGCAAACACAAATCTGTGGATTTAATATGCATTCCATTAATTCTTATCATTGATTGATTTATTGATTATCTACATTTTAGGTACCTACTATCTCTCAGGCACTGTCATAGGTACATAGGTAATGGGGTTAGAAGATAAATATGAGGTGGTCCCAGCCCTCAATGAAGCTCACATAGCAGAGACAGACAGGAAGTAAAATGGACACTATGATCTGTGCCACAAAAGAAGGAGTGGCCACTTCTCCCACAGGCAATAGGGGAGAAAACTGGTGAGGACTGGCTCTGTGGAGGAGAAGGTGCTTAGCTGTGTCTCTGAATATACACAGATGGCACTCACCACACAAGGAATGTGGGGAAAGGAGGACAGTTGGCTAGGAGTGCTCCTGGCAGAGGAAGCATCGGGGGTTTTGCATGTGTGGAGTTTGGTGTTGGAGAGGAGTCGGGGGAAGAGCAGGTGAGGTACTTAGGGTGTAGAGGAGTCTTCAGAGGCTGGTGAGAGAGGGCCTGTACTTTGGCTAAGGCATTGGGCCTTCTCCTGGTGGTAATGTGGAGTCATTGAAAAGTTTTACAAAGGGGATTAGCCATCGCCCATATTTGGGGTGTGAGGAAGATCATTATAGTGGTCATGAACCAACCTTTGCAAAGATCATGACAGTGAGAGAAATCTAACATGGCTGATTCCTTGCTTCTGGCCTCACTGGCTGGCTGCCCTCCTCACTCATTTCTGGGCATAGGCCAAGCTAACCATGGGAGGAATTTAGTTTATAGTTTAATTTTAAAGCAAGGATGATAATAGTCCTCCCTGAAACTGCTCCCCTCCTTTTTCAGGGACTGAAACTACCTTTGCAAGACTAACGAAAGGCCAAGAGATTAGGATTACGGAGGGATTTGAGTTCTGCTAAAATGTAGGCATAGTTTCTATAATCCCTTACTGCTCAGGGTCATGTGGCCAGAGATTTGTGACTTTCCTAGTTGCTCCTATAGATAACAGCACTATTGCAGATTGGTCTTTTGAGATGTTTTTCAGACTTTTGCATTCAGGCAACGAAGTGACCCCACCTGGACCAGTGACACATGACTCAACTGGGCCTGCAGCCCCCACCCAGATGCAGACTCAGGGCACGAGGACCATTTTCCACACTCCTATGATTTTATCCCCAACCAATTGGCAGCACCCATTCCCTAGCCCCTTGCCCACCAAATTATCCATAAAAACCCTAGCTTCTGAGTTTTTGGAGAGATTGATTTGAGTAATAACTCCAGTCCTTCCACTTGGTGGCCTTGTGTTAATTAAACTCTTTCTTTATTGCAATAATGCTGTCTCAGAGAATTGGGTTTATCTGTGCAAAAGACAAGAAGAACCTGTTGGGTGATTATAGCCATGTGGACAATGGGGTGGTCCTAGAGGCAGAGAGGCCGGTAAGAAGCTTGTTATCTAGGCACCCAGGAGAAGAAGATGAGATGAGATAGTGGCAGGGAAGACAGAGAGGAGACCACAAATATGGAACTTGATAATCTTTTCCTCTACCTCCCTTTATCCATCACTATGAAAATCTAACTAAGAGGGGGACACAGGTCATAATAAATGGACCACTTTCCAGAACTTGGCACCACCACCATCTGCCTGGCTTGGATGTGTGTTTACCATCTCACGCCAGTTTGGTTCTCGATCTATATTTCCTGCCGGTGTCAGACTTCTAGGAAATTGCCAGTCACCTCTAATGCCACTTTCATTTTTTCCCTTTTCTTTCCCAGGTCAGGTAATAACATTCTCCAAGGAACTAAGCGGAGTGGCTGTCCTCATTTCTCCCCTGACCTGCAGGCTGGCTGGCTGGTTGCCTTGCTTCTGGGAGATGGCCAGGCAGCCTGTTGCTCCCTGTGCCCCTCACCGACCAGGCAGCTCACTCCCTTTGTGGCAGCCTCATGTCAAAACCCATCAGAATAAGAGACTATTAATGAGGATGGGAAGAGACAGAGAAAAGAGGGAAACACCACAGTAAGATAAAAACAGATCAATAGTGAAGCTAAACAGAGCAAGAGGTTCTGAAAGCAATTCAGGAGCTGTTAGCTTCTCAACAAACACAGGGTTTCTGATAATCTCAGATGGACACAAAAAGGAGAGAGATGGACAAAAAGCCAGAGAAGCACATCAATGGAAAGCAATAAGGAGGCTTTACCCAGCCAGAACTCATCCTCCACGTTCCCGAAGCCAACACGGTAATCAGCCCATTTCCGGAAAAAATCAGTTTGGCCATTCTGCCGCCTCTGGAATACCTATGAAGGAAATAAAAAAACAAAAAACAAACAAACAAAAAAACAAAACCCAAAGAGATGCTAAGGAAAATAAACTGTGATAAGTAAAATTGATATAACTGGGTTTTATATCTGCAATGACAAAGATGTCCAAAGAAGGAACATTTCAGAGCAGAGCTCAGTATTTACACAGCAGTTTTTGTAGGAGACACTCAGAGCATTTCTCTTGAAGTGTAGAGGCCCCTGATGAATAGGCTCCAGTGTGATGTTGACACTAATTTGCACCCCTGCAATGTAGAAAGGACTCAGGATACATATCAAGCCCTAAATATCAGGGGAAATAGGCTTGGCTCTCAAACGAATCTTTTGCACTACAGAGTGCAGTAGAAAGCATTTCTCACCAAAAGAACAGGACCAACTTCAAATCAGCTAGTAACTGTCATCGTCCTATTGCAGGCAAAGCAATATTGCATATCATTCACTTTCTGAGCTGTTTAAGTGCTTATTTTATTTAGCCTCCAATATATCAGCCTTGGCTTCAATTTCCAGTTATGCTTTAAGAAGGAGGCACACATATGTCAGAAACATAAAAGAAAATGTCTCCCAAGAGTAGCTGTTATGAGCACATCACCATTCAAAACCTACCCATTTTGCACCAGGAAACATCCAGCACTGTTAGCAGAGCGAGAGAGGGCATCCAAAGAAGGGCGGAGGGGCTGGTTTTCCATCCTAAAGCGATCCAGCTAATGTTGGGCTGCTTTAGGGCCAAGTGGTGGGAACTCCCGGCTGCTCCGACCGGCTTGCATTAAGGAGGCTGCCCTTATTTTCCCTCACTCTGTATTGCCCTATCAGGCATGGGAGGAGGGTGGTGACAGGAAACAGTGTCTCTCTTTTCCTGACCACTGGTGCTCCCTGAAGGCTGTGTCAGCTCTGGGGAAGAACCAGGGAGACCCCAGGAAGAATGGGGAAGGGGAGCCAGCTATCCATGTTTGGGGCCTCATCTGCTTTCCCAACTGCAATCCTCAATTGGAGGCTTCTGATCATCTCTCTGTGGTGGTGATCACCTCCTCATAGAGAAATAGTTTTCCTCAACTGCCTGTTTGTTTGCTTGTTTGTTTTGTTTTTTGAGTCTTACTCACTCTGTCACCCAGGCTACAATGCAGTGGCATGGTCTCGTCTCACTACAACGTCCGCCTCCCAGGTTCAAGTGATTCCCCTGCCTCAGCCTCCAGAGTAGCTGGGACTACAGGCATGTGCCACCATGACCAGCTAATTTTTGTATTTTTAGTAGAGATACAGGATTTCTCCATGTTGGCCAGGCTGGTCTCGAACTCCTGGCCTCAAGTCATCACCCGCCTTGGCCTCCCAAAGTGCTGGGATTACAGGAATCAGCCACTCTGCCCAGCACCTCCACTGCTTTATTAGAGATGCATTTCTCAGCAGGCAAGATCCTTGGGCCCAACAGACCCGCGACTGCCTTTCCCCAGCACTCTCCTGCTTAACTGTCCTTTCCTCCTCCTTCTGTGAGGACAGATATAGTTATTCCTTTCCCTGCCTGGCCAGATATATGATTGGACTCTGAACATGGGCCTTGAGGGCAATGAGGAGCCCCAAGATGGACATGTGGGGGGTGATAAAAGGATGGCCAGGAGGATGGTGAAGTTGGCTTGGCAGGTGCTGAGCTAGGTAGACTAGAACACTGAGGACGCTTCTGTGCAAGGAGAGCACAGATTGTACTTACAATCCAGCCGCCCCCGTCGGTGGTCATATCACAGTACACTTGTAATTTCTGGCTCAGCTCCCCATTGAGGAAGATGGGGTAAACCCCACTCAAAGTGTCTCCATTCATCAAATGCTGGGCACAGTCTTGGGGATGAGGGAACACCCGGCCTCCTGCAAGGAAAATAGACAATGTCCAGAAAGGATTCTTTCTCTCACAGTGCACAAGAGCTCCTTGGATCATAGAAGGTCTTAGCAGGCCTCCTGGTACATCATCAACAGCTGTAAGAAATCCTCAACGGAGCTCAAGGTGTGGGTGTGGGGACTTGGCATCATCTTGGATTTCCCTTCCACAACTGTTGTTAGACTTATCAGACAACATACAATTTCATGGGATCTGAGAACTAAAGGTCTGTGTTCATGGTCTAGCTCCACCAGTTACCTATTTATTTGACTTTAAGTAAATCAGTTGGGCGTCAGTTTTCTTATCAGTAAAATGGGGATAATAAAAGTCTCCCCCTTGAAGGGCAAAGATGTGTTAATGCAGGTAGTGATTGGTTACTCAGGCAATGATTACAGATGCATGGGCCAAAATAAATCACTGCAGACTCCACCTTTCAAAAGAATGAGAGGCATCTGAGCAAAGCTTTCTGTCATCTTTACAGTAGCCATTAAGGAATGCCCAAACAAGCTCGGCATTAGCAAGAAGATGAATTATCTATTCCTTGTACAAAATACATCCTGATTGGACTAAACAATCAAGTAGCCATGTTTTACAGTTCAGTTTAAGTTTAAGGAGAGGGCAGGGGAAGTAAATTGCAGCTCATCTTTCAGAGACAACAGCCCAATTTGTAGAACAATATCTAATTAGCTGAAAGAGGAGCTTAAATCCTGTGTCTTGAAGAGCTTAGCTTCAGGGCAAATTTTAATGCTGAGCAGGCAAGCCAAGAAGCAGAAAGCCCACCGGAGGAGCTTTTCTGAACTGCAGGAGCTGCTAGAGTGAGCTAAAGGCAGAGCTTGCTGTGTGGGAAAGGGTGGTTTGGGTGCTCTGTAAATAGTATGATCTTCTGGGTTGATGAAGAGCATGCTGCGATTGATCTAGTTCTGCATCCTTGAACTGTTGCAGTCAGGAAGAGAGGCTGGGGAGGGACCGCACGTGTCAGTTACTGCAGTATACCCTAGTGGCAGAACCGGTGCACTACAGGTGTGACACAGGGCCCGCTGGTGGGTCAGAGTAAGTGACAGCACCTACCCAAGGATGGCAACATAGCAACCTCACTGAAAACCCTGAGCACCTAAGACCCCATCATAGATCACCAGTGAAGCCTCCTGTGTCAGGAAGAGGTGGTTAGAGTCGGTTTATGGAAGGCCCCCCTGGAGATGTGTTAACTGCCCCCGCACCAGGACTGCCCTTCAACTTGCTGCCACACACCCGTCGAGGGCGCACTGGCCTAACGTAGTTTAGAACAAAGGCATTGCCTACTGCAGGCATGGTTATACCAGGGAATGACAATAAATTTCTATAGAACCTATCCTTTACCAAGTGTTTTTATTTCCATTTAATTCTTGCAAGAAACTTGAGAGGACAGCAGATTGGTATAGATATACTTATTTTACAGAGAAGGAAACTGCACTCAGAAAGATTACATGACTCAGATTGCTGGAACTCATATTTTCAGATGGCTTAAGTGCTGTTTGCACTCTACTAAAGCAGGAAATATAATGCATGATTGAATTTACTGAAGATAGAAATCTATGCATACAGCAAAGGATTAATTAATACCTGCATTTATCTTACAAGCAAAAAAACCCCAAAGATTAAAGATCTCAAAAATTTCTATGTTCAAATCAAATATCCATACCCTCTCAAACTGATTTCCTTAATAGCTGCAGAAAAGCTAACTGTCATCTGCAGAGTGTCCTAGAACTCTTCATAGTTCCTGATCCCACCTACCCCTAGAGGCTACAGTTACATTTCAGGAGACAGGTGTGAGCTGTCTCTGTCTCCTTCCCTGCTGATTTGGGAGCACTGCTATTATCTCCTCATTCTTGACCTGGCCTCTGGAACAACCAGCCTGTCTGCCTTTCTTTCTCCCCTTTCATCTCACTGTTTGAGTTTCTCATTTTAGAAGATCAGCAATTAGTGCCCTTGGTCTTTAGCTTACTCCTAAGGTATGCACTAATAGCCCCTTTTCCTGAAGAAAGGTTTCTTCATGCAATAAACTCAGCTTCTTGAAGGAGCCAGAACCCCAAATTTCTTTCCAATATCCAATGTATCCCCAACAAAACATCTCCCCACAAATCTCAAAATGACAGTCTCATACAAATACACATATAAATCTAAACATCAGAATGGGGAAACAAACGATCTCATGCAGGCTTCTTCATATTGATAATGTAGATTGATTTAATATTTATATTACAGATACTTTTTAAAGGCTCAAACATATTAGTTGCTTTAAAGCTAGACCTACAGACAAATACAGTAAACTGAGATGACTTAGACAAGGGGAGTTTTGAATACCTGAATGGCTATCATATAAAATAGTGATTCATTTTTTAAAGTTAGAAAAATAAGAATAAAATTATCTTAAGAAAAAAGTGTTTTCTAAGGGGTGCCAAACACTGGATGGGATAAACGTCCCAGATTACACCCTGGGAGAGGAAGGACCATGCTTTCTTCCTTCCAGGCCGGCAATGAGCTGGTTGGTGGGGTGGCGGGGGGCGGGTACTCCCCAGATGTGCATGAGGCAATGATGCATCGTTGCTGGGTGCGCTTGCCTTCCCTTTGACAAATTGCAAGGCCATTTGGTTGTTTATAGATTCCATTTGCTGTGATTTAGTCAGTGGCATTAATGTAAAGACAACAAGCATTTTGCTCACACAGACTATCAAGAGCAGCAACCTGGGATTTTCACATCTTCGGAACTTGGAGAAGACCTCACATTTACAGCAAAACCATTCCTTTTCAACCTGCTTCAGCCTGCAACTCTAGTCCTTGTCCAAAATATTATTCCTTTTTTTGCAGACAAGAGAAGGCAGAGGCTCACTAATGGTTCTCAGACTGGGACCTTATTAAAATTCAGATTCCTGGTTTCCATAGCAGATTCACTGAATCAGAATATCAGGGGATGGCGCAGGGAATCAGTGTTTTACTGAAGCTTCTCAGACAAGTCTGAAGACCAGCTAGATTTGAACCTTCTCTTTGTCTGGCACATTTTCCTCTTCTCTAGAGGCCAAGAAGTGGAATTGGTAAACTAAGCAATGCCTCAGAGGAGCCCTGTGGTCTGTGTTCTCTGCCCAGATCCTTGTGGCTGTGTGGATGAATACTGTAGATTGAATGTCTGTCTCTCTCTCCCACTTGCCCCCTTTCCTCCTCTTTCCCTCTCCCCCTCTTTCCCTTTCCCAGTAGGTATGTCTTGAGTGGGCTGGTTCCAAGAATTGGATTGAGTGCGATAGGAAGGAGAGGGGATAAGAGATTGCATTTAGCCTGGAGTCTAAGCTTTGTGTCCTAGTATTTATTGTTTTGTTCTGCTTTGGGGGTTATTGGACTTTGCTTAGCTAATAATAAAGAACACACTGGTTCCTGTTCTGCTGTATTCAATGTGAACGTACTGGGGCTTTATACATTTTAGGAGACTGTCAGGGCAAATTTCAGGCCCTCCTAGCTCTCTGGATGTCACACCATTTAATATTATCAGAAACTCGCCTCTGACCCCAACATATATCAGCTCAGTAATTTTTCCCAAAGCAAAATCTTAAGACCAAGAGCAAAACTGGAAGGTTTTTCTTCCTTTTGGTGCAATAACTGGAGCCTAGACCGATGGAGAATCTTTTAATTTTTATTTTTTTTAGCACAGGCTGTGGTGATTACTAAGTTAAGAGAAAAGCCACAACAAGTGCTTGGTACACTGAAATGTCTCATAGTTAAGTGTTTCTAGATGTAATTGTGAGATCAACGGGACCATGGCGTTCACCAGAAGAATTGCTCTGAAATTGGTTTGTTTTGGGAAGTGGAGGCTGAATGCTGAGTGGAGTGGAGCAAGCTACATGACACGCAGTGCAGTCAGGGGACCACCACTGCTGGGACAGACTTTCTCTGTCCTGGCCCTGCTCTTTACTTGTTTTGGATTCTTGGGTGTTCCTTTAAAATGATCAGCTTTAATGGCCCTGGCAAGTGTCTGTCCACTTTTCTGGCCTCAGCATCAGGACTGAAGCCACAATGTCAGCATTTGTCTCTGAAAACAGCCTCAGCAGGTTTCTCTGTAAGCGCAGAACACAGTGTTGCGCCATAGAAGTGCAGGCGGCCACCTCTGGTTATCAACACTTAGATTTGCTTTTTCCCAGAAGCTTGTTTGTGGTTGACTCTCCCTTGTTAGAATCAATGGCGCACATCTGCAGAGTAGCTGGCTAGACTGTCAGGGGCAGCCTAAGTCTGCCAACAGGACAAGGTTACCTGCTCAGCCCACATGGGGTGAGCCACTTGGCTTTCTCACAGCGTCTTCCAGTATATTTACCTGTTTATACTCTTACTAATTCAACAAATATATAACAGAGTGTCTGTTGGGTTCTAAATACTGGGCTAAAAGATGGGAATATAAAGAAGGAAAAGACACAGTCACAACCTTTCAGGCTGCTCATGCTGTGGTGGGAGAAACAAATATAACCTTGAGCTCTAAGTGCTCTGGGAAAGAGATAAACATTGTGGGCTGGCAAAACCTGGATGTGGGCGTGCAATGATGCCTGGCTGGCAAGGACAGGGTGAGAAGTGGGGGCCCGGGATAGGGCAAAGGGTGACAACTGCTAATCAGAAAGTTACTTTAGGAACTGACCTGGATGCTGGCCACAAATTGGTGGAGAAGGGTGTTCCAGACCTGTGCAAAAGTACGGCCCCTTTGAGAAGTTGAAGGTTTAGCAGGAGACAGAGCAAGAATTGGGTGGGATGGAGGAAAGAGAGTGCTGGGGAGGTAAGCAGGGATGGGATCATGTCATTTATGGAGGCAATTGGAGGAAGAGTCTTTTGGTGGACTTTAAGCTCAACTTGTTAGAAAGACCATTCTCAGTGCAATGTGGAGAATGAATTAGATGGGGGTGAGCCTGGAGGCAGGACTCCATTCAGGATGTAGTGGTGGGAACCCAGGAGGAGAGTGACAATAGCCTTTAAGGAGGTAATAGAGTGAGTGGAGAATTAACTGAACAAGACAGCTTTGATGTGTTCACCCTCAACAGAGTTCCGGAAGAAGGTCATCAGGCTCTGCAGACCACCTGCCTTCTGCCCAAGGGCAAGTGCAACAGACATCTAAGACATCTAAATCCTCCCTTCACAGGTCAGCTAAAGGCATCCTAGTACTAGAGGAATGTTCTGACATCATTTCTCTTATTATTCCTTTGATCCACTTATATCAGAAGACCCAATTTCATGGCAGATTAGATTGATCACAGACTGGCAGTTGCAGCCTGGCCCCTGTCTGTGGCTCTTGATTCAACATGGCAAGGGAGGGCTGGGTCCTGATGACACTTCCTACTGGTCTCCCTGCTGCCATTCTGGTCCCACCTGCATTCATTCTCCACACTTTAGCCAGAGTGACCTTTTTATAGTGTGAATGTGATCTGATTTCATCCTATCTTTTACTTGCCCAAAACCCTTCAATGGCTTCTTTATTGCAATTAGAATAAAATCCAGAATCCCTACCATGGCCTACAAAGCCCTGTACGCTCCGTCTCTGTCCTGCACTCCTCCCCACTTTCACTATTCTTCAGCCTCATTAGCTTTCTTGTAACAGATGGAAAAGGCCAAACTTACTCCTCCCTCAGGGTGTAGTAATTACTCGTCCCTAGGCCTGGAATGCTCTTCTTTGTGGATTCACTCTCATTATTCAAGTCTTGGCTCACAGGTCTCAGGTAAAGAGACACCTGTTCTGACGACCCTAGTTGAGACCAGGGTCTGGGATCGGTGGAGGAAGTGGCAAGTGATAATCAAGAAAGACTTCCTACTATAGGTGCTGTCCTAGAAGTCAGCTCTTTACACTGTCCCTATTCCATTACTCTGTTTATTTATTTACTTAGCTTTTGGTCAATTCCCACTGCCTCATCCCCTTGAATGTAAGTTCCATGACAGTATAATCATCTGGCTCTTACCTTATTCATCACTCAGCACTTAGAACAGTGTCTGACCCAAAGTAGGTGCTCAATCAGTATTTGTTAAATGTATGATGCCATGTGAGCACTATATCCTATCCCTCCCCTATGGTTATGAAAAGGAAAATTAAAATTAGATTTTCTGAAAACATTTGGGACAACACAATTTAAAATAGGCCAGAGCAAGTTCTGTATATAGTAATATGTAAGGTCCTGCTGTAACATTCACAATGTCACCTTCAACCCATGGTGTTACTGGAAGGCAGGCCTCGAGTACAAGATGTCCAGGTTTTTGGCGTTTTTGAACAACGAATTGGACAAAATGCACAAACAAAGTAACACAGGAATGAAACGCAGGAATGAAGCAGAGAAAGCAGGGATTTATTAAAGCAAGAAAGCACTCCACAAGGTGAGAGTGCACCTGGGCAAGTGGCTCAAGGGCCTGCTTACAAAGTTTCCTGGGTTTTAAGTACTCCTTTTGAGATCTCTATCGGCTACCCCTTATCTGAATGAAGGCTTTGGTTTGTGGCTAACTAAAGGCTGGGGTGAATTGAATGCAGACGAAGGGATGGCCGGTGCTTAGGGTGGCCAATCCAGGACACTTTCCCTTTCCATCTGAGATGTGGTGGATGGCGGGGAGTTGTAGGGAGAGCAGGCTTTGAACCTTTGTTACTAGGCATGGGGAGATGGGGTTTTTTCTTTTGGTTTAACTTTAGGAAGTTGACACTAATTGGCCTTAGGGTTCCTGCCTTCATACCCAGGTATTTTCCTTTTGATCCAGCTTTGGGAAGTCAGCACGAATTGGTCTTAGATTCCCTGCCTCCAGACCCTATTCTCCTGCCTCAATAGTAGGTTGTATTATTGCTTGGCAAGATTCACTGCCTCCCTGTGGGGGATCACATGTCCCTGTCCTATTGAATAGTACAAACAATTCTATGGAAATCAATTCAGTAACTTAGATGACATGGACCAATTTCTTGAAAATCACCACATCCCCAAAGTTGTGCAAGATAAAATGAAAAGATAACCTGAATAGGATGAAACTATTTTTAAAAATTGAATTTGTGCTTAAAATCTCTAGAAAAAGAATTTCCAGGCCTAGGTATCTTCACTGTGAATTCTACCAAGAATTTAAAGAATAAAAATCATCAATTTTATATACTCTTTTCCAGGAAATAGAACAAGAGGGAACATTGCGCAACTCATTCATTGCAGCCAGCATTAGTCTGATAAAAAAACAAAAACAGAACCAAAAACAAACAAGACCAGCCTTGCCAACATGGTGAAACCCTGTCTCTACTAAAAATACAAAAAGTTAGCTGGGCGTAGTGGCGGGTGCCTGTAATCCCAGCTATCCGGGAGGCTGAGGCAGGAGAATCTCTTGAACCCGGGAGACGGAGGTTGCAGTGAGCCGAGATCAAGCCACTGCACTCCAGCCCAGGTGACAGAGTGAGACTCTGTCAAAAAAACAAACAAAACAAAACAAAACAACAACAAAAAAACCCCACAAAACCAAACAGCACCAAAAAAAGAGAGAGGAAGGCTTGGAAGAAAGTTTTGAAAAAGTCTGTTTTGCTTGTCTTTCATATTGCCATGGAGTAATCACTGCCAATCCTTCACATGTCTGTGGCCTTTTTCTAATACCTGCATTACCAAGCAGAGGAGCCGATAACCCCAAAGGGACACGAGCTCACAGGCCAGAATATCCATTCACTGAAGAGTAAGACTACTGTGAAAGAAAGACCACAACCATTATGAGATTGATCATCTGGTACAGAATTATTAGAACAGAATTTAAATTAAGCACAATAACTTTATTTAAGGAGGTAAGTAAATTAACAATATAAAAAAGGATTTTTTAAAAATCAAATAAATAAAAATTAATATATTAACAGTTTAAAGTAAGAATACAGCAGATAGGGTGAATAAGGGATTTAAATAAGCTAAAGAGTAAGCAAGTGAGTTGGAAGTTCTGATTAAAGAACTCTTTGAGAACATAAAAAGTAAGAATAAAGAGGAAGAAAACATTTAAAAAGCTAAGGTATTTGGAGGATAGACTATGTATTTCAACATCTAGCTAACAAAAGTCCTGAAAAGAAAAATAAAAGAGGAGAAAGTGCTTAAATAAAAATAAAGATAAATGTCTCAGAATTAAAGATAAAACAGATCAGATTTAAAGAGTGTATAGAGTGTGAAACTGGAGATAAAAACATAAATGAACTTCAAGACATATAATGAAGTGTAAGAGTTGCAAAAATAAAAGAAATATTGTTTTTAAAGCTTCTAGAAAGAAAAAGCAGATCACCTACAAAAGAACAGGAACCGGATTAACATTCGACTTCTCAATGGCAACACTGCATTTGAGAAGATAATGGAATAGTATTTTTAAATATGATGGGAACAAATATTTTTAGGTAGTATTTGATATCTGATTAAATTACAATTTCAATGTATGAAAAAAACCACAAAAGTTCCTTGGGCATATGAAATTACGGAAGGTTTGCCTTACAAAATCCATTACTGAAAATTTAGAGAACACAAATAAGAGTGACAAGTTCTAGAGATGTGAAAAGTAAGAATGATTAACTACTTGGAAAAACTTTATTTATATTGTCTTAAATAAAAGGCTATAATTAACAGAGAGAAAAGAGAAAGCCTATCCATAAGAATCCAGAGCCAAAACCTAGACAGAGCTTGTTTGTGGGGAGGTGAAGCGGGTAGGGAGGAAAGAGTCTAGTGGGATTTGAGAGGGTGCTCAAGTACTTGGATTGTTACACAAAGATGCCATATTGACACATTTAAGAAAGGAGGAGGGATAAACAAACAGGACTATGTATCTGAAATCTAAAGTCTGGTTCTTTGAAAATATTAATAAAAGAAATATATCACTAGGAAGACTGAGAAGTAAAGACAGAATATGAAAAAAAATAAAATGAAAAAGGGAAAATAGCTACAGATGCAGTAGAGATAATAAAACAATGAAAAGTCTTTTGAAGAATTTTATGCTACTAAATTCTGGAAATCAGATGAAATGAATATATTTCCAAAAATTTATAAAGGGTCAAAACTGGTACAAGAAGAAAGCAAGAGCATGGATGGATAATTATTTTAAAAAACTTAGACGTGGTAGTCAAATGTTTCCTATTCCAAAAACAAAGAAACGAAAAGACACAAACAAAACAATAACAATGTGCCCAGGTGGTTTTAGTGAGGAGTTCTGTCCTGAACAAGTTATTCCACAAAAGAAAAAAAAAAAAAAGAAGCAAAAAAGAAAAAAGAGTGAAAGATGAAGCTGTCTAGCTTTTTTTGTTTCTTTTTAGAGTGAGATTAGTGAACATGGATTTCAAAACCCAATAAAGAGGTATACACAAGAAAAAAATATACAGGTCAGTTTCATTTATGACTGTAGATGTGAAAAGTCTAAACGGATGGTAGCTAACCATATATAACAGTGCATTAACAAATCATATTCAGGAGAGATTTCTCTAAGGATTGTAATTAATATATCGAGAAAGAAGCTATTAATATAACTCACCTCATTAGTATACTAACTGATAAAAGTCATATAATAAATTAAATAGGTATTATAAAAACCATTTGATAAAGTTTAACAACAAAGCTTATTACAAAAACTCTTAACTTAGAAGAAAATTCTATACCTTGATAAATGTTTTAAACCTCAAATCTAAACAAACACTATTTGTGTTTATTCAAGATTAGCCAATTATATATTTTCTTTATTTTAGAAAAAATTAAATAGGCTTTTTTGTTTGTTTGTTTTATTATTTATTTATTTATTTTTGAGACAGGGTCTTGCTCTGTTGCTCAGGTTGGAGTGCAGTGGTGTCATCTCGGCTCACAGCAGCCTCCGCCTCCCAGGGTCAAGCGATTCTCCTGTCTCAGCCTCCTGAGTAGCTGGAATTATAGGTGTGCACCACCATGCCCAGCTAACTTATGTATTTTTAGTAGAGATGGGGTTTCATCATGTTGCCCAGGCTGTTTTCGACCACCTGACCTCAAGTGATCCGCCTGCTTCCAAAGTGCTGGGATTACAGGTGTGAGCCACTGCGCCTGGCCTAAATAGTTTTTTTTTTAATTTAAATTTACATTTTAATTTTTATCTAAAGGAAGTTTAAAAAGGAAGATTTAGCAAAGATTATGCAACATGATAATGCTTTAGTTGCATTCCTTTTGCGAATGCAACTAAAGTCAATGTACCTAATATTACTGTCACTATTTATCATAGTTCAGGAGGTCCTAGGTAATGTGATAAGAAAAGAAAAATAAATAAGAGGTATAAGAATTAGAAGTATAGAAATAAAATTGCCATTATTTGTAGATGACATAAAACATTTACCTAAAAAAATTAACGGAAACAATAGATACTTAGAATCAATAAGAGAGTTCAGCAGGATTGCTAGATACTGGATTGATATAAAAAATTAATGGTATTTTTCTACATTGGTAATAACCAACTAGAAAATATATATTTTTAAGTTAGACAAAAATTATCAGCAATACAAAATGAAATGTTCAGAAATTAGCCAAGAACATATAGAATGTTTGTTATGAATATAAAGGAAAAACTTACAACTCTATTAAAAAATAAGGATGATTTGAACAAAGGAAGATGCATTATAGGCCTTCAGAAGGGATGACTGTAGTATTACAAAGATGTCAGTTCTCCCCAAATTAATTTATAAATTCATTGTCATTTCAATCTAAATTCAAGTTAAAATTTTTGAGGGGGGGACTTGATAAACTTGATAAACTAAACTTGTTAAACTAAGATGCCTTTGGAAAAATAAAGGTCACCAATTAGGTAAGTCAACCTCGAAATGAAAACTAAGGAAAACTGTTTTACCATATATTAATGTATTAAGTTATAGCTATAAAAGCACAATGTGGTATTTATGGAATACCATATGGAAAAACAGATCTGAGAGTAGAATAGGGAGTTCAGAGGTCAAACAGAGATCCATGTACATATGGGAACTTAATATACAATGAGGCACCACAAACCAATACAGAACAGATGGATTATTTAATAAATGATGTTAGGAGAACTGGTTCACTATAGAAAGAAAAATGAAACTGTATCCTCAACTAATACCAGTATAAAATAGGCTAAATATAGAGAAATAAATCTAGAAAGTTAATAGCGGAACATATTGAAGAAAACCTTTTGGCTGAAAAGCAAAGAAAGACTTCTTAAGAAAGGTTTCAAAAGCTCAAATAATAATAGCTAATATTTAGTACAGGAACCCGGTGGAAAATTGACAAACTATATGAGCAGGAAATTTAGAGGAAAATAACACTCAAAGGACTAAAAAACATATGAAGAGATGTTTAAACTCAAACTAATGATTAAAGACATTCAACTAGAAAAATGAGATATAAATTATCTCTATGAGATTATCAAAAATGACAAAGCCAGGCCATGTCAAGGCATTTGGAATGATGCATGTCGTTAGGAAATAGGAGCTTCTGTGCACTGTTGGAGGGAGTGTAGACTAGTACAGCCATGTGGGAGGGCAGTACATGGTTAAACTATGTAAACACATCCCCTATGACCCAGCAATTCCTCTTCTGGGCATATATTCCAGAAGGCATTACCTTAGTGATCCATAAGTGGACATGTACAAAGTATTTACTGCAGCACCATTTGTGGTGGTGGGAGGTTGGAGACAATCTGATGTCCATTTTTGGGAGAATGGAGAGGTAAAATAAGATGGGTGCCCACCATGCAGTATTTTGCAACAATTAGAAGCAAAAGACTATATAGATGCATGACAACACGGATGGGTCTGAAAAACAGTGCTGAGCAAAAACTATGAGAATAGGGAATGAATTATGTAACCCAATACCGCTTACATATATTTAAAATATTTATACTCAAAGTAATTTTACAAGAACACATTTTTCAAAAATACATACAAACAAAAGGACACAAATTTAATGTATCAAATGCCTGCCTATGGAAGGTGGAAGAAGAGAAGAGGGTAAAAGGAAATAAATGAGTAAAAACAGACTGGGACCTTGCTGGAGATTGACATGGGTGGTATGTGAAAAACTGTGCAGTGTGATTAATTGAAACCTCTGATCTGACACCTATCCTTCTATTAATTTTGGACATGCATGGAAATGGTTTGTTCAAATGGGATAATTAGTGCCCTACCTCCTTCTCCACAGCCAGGTCCCAAAGAAAGAAGGTAGACTTCTCCTTTTAGGGGTTTGTTTGTCTTATAATAAAGCAAGAACTCAAGCTGTTTCTAAATAGTGGAGCAGAGAGAAGCCCTATCACCTCTGCACTTTGGTGAAAAGGATTTGTGGCATATCTGAGGATAGATAGCCGTGGATAGTGATCATGAGGCTTTCCTTTCTAACTAGAATATCTATCTGATAAGTATGTGAATTTCCATGATCTGCCATCTATTGTTCCAGAGTGTGGTGTTTGCCAATCTTCATTAATTTTCACAACCTCAAAAGCTGAAGCTTGTGTTAGAGTAGACTCCAAAGTTTTCTTAAAAAGCCCCACAGAACAGCTCAGCCTGGATGTGGAAGGGCAGGGACAGGAGCAAAGGTAATAAAAGAAAACTTCTTATTATCCATCTCTGGGTACCTCTGCAAATGATTGTCTTTACTTAACCTCAAGGTCAAGACAACCTATTTTATAGTGCTCACTGTCTCTTAGGACAAGCTTTAGTGAGAACCTTGTTTGCTTTTTATAGTATTAAAAGAGACAATGAAACTGCCTCTCAGACAATCATTTCACCAAGTCCTGGCTGCTCTGTGGGGAATATTTGTTTCCTCATTTATATTCATATCTCTAAAAGACAAGTAGACCTTGGATGAAATTTCAGGCGACAGTAAATTATAAATAATGTATCCATATTTTTTCTCTTCCATACTACTTGTACTTAATTCCCTCCAGAGTCTTGTGCAAACACCAGAGACAAGAGGACAGGAAGCTATTAACATGAAGGAAAGAATGAAATGGACTTATGTTATGTGGCAGAAACACAACAAGGGAAGACATCTTGATCAAAGGAGGTTTTTGAGGGTTTGTGAGTGCCAGTTCTTTTCTTTTCTTCTCTTTTTTAGTTTTATTATTACTTTTTGACATCTTAACTCTTTTCCAGGCCATCAGGTAGGCATCTTGCTTACAATGAACCTCTTATGGTCCACTTGGGACAAGGTGAGGGTTTATCCGTGGATAAAGGCAACTTTGGGCCAAACTTTAAGCTCTCTTGTTCCATCAGAGAAGGCATAGAAAACACTCAGAATGATGAGCTGAGATCAACCCATCCTAAGAGTAGGATACTGCTAAGTGGGAAAGTCAGGTACTGTCAATGAAGTTGGAAAGGATGCTAATTGCTAAAAAGAAATTAGCCTCTAAATCCATTAGCCCTGGCTTGCGATCACCTGGGAGGCTTCCAGTGTTTCTCAGACTTCTTGCTCAGCAAGAGTAATTCATGTCTGTGGGGTCCTGACTGGCAGCACTCCAGTCTTGCATATAAGTGAAGATACACTGCTCTTCAATTTTGCTTTTCCTTATTGGTAATGTCCCCAATCCCACCTCACCAAGTTTGTAAGCTGATACCCTTGTATTCTTTTCCTCCTTAATAAAATTTGCTCTTGGGCAGGGGTAGAAAACTTTGGGGTAGAGAGGTGGCACAGGCAACGAGAGCTCATTAATATTACCATGCAAATGACTATGTAGCCTAGTGGAATTTATTCAGGGAAATTTGCATTGAGGTGGCTGACAGAGCCTGAAATTAGAGGGAATTTGGGCATCACATCATACTCTTGAAGGTTATACCTCTTTGCCTGTCTTATCCCTACAAGGGGTATTAAAAATCGCCTTAGGCTTTATTTTATCAGAGACCCCTCTTCTGTGCTCTGCAGCTGAGATTTGACTATTCAATTTAACCAGTGTCTATTATGTCTGGTATGTGCCAGGCTTTGTGCAAGATACTTTCACATGCATTATTTCTGCCCAAGAATCTTTCATTCTGCAACCAGTCATTTCAGTGGGTTCTGATAAATCTCCAAGACAAAGCCAGCAGAGTTTGGTATACATGAGTGACTTACATTTAAATTTGAGCTTTCCAGTAAAACTGCGAAAGCTTCCAAACACAGACATATCTTTGCCATGTACCACAGAAGTAATAATACAAACTCTACATGGAACAGCTCAGTCAGTAGCTACACTCACCGCATAGGAAATTGGGCTCTTCTGTTTTCCCCTTTCTGAGCTGGTATTGGTCATGCCCCAAGAGCCTGGTGTCAACTGGAGTCTTGTAAACACAAACAAACAACCTAAATACATCCTGATAGTCCCCTGCACTGTCCACCAAATGAAGCCATTATTCTGCCTCCTCTCCAGATTTCCATGTGTGTTGTTAATCTTCTGCTTATTTGATCCTACTGAGGCCCCAGGTGGATTTGGGATCCCAGATCCAAAAAACTGTACACTGCTTGGCGCAGCTGCATCTAAGAGAGGGCAGTGAGGGGCACAGAAGCTGGTTTGCTTTTACAGCCCAGGTGGGTCTGGAGTGAGGCACAGCTGTAAGATGCCACAGAGACTTGAGGCACATTGTCATACTGCTCACAACTGCTAGCTGTGGCATCATCAGTGTGGGAATTAAAAGCCCATACTACACTGAGCAAACATTGAAACCCATGCATTTTGGGGATAAAATGATTAATTTAGACCTAATAAATATGCAAATTGGGAGCTCAGTTTAAGTGTCTGTCATCTGTGTCCTTTTTATAGAAAAGAAATTCTTAATTCAATGGAAAGCTCCAACCCGTGGGTCTTTAAGTGGTAGCGTGGAAAAGAGGACCATGGAGCCCTCTTTAATTAACCTGCGAATGTGCAGGGAAGGGCTTAACAAGAAGAGGGTAGCACCTTAGTTCTGAGATCAGACACCTTTGCAAGAGCATGGAGGGGGAGCATAATTGACTCCAGCCCCATAAAAGAGATCAAGTGTCTTCTAAGTTCCACTTGGTAAAGATACATCTTGGATTCATGTCTGTTTGTGTACCCAAGGTTTATTTTTATTTTTTAATTAAAACACTTGTTTCTCTGATTAATGTGCTCATTTAAGATACTTTGTGATGTATTGAAAAGTGTAAAAAAAGAAGGGAGAAGAGGACTCGTTCACAATCTCCGCACTCTATAGAACCACTGGGGATATTTTGTCATATCTGATCAGTGTCTTGCTTTGTCATTTAGAACGAGTGCAGTGGGGGAGACACCTGGTGGGGCTGGGGGACTTTCTCTCACCTCTCTGGGGATGGAGGAAGAGGCTCTGAGGCATGGACGGGAATCCAGTCATTCTGGTGCTCTGACATGGCAGGCAGGATGTGGCTGAGTATATGGGACATGCTCAGGTTTGCCTCACATGTATGCACCCACACCCCCATAATGTGGGCCAGGGAGAGAATTCAAAGTCGGGGCTGGGCAGCCTTACATTATGGACTGTAGAGAGGCACAGTGGGAGGTGGTAGAGAGAAACATTAGTAACACAGACCCCAGAGCTGAAACATCTGGCGTCAAATTCCAGCTCCCTTACTTAAGAGCTATGGGATCTTGGGTGAGTTACCTCACCTCTCTGTGGCCCAATTTCCTCATTTGTAAAAAATAGAGATGATAGTGCATACCACATAGGCTGTTGTGAGGATTACATTAGGTAATACATGTAATGCAGTTAAACAGTACTTGGCAAGTAACTCTCAAAAGTCAGATATTAGGTTATTTCCTGTTATAGAGATTAGGAATTTTTTTTATCCTTTAGCAGCGTTTTTCAAGTATCTTCTGCTGACTTAAGGAGGGAAGGCAGCCGGAACAGCTGCATTTAGAAGTAGAAGACCTGGGTTCAAGGTCTGACTCAGCTATTTACTAGCCATGTAAGTCTTTGGTTTCTGTGCCCCTTGGTTTCATCACCTGTGGAATGGGGATCATAGGCCTTCCTGACCAGTTGTTATATAAGAACTGAGTGAGATCATAGGAATGCAAAAGTCCTTTGTGTATGGAAAAGAGCTGCAGGTTTAATGTTGAGGGTTTACTACTGCTGCTTTTACTAAGTGAGTCTCTGATTACAGGTAGCAGAGGAAGGAGGAAGAGAAAGATAAACTTTGCTGGAAAACCACTTGCAGAAAACCTGAACTGGAAGGAACCTGATTTTTTAAATTTTTATTTATTTTTTTTTTTTGAGACGGAGTCTCACTTTTTCACCCAGGCTGGAGTACAGTGGCACGATCTCAGCTCACTGCAACCTCTGCTTCCTAGGTTCAAGTGATTCTCTTGCCTCAGCCTCCTGAGTAGCTGGGATTACAGGCACACACCACCATGCCCAACTAATTTTTGTATTTTCAGTAGAGACAGGGTTTTATCATGTTGGACAGGCTGGTCTCAAACTCCTGACCTCAGGTAATCTGCCCATCTAGGCCCCCGAAGTGCTGGGATTATAGGTGTGAGTCACCGCACCCAGCCAGAACCTGATGTCTTTACTTGGTGCATTTAATTGGTCCGGGTGGATCAGGGAGTTGTACTGCTGGTTCCTGCGGTTACCTTGTTAGTGAGAGGTTTCCTGGTAGGGGCTTGGACAGGGGAAAAGAAGGAGGAGGCAACTGAGCTTTTTTGATAAACTGCTCCCAGAGCAAGTCTCAGCAGAGGCTGCTGATGAGCCAAACATCAGGAAGTGGAGAAGAAGGCATCAAAGTGGCCATGCTCCCTCACCTGTGGTGAAAGCGGTGGAGGTGATGCTGCTCCACGTGGTGTCCTGTGCTGCCTGCAGGAGCACCGTGTAGTCTGTGTTCTCCAACAGGCCCTCCAGTCGAATCCAGGTGTCTTCTGCATCCACAATCAGCTCCTGTATAATGAGCCAAAGGAAGGGTGGTGGAAGGGAGCAACTGGCTTGCAATTTGGGAAAGTAGGGAAGGGAAGTCCAAATCCCATGGGCAGCTAGGTCAGTATTGCAATGGCCATTGTCATCCTCTCCATCCCACAATAAGGATTACTGCACCAATAAGCAGAGAGGAGAGCTCCCATGTGAGATTTAGGCCAGCTCCTATCTCAGGAATGCACATTGGGATAAATTTAGGTACCTGCATTATTGAATCTAGAAGTCTTCAGATTGCACTGTACTTGCTTGAGAGCAGAGAAAGAGCTGAGGAAGTGGGATCTAAGGCCTCCTTACTTCTATCAAGCAGACTAACTCTGCTGAAATGTATTCTGTGCTTTTGGTTTCTGCATATGATTTCCCTTTAAAAAGAGGTTGCTTCACTAACAAAAACTTGAAAATCAGTGTTCTGGATGAACTGTTTCAACTGATGAAATAAAACAAAAATTTGTTGTTTCTTTACTGTAGGCTACACAGATATCACCTTTATAATGCTTATCAAGAGGCATAAAAGCCTATTGAATTTGGTATCCAGCTCATGTTTGCTCAGCCCTGTTGTTGAAAAACTATTCCAATATCATGTACTTGGGAGTTTCCAATGTGCTTTGTGTCATTGTATTGGAAGCACCAGCACAACCCAGTGAAGTTGCAGGGGTAGAGACCTTCATTAGCTAGAGAAGAAAGCAAGCCTTGAGGAGGTTTAGTCCTTTGCCTCAACTTACGTAGAGAGTAGCAGTAGAGCTAGGACTATCATCCAAATCTTCTGGCTTGCAGACTAGGGCTCTCTCATCAACAGCAGGCTGGGTATCCTTGATGGGAAGCTGATGAGCAATCCTTGTGGATTGCTTCCTTCCCCCTCCCTCCAATGTCCTGTGGTCACTCCACTAGTCAGTTTCCACATGGCCTCACTTGGAAGAAATGGTCTTTTCCCTTTCCAGCAAAATCTCACCTTGCGGCTTCCATCGGTGGATTTGTAGGTCAAGACATAATTTTCAATCTCTGCCCTGGGAGGCTGCCAGGAGATCAGGGCACTTTGTCTGGTGACTTCACTGGCTGTCAGGTTTGCCGGAGGGTCCAGGACTGCAAAGAGGAGAAAGTGCCAGGGCATGCCTGCCTCTCCAGCTCCTCCCCCTGCTTGATTTCAGGTATGGGTATCTGTTGCCCACCTCTTTGGTCTCAGGATTGCTCACATGCTGACCCCTGCTCTGGCTTGGAAAGGAGCATAAAGGGTGCTCCTGGGTCAGATGATAATCATTCAGTGCCACGATCATTCTTGCAGCTACTTCCCCTTCCCTTACAGGGCCTCTAGGCTTGGGTGTGACATCTTCCACACTGACCTTCTATGCCTGAGATCTGGACCCTGATAAACTCTCATGTCTGCTTGTTCACTCGTGAACTTACGTTTCCACATATTACCTATGTCTACTTTCTCCTATTCATCACTCTACTCAGCAGCTCTTTCCTAGATATCTAGCCTTTTAATATCCATCAGACTTTTCTGGGGCAGATGCATTCCGAGTACAGACCTCTCTTGACCTGGTTCTTCTGCTGTCACCCAGGGTGAGAGCAGAAAACAGACATGTCTCTGCTGGCCAAAAGTTGCAGCTTAGTTTCACTGAATTTGGGCTGTAGTCAGTCCAAATAAGAACAGCTCATAGCTGCCCTGTCCAAAGCCTGTAAGTGATAATCTAGTCCACCACAAGAAAGCTGATCATTTCCACAAAAGTCCCCAGGGATACGGGTATGTAGGTGACCATGTACTCACGAGTAGAAAAGTTGGTGCTGATGGTGCCACTGGTGAGAGGTCCATTGGTGGCATACATGGTGGCAGTATAGTGGGTGCTAGGAAGCAGGTCAACAAGCCGAAATTCCTCACTGACTCCGTCAACAAGGATGGTCTCTCCAGCGACTGAACTCAAATGAATATGAATAAGGGTTGAATAAGGCTACTCAGTTTAGGAAAGATCTACCAAATCCAAAGGTATTTCACATGGATTTACTACTAGAGAATTTTGGAAAAAAATCTTTCATAGGTTATCTAGCTTAGTATCTTACTCTTTGCAAGGATTCCCCTCTCATCTCATATCATAATTGAAAAAAAGTGTTCTTTATGTGCAGGTCAAATTGTCTTCTCTATAACTTCTATTCGTGTCTCTGGAGTTATTAAGGATAAATCTAGTCTTTTGTGTACATGACCCCTTCCTCTCCACCACCCTTCCTAATCAAGTTCTCTCTCCACTAGACTGAGAAAATTCAGCCCCCACTTCCCATCACATTTATGTGACAATTTTAAAACCTTCACAGTCCTATCTACTTTTCTCTGAACACGTAACAGTTTATCAATGTCCCTGCTAAAGTCCAAAACTCAGAGAACTGAGAATAATGGAGAGGTACTGACCAATGAAATAAACAGGGTCAGTCTGTGCTTGTGCCACTTATATTAATTAGTAAGGTTTTGGGAATGCCATGTGATATTGTTATCACATGCCAAGATTATTGCTAATCAAAGATCTTCTTTGTAACCACTCCCCCTACCTCTCAATCCAATTTTGTTAGTTGATTTTTTATACCCATGGACAGAGCTTTGCATTTATTTCTATTGCATTTTGCCTCATTGATTGAGTTTTGGGCCACTGTTTCAGTTGATTAAAATATTTTTGAACTTGGATTCTATTGATCACAATTTTGTTTTATACACAAATTTGGTAAGCATGTCTTCTCTGAATTCATTCAAGCTGTTGATAAAACTGTTCATTAGTTCAGGGCCAACTCCTCTGTTGGGCAATTAGAATACTTGGAAATTATTTAATATTTAACAGTTTACTAGGCACATTTTCAGAATAGGTAGGGCTTTGAGATTTCAAGTTTCTTGTGGTCTAAAGGCATACAAACAAGTTAAAATTCAAACTAATGCTTAAGCTTTGGAAGAGCATGTATAAGGATATCATCTTTTTAATGTCCCCCTTTGCACATCATGCCATTGATTAATGCTCCAGCCATACCAAACTATGGTAGTTCTTCAGACTTCTTACACTCTCACATCTCTGCAAATGCCCACAGTCTGCTCTTTTTCTTGAAATTCCCTTTCTTCTCCTTTTCTTCTTTCACTTTATCTAAGACTTTTCTTCTTTCTTTCCCTCCACACCTTGACCCTATTCATAGTAGCCCACTGGACATGGCCCATGGTGTTCTGTGCATGTCTATAGCATACACTGCTCACATCAAGTTGTAACTATTTACTTCTCTGCAACATCATTAGAAGTGAGTTCCATAAAGATGAGAGCTCAATTTTTGTTTCTGAATCCTTATAGCCTTATAGAGTGTGTGGCACATGGTAGGGCATCAAAAGTATTTGTGGAATGAATGGAAGTTCATTGCTCTGTTAGAGCTGTGTGTTTAGTGTCTGTGAGCAGATGTGTCTGACTGCCTTCAGGGAAGCTTTGACAGAAGAGATAGGGTTGAAACCACGACTTGAAGGATGGGTTTTCTAGGCAGGCAAATGGGGGAGTTTCCTGGTGAAAGAAATAGCATGTGCAAATGCATGGAGGCTTGAGAAAGCATGGTGATAATTAAAAAATGCGGGATCATGTTATGAAAGGAGGGGTGACAGGAATTGAGATGGATTGTGCATGCTCACAGAGGGGTTAGGACATACCCATAGTAATGCTATCCCTTCTTCATGGAGGGTCATTCATTCAGCTACAGTCCCAGCTACCTCCAAATATGACCTTTCATGTATTTTTCCATGTTAACTAAGGACTAAGTGATAAGTGGGGTTTTCTGATGCCTTGCTGAAATACAAATGTACTAGCAGGTTTGCCAATGAAAACAAAGACATAAAGTAGTTTCGATAAAACTTATTCTTGGTGAATCTGTGCTGCTATATGGTAATCACTAATTCCTTTTCCAAGTTGTTTAATTGTCTGTTTTAGTTTTTACCTTCCTAAGCTTTGACAATAAGTTTACTTCTTTGCAGCTCACAGAATTAGCTTTCTCTGTCATTTTTGAAAACCAAGACATCTGCCTGCCTTCTGTCTTCTGGTATCTTTGTTCTCTGGATTCCTGAATATAACCCAAAACAATTCTGTGATCACATGTTTGATGAAGGCAGGGAAATAACTTCCCTAAGCCTAGAGACTTGGAGGACTCAACTCTATTTTGCTTTGGGCTTCTCTGTTCTGTTCAACTTCAAATGGTGTAAGGTGAACAAGCATGATACAGAAGACAGTGAACTTCAAGATTTCGTGTTAGTTAAACCTGTTGGGCTGGATATGAATAGAGAAGACAAAAACACGGAAGAGTTTAGCAGTCCTGAATCTTTTGTCACCTGTTAGCCTGTACTCTCTGTTTCAAACTTGGTCCTATATCTTCAGTGTTTTTCTTGCTCTGCGAATATTTAGAAAAGCCTGCTTTCTTGTTTGTAGCATTTTGGGGGCAAGTCTTAGCTCTGTTCTGAGTTTCATCTTCCTAGGGCTATTGCTCTGTTTTTGTACTTGCCCTTGGTTACATGCCTTTCTTGTACCTTTCAGATTCAGCTTTCTCAGCTCCTAGATTTGATACAGTTTGCAGAGTTTGGGGATATCTTCTTTTTTTTTTTTTTTTTTTTTTTTTAGATGGAGTCTTGCTGTGACTCCCAGGCTGGAGTGCAATGGCGTGATCTTGGCTCACTGTAACCTCCACTTCCTGGGTTCAAGTGATTCTCCTGCCTCAGCCTCCCAAGTAGCTGGGACTACAGGTTTGCACCACCACTTCCGGCTAATTTTTGTATTTTTAGAAGAGATGGGGTTTCACCATGTAGGCCAGGCTGGTCTTGAACTCCTTACCTCAAGTGATCCGCCTGCCTTGGCCTCCCAAAGTGTTGGGATTACAAGTGTGAGCCACGATGCCCAGCATAGAGTTTGGGGATATCTTGAGGGCTTCATAGTATACCTGAAGTAGGAACTTTTCTAATCTGTCCTTCAGATTGAAAAAATGTTTTGTTTATTCACATCATACTGGTCTGCAGCTCCAATTCCCACCATTCCCACCTGCCTGATCTGCAGGCCTGCAGACACCCACCTGCAAAGTGTGTAAGAACAATGACGTAGTTCTCCACCTCACCCACTGGTGCCTTCCACTGCAGCAGGGCTTCTGTTGGAGTGATATTGGTAGCAATCAGATCCACAGGGTTGTCCATGGCTGAAACAGAATAGATTATCAGTTACAGATAAGAGGAGCTGCAGGATAGAAATGCAGGGAATGATCTCAGAAGTTCCACTCATGGTGCAAGACTGCTGCTGCACTCTACAAAACAAAGAAGTGAGCAGAAACCTCTTCCCTTTCTCCTCTTCTGGTTCCATCAGCCTCTTCCATTTCTCCCTGCCTCCCTTCTCTCAAGTATCCAGTTCTCCCCCAGTCGCCCCCAGCTCTTCCTTTTAATTAATTCAATAACTTCTTATGTGCAGAATACTGTGCCAGATACTAAAGAGGATTTCAAGATATGGCTGGAATGAATTTTCAACATTTAAATCTAGATGGAGCAACCAAGAACCCACAGAAATTGTTATAATTTTTTAGTTAATGAGATAATCATACTTCCCAGGCTATTTGCACTTTTATAAATGTAAGGGTGTGCCTCATGGAAAGATCTCTGTTGAAGAGCTTCAGGAAGTGTGGTGGCAACTCCATAGGGGCAGGAGTATCCCCAGGACAGAGAACATAGAAGATCCACCCATGGAATGACTGCGTGGGCTCAGTCAGGTTGCCTCAAAAGTCATATCTGATTATTGGATGATTGCTTCACTGCTCACAAGTCTCACTCAGGACTGAGTCCTTGGTATTCTTTTTGTTGCATTAAGAGTCAAGAGGATTCTTCCAGGCTTAGGTAGGTCAAAAGGGCCTGTTAGAGGAAAAGATTGTGCTTGTCATAGGATCATCTTCCTAGTCTTACTTGCCCATGCTCTAAGTCTTTGCTTTATTACTGTGCTTCTCTTCCATCAGGTTATAATTTATCACAAGTGGATGTTATTACAACAGTTTAGTTATCAGCTCAACCCAAGTGTCATAAAATTTACTTTTGAGAACCAAGATCTGCTGTGGATCTTGCCCTATTCTCTAATTGAAAGTATTTTTTTCACTTGCCTATGTCCTTTATCACAAAGAAACAACCTGCACAATATTTTCATGTTAAAATTGGAATTGTATCCATAATCTGCATGTTCAAAGAGTTCTTCAAATGCAGCCCTTAGACTACACTTGGCTTGATCTATCTGAGACATGCATGATACCACGAGACAAACATGACACCCTGAAGGAGCACTCACTTCCAAAAGTTGTAAGATCATAGACCTCAACGTAAAACCACAACAAACATACAACAGCAAAATAAGACATTCTGGGGCAATCTAGTTATTGGAAGTTGCTAAAATAGCTCTGCCTAGACTTAAAGGAGGGCAGTTTGGATGGGCATACCATTTGGGTTGGTGTACCAAATATCTGCTTTAGAGATACTAGCTGCTCATGACCCAAGGATTTTTTTTTCTTTTGAGAGACAAGGTCTTGCTCTGTCACTCAGGCTGGCATGCAGTGGCATGATCATGGCTCACTGTAGCCTTGGACTCCTGGATTCAAGCGATCCTTCTGCCTCAGCCTCCCTGGTAGCTGAGACTACAGGTGCATGCATCCATGCCTGGCTAAAGAAATGAGTTTTTGATTGAAGTTGCTGGTCTCTTTTATCTTGGGGATAGGAGGCTCTTGAAATACATTTTATTGTCCTCAATGGGAAAAAGGCTAATTTCTTTAATATGAATTTCTTGGTTCAAGAAGGTGGGATAGAGGCTTCTTTTGGTGTATTGGACCTCACTTCTGGCCAACACTTGTTGATATTTTAATGGTCACAGGTAATTTAATAGATAGGGCAAAACTGAATGGCTGTGTTATCTGTTGTCATAAGCCTGGAAGGAGACTAGGGAGGATCAGAATATCCTGCGCTGTCTTTAGAAGAATAATTTTTGTGTTTGTGAAGGAATATTTCTTGGCCCATTGCCTTAGAGATGCTGTTTCTGAGCTTCCGAGAACATCTACGAAAGCAGTAAGGAATTCTAAAGTATATTTCCCTCATTTGGGAAATACCATTCTCCAGTGAAATTAAGCAACTGTAGAAAATCCAGGTGTTCTCCTAATGAGGCAAGCTGGATGTTTTCCCACGTGCTGTGGGAATGATGGCTTAACTAGGAGGTTTGGTCTAGGGTATGGGAATAGAACACTTTGGCTGTGCCTGCTAGTGAGTTCTGCAGCGAATCTTTGCATGTTCTGCCTGGTGTACTTGCTGAGGGGCCAGAGACGGAGGAGCAGTGGTGCTAGCAAAGGAGCCTTCTCTTCAGCCCCATTGCGTGGGCTTGTTTTCAAGAGGGAGGCCATGGGATTTGGACTACCTTTCCTCACTTTCCCATATTGCAAGCCAGTCTCTCCCTTGCACCTCCCTTCCTCTGGTCATTATGTAGGAGCTGATGGAGGATGCAGAAGACATCTGGATCTGACTAGGGGGCCTGTCAGAGACATGAGCTACACGGTGCCCCTGCAGGCAGCCCAGGATGCACACGGAGCCACATCACCTTCACTGCTTTGGTCCCGGGTGAGGGAGTTATGGCCACTTTGGTGCCTTCTTTCTCCCTGGAGCACAAAGCAAGAGCAAAGGCACCTTCTTGGTGGTTTCTGGCTATATCTGATGATGAATTTCATGACCCCATTCCATTACTGGAATAACAACCCTTTTCTTCTCGAGGTGAAATTTTCTCATCTGAGTCTTTTACAAAATCAGATGAATGATTCAGATATCTGTTTTAGAATTCACTTCCATTATATGTCTGAAAGGGCACTGTTTATGTTGGAAGTTCCATGAAAATTCCTAACCTAAACCAGCAAGACTTCTAGAGGGTGACTCTCTAAACGTTTAGTATTAGGGAGGAATATTGGGGGAGAGAAATTGCAAATTGCCCTGCAAGACACAGTGAGTTGGAGGAGCACCCCGAAATGGAGCCTTAGCCTCCAGAACCTTTCTACAAGCCCGAACAACTTCACCCAGATCTTCAGCCAGGGTTCTGACTTGACACAGCAGGGAGACATTCCCACCTGTGTGCACAAGAGTACAGATGCGCTCGCTTTCCTCCCTGCCCCGCACGCTGTTGAGGCTGATTTCGTATTCGGTAGCTGGGTTCAGTCTGGTGATGGTGAATTCTGTCACAGTGTTGGGCACCACTGAGCTGTCTAGTCGTCCCACTGGAGAAGAGAAGAATCTACAGTTAAAATTCAGCAGCCCTTTCATCCAAGCAGCCCATGGTACAGTCTATGTCAATAAAGCACAGATGGGTGTGGGACTCCGCACTCAGTGGGGAGGGATGATACATGGTTCATGGGCTGGGAATGTTGGAGTGTGAAGAGGCTTTGCACACTGGTCTCACTCCTTCATTTTATGGGCTCCTTGGAGCAAAGAAAAATGACCTACCTATTAAGTGGTTTTCTAACAAGCTGGTCTTCTCTAAGACAATGACATTAAGGCAGTGTAGAGGGCACCGATGCAAGGAGCAGTCCCCACAGTCCAGAGACAGTGTAGTCTGGAATGCTGTCCTGTGTCCTCACTGGAAGTGAGTGTGCCCTCCACTTCCTTAAAAATGCCACATGTACCAGCAAGAACTGGCAGGATGCAGGTGAGGTCTGGGCCAGTTTCCTCTGACTCATAACTTGTCTGGAGTGGCTGAAATGGGACCACATCACTGTGCTTCCCTCCAAGGCTCCATCTGGCTTTGCTGGGTCTTTAGCCATCCCTCTGGATCCTAGTCTTGAACTTCATTCTTGTAGGAATATTCATGTGACCCAAGCTCTTGGCAGATTCTTTTGGGGCTCTTTTTTTCTCAAGACACTGCCTAGATAATGGTGATCAGTTACCTCTGCTAGTGAAGGGCCTGCTCTCTGGGTGAATGTAATCAAGCCTTTCTCAAGAGGCATTGGTGAGTGTGGGGTTTCTTGGCTGCTCACCAGCCCACTCTCATTCTGATGCAGCATGCCACAGAGAAGAGGAAAAACGCAGGCAGGAGTGGATGTTCTGCGGGATATGCTAGTTCTCCCATAATCTTCACCCAAATCCTAGTATCTTTGAGAAATCAAATCACTTTGTTACCTTGGGTGGGTCGATATGATACTCGGTAGTAATCGAAAGATGCAACAGGAGGGCTCCAGGAGACCATCACTGAGTCCTTGGTCACATTGCTAATTGTGATGTCTTTTGGGGGATCAATTCCTACAAGGACCCAGTGATTGTGGGAAAAAGACAGAAAGCACAGTGTGAAAAAGAAATTCTCATCCCTGGTTTTATGTTGACCAAAAGCCAATGTTGTCCCAAAGGCAGACAAGATCTTTCCATGTAATAGGGTATCTTAAAACCATGGTCACGCTGATGTTTCACTTGAAACCTTGTAGGTATGACCAAAGCTATGTTCATGGAGAATATTTTAACAACATGAAGACAAGCTGGCAAGCTCTGTACCTGTTACCTATCTGCAAGCCAACTAGGAACTTTTTTTTTAAGTTCATATGTTTTGTTTTGAATTGGGAGAAACATAGGCATTTTCTCTGAGGTAATTTTTTAAGATAAACCAAATTTTGCCTGTATCTCTTATTCTTTAGCAGCCACCTTTGGTTTCAGTTTTGAAAAACTGCCTATTGACTATACAGGGATTTCAGAGCACAAGTCCAGAACAAATCCATTTTCCTAAATTGTATTTCATTTATGCTATGGGCTTTTTTTTTTTTTTACTGCTAGGGGATCACAGAGTTGATCAGCTAAGTGTTTAATCTACTTGTCCAGTTTGTGAGTTCTTGTTAGTAAGGAGGAAACTACCCAAACATACATATCTTCACCCACATGTACCTCATATTTGAAACTGTGTTTGGGAATAATGAGCTGGGACTGATCCAATTCATCTCTGAGTGCCTGTGTTTTCTAAGCAACATCCAAATCAACCCCATTCTCTGAGTGCCAGGTCACTACCTGATTGCATGCTAGTCCCATGTGAGACTAAGGAAGCATTATTGTACGAGTGAACTTTCTGGGCAGTTAAGAGATGGTTCTTCAGAATAGGAACAGGTGTCTCTTCACTGTAGAGGGATTCCTCTTGGAGACTAGCTTTCTCCAGTGCTTTTCTTCTAAGCTGGTAGTGGGAGGTCTTTTGGACAAATGCATTCAAGCTTTGACCTCCTCAAGACATTGACTTTGTCCCACCTTCCAAGTGGGAGTTTCTTATCTAATGCATCTTCTGCAGCACTGGAGGAAGTAGCTGTTTCAGAACAGGTCACAGACTTTCTCTAGCCATAGAGGAAATCCCCTACTCCTTGGGTCTTTCTCTTTTAAAATTTCATTGATTTGTCAAAGGCTACTGTGAAAACCCCTTTCATCACCTGCTGCCAAGTCCTCCAGCCTCACCTGTGGTGATGGAGCCCACAATGGGCTCAGAGGTCACTGTGCCATGGACAGCCACAAGGTTCACAATATACTCTGTGGCTGGTTGCAGGCCCATCAGGACAGCATGCCTCTTGGTGGCATCCAGGGAGACCTCCATCATCTCTTCCTCCTCATCCCTGGGGCTGTAGTTAAGAATGAGTCTGTCTGCTGGGGGAGATGGATCACTCCAAGTGATGTTCACACTGGAGGAGGTCACATGAGAAAAGTGCAGATGAGAGATGGGACGGAAGCCTGCAAAGCAAAGGAGATGGATGGTCCTGAAACACGTGAGGAGATGGGTCACTGGGCTAGAAGAACTTCTTGGCTAAAGGGACCTGCTCTCCTTGCTAATAAGGGCCACACCTTCACCCACTAACCAAGAGATTCCACCTCCTCACCCTCCAGTGCTGTTCACTCCACTTTTTCCAATCCAAATATAGGAAAATGGATTCTGTTAAAATGAGAACTACTTCTGTGAGTTAATCATAATACTGAACCAGGATTGAAAGCCTGTATCCTGGAATGAATTTTATATGATCCCATGGATCCTCTGAATTCCCACTGATTTACTGCAGCAGGGAAAGATGGACAGAATCAACTACTATGTCAAGGCCATAGAAAAGCCAGACACAAGTTTTCAGGCAGGTAACACTATTGCTCACCTCCCCTCTTTACTTCCAACCCTTCCCTCTTGATGCACTTATTAGTTTTTACTCTATCCTTTTCTACCCACCTCTCTTTTCTCCAAAGGAAATGGAACATTGGAAGAGTGACTTGCCTGAATGAATTTCTCACACTGAGATCCACTGATCCCTGAACCTGGCTGGGATTTCTGCTGCTCTGGTACCTGTGAAAGCATCCACAGTGGACTCCAAGCTCTGCTGCCGACCCCTCTCAGCAGTGACGGAAATGATGTACTCTGCCCCAGGCTCTAGATCTGTTAGTGTGTATGAGGTCCTGTCCTTGGGTACGGTGACTTCTGAGGCAATCCCAGAGGATGGGGTAAAGGTAATTCGGTAGTGGTCAATGGGGCCACTGGCCTTGGTCCAGATGAGGGAGATGGAGGTCTCCGAGGAGGCTGTCACCATGAGGTCTCGGGGACTGTCAAGTTCTGTGGATTGACATAAATGGCCTATTTTACATGTGTTCCCCTGGAGGGCAGTATTTATTGGCCTGCTTTGTGTGTTTCCAAGCTATCAGCAGGCCTGCTGACTATGAGCACTAGCTTGTCATTGCTGACACTTATCTAATATTTTGCTAAGTACCTTCCCTCTGAATGATGGCCAGGGGCTTGGCAAATAGATGAACAATCTGAAGAAAGCCGTGATGAGCTCTGATACCACTGGATTGCATCCACCTCTGGGACAAAGCTGGCTGCTGATTTTCAAGCTCGCCATATTCATTTTCTCCCATCCTTTCTCAATGAGCCAATAAGGATAAAATGGTAGCTACCACCAAGTAGGGATATGCCATTCCTGGCAACAGAAGCGCACCACCCTCCAACCCTGAGGCTATTTTGACTTGTTCTAACCATAGCCAGGCAGGCAGCTAGATCTGAGGACCTGGAGACTTTTGTCCATGTGGTTCTCTAGAGAGGCTGAACCTTGGGACAAGGACTGGTCTAAAATCCCTAGCCCAGCCCAGGCTGCTAGTACCATAGGTGCTGAAATGACTTTGAAATTTACCCAGGATTTGGAAGCAAAACTGCTGAATCCAGAGCAGCAAGGGTCTCAGCTGGACTTTTCTTCTGCCCTCAGATTTAATGGGTTGTTGCAAGTCTAGACCTTCACCCAAGTGGCGTTTGTGAGGACCTCTGTGGTGTATGCAGGGCGAGGATGCCCCATTCTGCCTGCTGTCGGGGTGGTCTAGATAAAAATATGGCCTGCAATGGCATCAACCTATTTAGGATTTTCCACCTCTGCTCTGTACAGCCCTGAGCAGCTCTTCAGACCACGGGGGACCGAGCACAGGTCTGTGGGGAAGAGGGTGACTCTGTCCTGCCTGTCAGAGATCAAGGATTAGGCATAGGGTGGATGTTGTTTCTAGGCTGACAGTTGTCACCAGAGCCCTGTTCACTGGAAGACATTGCTTTCTGATTAATTTTTGCTGGGACGAGCCTCCATGACTCCTTAGGCTTATAGGCTAACCTGGTCTTCTTCCTCAGCAGTCCTCCTACTCACCAGTCCTGGCATTCATGGTGGCTGGCACGCTTTGCTGTGAGTTCATGACGGCAGATATTCCAACTCCATACTCAGTGCCAGGTACCAGATCTATCAGTGGATGGAGAAACAAACATTATTCTGTGTATGGGGCAGGGCTAGGAAGGCTGAAAGTGGGAAGAAAATGATCTTAGACTCCTATTCATATCTTGTGTTTAGTCCTCCTTGAATCCTCTCCTAATTTGAACTATTAAGAAATCCCAATTTCACTATTTAGGAATCCCAAGTCAATAGGATGAACCAGCCCACGCAGAGCTTCCTTCTTGCAGGCAGGCTCTCTGGGAAGGCAGTGAGGCTGCCTTGTCAGTGACCTTCAGAGGTGTGCTCACATAAGTATACAAGGACTCCTTGTATGCTTAGCGTCTCAGGTTGGCTTGAACCAGCGAGAGGATTTCTTGCTTAAATTGTGAATTTCGGGAGTATGTAATCAAGAGAGACAGTGTGGACATAGACCTGAAAAGCATTCCTTGAATGTTATATACAAGGACCAAGCTACACCTTTTACAGGAGCTGAGGCCATATGGGGACTCCTGGGTCCCTTCTAGGGAGGAACAGTGGATGGACTTTTTTTTCTAAGCACAGGGCTGTCGAGTAGGAGCATGCAGAAGTCCTGTTGCTGTAGGCCCCCCGCCAAGTTCAGTAATTCAGGCCTCAGGGTATCTAAAGCTGTGGATCTAATTTTAGAATAACTTTCAGGGGAGTCCAGGAAGACAGAGGAGACACAAAAACTGTCCCACTAAAGGGTGTAAGCTTCTCTGAGGAAATCCTTTGGGAGGTTTACTACAAAGGATCTCTGAGAACCTCCTAGAATATCTGGAATTCTCTAGGTTCTCTCCTTGACCTCTTTCACATTTATTTTCAGACTAACTGGTTTGACTGGTGTACTAGTTTCCTATTGCTGCTGTAACACATCACCACAATTTAGTGACTTACAACAACAAAAGTGGATTCTCTTACAGTTAGTTCAGGAGGTCTGCAGTCTAAAGTAGTTCAGCAGGGCTGCCTTCCTTCTGGAGGCTCTAGGAGAAAATCCATTTCCCTGCCTTTTCTAGCTTCTAGAGGTTGCCTGCATTCTTTGGTTCATGGTCTCTTAATCTATCTTCAAAGCCAGAAGCTTGAAACGATCAAATCTGTTTTCTCTGTCTGACTTCTGCTCCTATCATTGCATCTACTCTGACTCTGACCTCCCTACATCCACTTATGAAAATCCTTGCGATCATGTTGGTCCCACCTGGATAGTACAGGCTAGTCTCTCCTTCTCAAGATCTTTAACTTAATCACACCTGCAAAGTCCTTTTTGCCCTGTAAGGTGGTTATATTCACAGATGCTGGGGATTCTTTGAGGGCTATTTCATCTATTACAACTGGCATCAAACTCATTTTTATCTATTAGGACTGGGGTTGTAGAAAAACCCAACAAAGGCAGGGCACGGTGGCTCATGCCTGTAATCCCAACACTTTGGGAGGCCAAGGCGGGTGGATCATCTGAGGTCAGGAGTTCGAGACCAGCCTGACCAATATGGTGAAACCCATCTCTACTAAAATTACAACAATTAGCCGGGTGTGGTGGTGTGCACCTGTAGTCCCAGCTATTTGTGAGGCTGAGGCAGGAGAATCGCTTGAACCTGGGAGGCTGAGGTTGCAGTGAGCCAAGATCATGCCACTGCACTCCAGCCTGGGTGACAGAGTGAGACTCTGTATCAAAAAAACAAAAACAAACAAACAAGTAAACAAAAACAAAACAAAAAAACCCAACAAAATCAAGTGATCACCCTGAGGGCCTCCAGTGGTCAGTCTGAGTCCTTCCGGTAGGCTCTTTTTGGGGCTTTGTGTGGGCTCATGGCTGATTGGAATGGTATTCTGTATTTATATAACATCTGTGCTTTTCAAAATGGATTGTGTTTTAGAGTCTCATCACAACCTTGGGAGGAAGGTGGGATAAGCAGTCTTTTCTCCATCTACATTAGCTTCCTGTGGATGCTGTTATAAATTACCACACACAGTGTGGCTTAAAACAGACATGTGTCCTCCCACGGTTCTGAAGTCTGGAAGTCCGAAATCAAGGTGTCGCCAGGACCATGCTTCCTCTGAAGGCTCTAGGAGACCTAGGTTCTGGTGGTTGCCAGCACTCCCTGGCATTCCTTGGCTTGTAGTTGCGTCACCCCAGTCTCTGCCTCTGTAGACACATGTGTGTCTGTGTCTTCCCCTCTTCTTATAAACACACCAGTCACATTGAATTTAGGGGCCACCCTAATCCAGTATGACCTCATCTTAACTCTACTGCATCTCTAAAGACCTTATTTGGAAATAAGGGTTTGGGGTGGACATGCATTTTGAGGGGACTGTTATTCAACAGAGTACATCATCTTTTTATAAAAAGAAACTGTGGCACGGAGTAAGTCTGTGACCAGCTAGAGATGCCCCCCCGGATTCTGGTCTCAGAGTTCAGGGCTTTTAGGAGGAATGGGACATCCTATTACTTCCTTCCACCGCTCAGGGCAGCTGTGATTTCTCTGGAATCCCTGATTTTGATCGGAAATACTTTGAGCAACATTCCTTTAACAAATGGCTTGGCTTGGTCAAGAGGAATGCTGCCTGGCAGCCAGGGGGTTCTTCATCCCCTTCCTCAGTAGGCTTTTGTGGAGTCCATGCAATAAATGTTGCTTAAGCATGGCAGAGCTTACCAGGCCAGTTTCTCTCCCAGGAATGCAGTCCCGAAGCCCTGTCTGGGTAGGCATTCGAATCAGCCCTCTTTTTTCTCTTCTTAAACCAGCTCCCTTTCTTTCCCAACCCTTAATTCTTTCTTTCTCTAAAGTGGCAACACCAGTGGAGGTAAACTTTGAAGTTTGACAGACTTTGACGTCTGACATATCTATATTTGGTCTCTTTCACTTTTTACCTGTGTAATTTTGATTACTTAACATCTATGAACCTCAATTTCTGAAGAATGAGAATAAAAACAGCATCTATATCAGAGGGTCATCATGAGGATTATATGAGTCAAAGTGTTTAAAGTCCAGTGCCTGGATCTTAGCGGTAGTAGCTAGTATTTTATTACTTTGCACAGAGAACTATTCCTGGATTTTGAGTACTTTTTTTTTTTTTTTTTTTTTTTTTTTTTTTGGTGAGTGGTCTCATCAACTACAAAAACCGCCCCAGGCAAGTACAGGCCGGTCCTGGGTGCACCTGTTGACTTCTTGTTATTGGTTTGCTGGGGCTTAGCCTGTTGGCTCTGTTGGAAACCAGTGATTCAGGGAGTCCAGGTGGCAGTGAGGACCTTCTCCCTGGCTGGGCCAAGTACCTATCTCTAGATTGAGTGGGTGATTGCAATACCCCCTGATCCATTTGAAGCACACATTTATCTCCATCAATATGTTCAGTGAGTTCCAGGTACATCCTTGGTTGCAGAAATGAGATTACCTTTGGGACATAAACTACTTTTATCAGGCAACTGATTAAGACCTTCAATTGCCTATAATGAAGTAGAAATTCTCCAACATAGATGAAGGGTGACAGATGGAGGGAGTAAGACAGAAATTATACGTTGCCAAACAGATCTAACATGTAACATTTTCATCCCAGTTTCTTATTTATGAAGCTTAAATGAAATGTTCAATAATTTACAATGGAATCATCTTCTCCCAGAAAACTGCAGAGCAGAATTTAATGTGTTCTCTTCCCAGGTTTTCTGTCTAGAGGATGGAAAAGTGGGACTTGCTTATAGGTTTGTGCCTGCTGCTTTCCTTTGATTTTCAGCAGCTTTCTTCCATGCTACAAGTGAATTGTTGCTCTTTGCCAGCAGGTTAGACACAGTTCTGCTGGAAAAAAAAAAAAACCACATGTATCCGAGGCATAGCCAGTGCACTTAGATATCAGCACTCTGAGTACTCCTAGGGATTTCTCACTTTTTAAAGACCCCATTGCTCTCTATCAATGCCCCCTTTATCTCTCCATCCAACTCCTGCAAGTGGTAACATATAAATGGCCCTGTTCCCTTTCTTAACAATAGCACAGAAAATTCATCCCATAGGAAATCACTACTCTCTGTTCCTTATAGAACTTTCTTTGTTCAACTTGGAGGTTGATGCTTTTCTCAACTCTTTCACCTCACACCCATTCTTCTTGGAACCCCTAAAGCACAGTCATACATTCAACAAATATTAAGGGCCTCCTTTGTGTCAGACACAAGGTGGTGTGAGCTGAACAAGACATTAGCCTTGCCTTTTGGGGGTGAAAAGGAATCTGTGCTAAAAAAGTAAAATAATTATTTAGTGAGCACCCATAATATGCCTAGCACTAAGCTACATGGAAAAGAATAATGACGAAGGGGAGGGAAGAAAAAGAGAAGTAAAAAATGAAGACTTTTTGAGTGTCTGATGGTAAAGAGTTATGCAAGTATTACTGAGCTTCTTAAAGATTCACACGTTATTTAATTTCCCTGAAGCACTACTGATAGGGTATTGCAGATGAGCAAACAGGGGCTCCAAGAAGTCTATTCCTTGGCCAAGGTCACAAAACTGATACATGATACAACTAGGTTTGGAACCCAAGTCTCTTGTTATTTTCTGACTCATGATAGCATGGTTCCCATCCCTGAGTCTTACAGGCCAGGAGGAAGGAGTGGAGTAAGCAACTTGGAATTCGAGAGTGATTTGGTACCTGTTATAGTTTGGATGCTTGTCCCCTCCAAATCTCATATTGAATTGCCATCCCCAATGTTGGTGGTGGGGCCCAGTGGGAGGTGTTTGGGTCATGGGGGTGGATCCCTCATGAATGGCTTGGAGCTGTCCTCCAGATAGTGAGTGAGTTCTCGTGAGATCTGGTTGTTTAAAAGTGTGTGGCACCTCCCCCCAACCCTTGCTCCCTCTCTCATTGTGTGATGCGCGGGCTACTCCTCCGGCTTCCCGCATGATTGTAAGCTTTCCGAGGCCCTCACCAGAAGCAGATTCTGGCACCATGTTTCCTGTACACTCTGCAGAACTGTAAGCCAGTCAAACCTCCTTTCTTTATAAATTACCCACCCTCAGGTATTCCTTTATAGTAATGCAAATGGACTAATGCAGGACCAAAGCAGAGGCTGCTAACTAAGAGGACAAGATCAGCATGGGACTAAGAGGACACGATCAGCAGGGAGAAGATCAGCATGGGCTGTAATAGTCAGATAAGTCTTTCCAGAGAAGGCATTTGAGTTGGAACTTAAAGCTGGCTAAGATAAGGAAAGATAGAGGGAAGGAAATATGGAATTCTCTAGTGGCCAGAATGGGGCATAATGAGCATTCATAGATTAATTAGGGCTAGAAAGGAACAGGAGTTAGCACATTCTCACCTGCAGTGCAAGGACTGTGGTGATAAAGGCAGAATGACTCACTTAGCCCTGTTTTGGGAACCTATTCTTCATGCCTGCTGTCGCTAGCAGGGAAAGTGGTAGGGAGAAGGAGGCCCAAGGAACTGAGATTGCTGTCTCTTGCTAGCAAAAACATGAGTAAGATACTTGGGGTCTGCAGACTTGGTTGGGATCAAGTGGACATGAGGAAATATGGACCTTTCCATCTTTAAATCCCTGAGATCATCTCCCAAGTGTCTGTGAAGCTCAAGTCTATGAAACTGAGGTTAGGGGTGTGATTGGCCCTAGTGCACTGGGTGCCTACCTTCACAGAGAGGGACAAACTGAGGACCCTGTCCCCAAGGAACTTGCAGTCAATCTGCGATTTTTATAGTGATTATGTTATTATTGTTAGTTTTCATGTTGGTTTCCTCACTAGACTCTTAGGTCTTTGGGTCAAAGATTTTATTTTTTTCAGTATGTAGTATAGTGAGAAAACATGCACAGAAGCAGCATGGTGCTGGTGGCAGTAGCGGTGGTGGTGGGGAGTGTTGGGGAGACTCCGAAGAGAGGATATCTGGACTGGGTTTTGAAGGACCCATGGACATCTGGTGGCAGGGAGGGCATCCCAGACAAAGGAAACAGGGCATGCAAAGGCAGCTCTGGCAAAATAATTCATGAAAACCCAGGGACTAATATAGGGTCCCTCATAGAGAAATTTCCCATCAGTGGAATTTGGAGACCAGAGGTTTCATGGGGGAGATATGTGGAGAATATCTTTGGAGAGCCCCTGAAATCACACCAGATAGGCACCAATCTACTTTTTAGTTAAATGGAGATCTGAGCAGTCAGCCTCCCCACACTTATCTCTTTGGATAATGACAGGTGCATCTTCAGGATTCCTGGAATGAGTCAGGCTTTCGAGGCCATCTCCCTGCTTTTTTGGGTGTGCATGATGTTCAAGTTTCAAGAGAAGCAGCCAATTCCATCCTGATTTAAAGGAAGGGACTGGCCTAACAAGCCCATTTTTGATAAGAAAAATAATACTTCTAAGGCCTGTTTCCAGATGGAACTTTCTTATTGCTGGTGGAATTAATGAGAAACACAGCTCATCAACCTTGTCATATAGGAGCATCCCTATTCTGGGTTGTTGCTGTGAACAAGTACTCCCTGCTGAGGAGTGGAAGCTGCAGCTGAAATATTCCCACCTGGCTTTTCCCCCAGCCCCCTTATCCCCAGCCTTTAAGACAAATAAGGAATAGGCCCTGTATGTCCCAGCTCCGTGAGGAAGAGGTATGTGGAAGCCTTTGTCCTTTCTTTCCTCCTCTTCAACTTGGGTCTCTGCAGCCCACTCCCCAGCTTCCCGCCCCTGGAAGGTGACACCATGTTTAGAGGGTGCCTTACCAAAGTGACCACTTGGGGTCACTGTGACTTCGCCCAAAGGAGGCTGAGCACTGTCTGGCCCGGGACCCCAGGCCCTGTGCCTGGTCCTTTCCTCCTCAGAAGAGCTGCAGGGCGTTGAAGGTCTGGTGCTGGGTTTGGTGTTTGTGCACTGGCCCATCAGGGAGTGCAGACATAGCGAGGTGGACATTGAGTGCCGTGGTCAGTGCTGACTTGCCAGCTGGACTCCCTCTGGAGTCTCAGATTTCTTCCCCTGCAGACAAGCACGTGGCCTGCCAGTGTACCCTGAGGAGCCGACCTTCTCACCACTAGATCCCCATTTGGGCCAGAAACCTTGAAGGCGGCAACTCCCAAAGCATGATCAGGACGTACTTGCAGGCATCAGCCTAGCGTGTGTGAGTGTGTGTACGTGTGAGGGTATGTGAAAGTGTAGTGTGTACGTATGAGGGCATGAGCATGTGTGGTGTGTATGACTATGAGTGTGTGCATGTGTGTATGAGTATGTGTGTATGTGCATGTGAGTGTGCATATGTGCTTAAGTGTAAGTGCAAGAGTCTGTAGGTGTGTTTGTGTGTACATGTGTGCATGTGGTGAGTGTGAGTGCATCATGTGTGGCTGGCTGTAAGTCTCTGTTTTCTTGCAGTCCTATGTTGTATCACATCTGTAGAAACTGTAAAGCTTCTGGATTTCCTAGGCCCTGTTGGCAATTTTTCAGCTTGTCAACTGGAGATAGAGATAGTCCTGGTGCAGGGAGAGGCAGCAGGTTAGCAAATGCCACCATGAGGCCTAAGGCAGGTGCCCTGTGGAGTGGGTAAGGGGTGCGATGAACGGGCCCTGGGTGGTTGTGAGAGCACGGTGCTCCTGTGACCGTATGGGCCTGGCTCCTTTTGCCTTGTTTCCTGGTCATGAGAATCCTTACGGATCCTAAGCTTCTGTTCATGAGGGAAGACCAGGTGAGAGAGAGTGGATGGCTTAGGGCAAGCCCCCTCCCCTCCTGCTAAAACACAACCACATGCCTTTTTGATGAAAGATTAGAGCAGTCACCTTGGACACAAAGGCCAGAGTAGTGTTTATAATTTGCGTTAGTCCCAGTCAGGGAAGTTGATTTTTTTCGCTAAATTGCAATCAGCAACTAAAAATCTTCTCCCTCCCTTCTCTCTCTCTTTCCCTCCCTCCTTCCACTTGGAGTTTTCTAAATGATTTGTTGTTTTTTTTTTTTGTTGCTGCCCAGAAAGCAGAATGGTATTGTACCCTGTTACATGGTGCCAGGTTCTAATCTGGCTGGTAAGATGTGTAACACTCAAGGACCCCTTTGGGACTATAGGTATGGTGCACAGGCCAAACAGACATCATACAGGCTAAGTGACTGAGACTAAAACAGACTTATTAAGGACACAGAAGCCACTAGAGCAGAGAGAAAAAGTCATTGCAGACATTGAGTCTGTTGTTCAGAAACAAATTCATATCCCAGAAGGAATTCTCTGGACATTGCCTACAGAGAATAATGGGGGGGGAGTGTTTGAATTTTGGGCACCAGCCTGGACTCTGTGTGGCAGAGGGCAACATTTGTAAAGAGGGAGGTCAAGAGGGGGTACTTGCTGCCAGCCAGCTCTGGGAATGTCTCAGAGACCAGGAGAGTCAGGAAGGGCCTGGATTCCACAACAAAGAGGAAAATGGTGGCCTCAGAGACAACGGCTTCTGCAGGGAATGGCAAATACAGGTGCCATAGAGCTTTAAGTGTTGAGTCAACAGTGAGAGTAAAGGGGGCCTGACCTTGTGCCCAGCAAAGGCCAGGCTGCCACGGCTTCAGGTCTGAGCTTTGTGAGGATTAATACCAATAAAAAATTGAATGGGTATTGAGTGCTTACTGTGTGCCAGGCTCCATCCTAAGTTCTTGAATAGGGATATATGTATGATTTCATTTAATTCTCGCTACAACCCAATGAGGTAGATAGGATGTCTTTTAGATGAGAGAACTAAAGTGCAGGAAATTTAAGAAATTTGCTCAAGGATGCACTTTTCATGAAGCTGGTCTCCCCCCTGAGTGGGGTACTTCCACAGCTGTGCTCTAAGTGAGTGCTTCTCACTCATAGATTTCCTTGAAGCAGGGGTCCTAAAATGCAGGCTCTGGGTTGGTAGTTCTCGGGGGAAGAGGCCTCCAACATCTCTGGGCGTAATGCCCAGGCTGCTGGTGGCTGCACCACGCTGTGAGAGGCAAGGTTCTAAACCACTAGGCCACATGGACTAAAGGAGGACATCCTAAACCATCCAGTAGCTCACAGACCTCCTCATCTCTTTCGTCTTCACCACTGTCATCCACTTACTGAGTAGTTTGTTGTCAGAAGCACTACCTTAAACTCGTTAAATGTATTGCCTCATGAATGCCTCATGATGGCACTGTGGGGTCAGTGGTATCAGTCCCCTTTAACAGATGAAGAAACAGAGGTTTAGAAAGATTCAATCAACTGTCCCAAATCACACAGCAAGTGGCAAGCCTGGGTACAGAGTTGAAAGTCTAGGCTCTTAGCATGTTGCATGGAGCAGAGCATTCAGATCAAACTGTGTCTGAACACAGGCATTGGAGGCTGAAAAACTTAACTTTTTACGCTCCAAGTTGGAGAGTGAGTGAGAAAGCACAATGTTTTAGAGCCAGAGTCAAACTTCTCCCTTTTGTCCCTTTCTCTTTTTCATGGCTCTCCCTTCTCTTCCCCCAGATGCCTCAGCAAGAGAACCAACAATCCTTGCAACTAGCATCTCAGCGAGTACAAATACACTTGATTTCCTTATGTGCCAATAATCCCTTCTTAAATTATGTTAAGCTATTTGCCTCATAAATCTCCTCAGCAGTGAACTCCCTGAGATAATTATGTGTAATATATAAATGTAATATTATATATATATATATATATACACATATATTTGAAATGTTTTAAATCTGACTGTAACAAAAAATCAACCTATTTAAGCCCCCTACTCAATAATAATTTTCCCATCGCTTCTAGGTCTGTGGCATTTAAATTTGGACTGTCCCTTACATTTTACTTCTTTAGCAGAAGCAGCTGTGGAAGGGGAATCTTCTGACTGGGACTCGAAAGGACTGGCTTTGAATCACAGCTGTGCCCCTTGCTAGCCTTGTGAACTTGGGCAGGTTTTCAAACTCCACAAGCCTCAGTTTCCTCATCTGTAAAATGGGAATGCTAACCATACCCACCTCATGAGGTGGTTGTGAAGATTAAAGAAGCTATAACTGTATGAGAGTTCCTGGAATAAGAGAGATGATCAGTGAGTGTCGGATCTTCTTTTTTCCCGGTAGAGGGAAATAATAACTAGGACGTGGGGTTTTCTATCTCTCTCATGATGTCATGGCGCATCCTCCATCTGAACAGTTAGCCATCGATTTTATATAACTGCTAATTACCAAATTAGCCTGCGGCTCTAGGCAGGGATGGGCTGCGCTTAGAATCAGTTCCCTCCTGTATCATTTCAGGGTTTTTTTTTTTTTTTTTTTGGATTTAGCTTAATTTTTGTGACTGTTTCTAGCTCTCTGCGAGGCCCTATGCCAGCTGGTCTATCCTTTCTCTGCTTAATTCACCCCCGTTAATCTGCTTGGTCAGCATATCTTCTCATCTCCTTGCTGTGCCTTTAGGAGTGCGTCTGTCTGGAAAAGGCATTTATTATATTTACTTTAACTGGCTGTGTTTGGCAAGGTGGTCTGGGATTTCAACTTGGGAGGAAAACTGCTTTGATTATACTGCCCTTGTTTACCGTATGCACTCTTTGCTGTGTATCCCTTGTCTATCAAGACAGCAAATACTTTTGCAGGAATCCAAGACACAAATTAAACAAAATCTCTGTCTGTGAGCACATTGGCAGCTCCTGGTCCATGACTGTTCTGCACAGCATCTCCTTTATCTGAAAACCACACCCCCATTTCCAGTCTTCTACTCTTTGGTGAGTTTGGGAAGGGAGGTTTTCTTGGATGGGTGAGCCAGAGGCCCCAGGAGTGGTGTTGCCTGGGTCTCACATTCCCAGGGGACAGGGAACACTTCCCAGCCAGGTATCATGGTGACCGAGGACACTGCCTTAGTCCATGCCATCATCATCTCCCTTTGACTCCAGCAGCAGCCTCCTAACCAGTCTTCCTGCCTCTGACCTTGCCCTTCTCTGTACAATCCAGTCATTACATCACCTTATTTAAAATCTTTCAATGACTCTCTGTTGCCCTCAAGAATAAACCTAAACTTTTCATCGGGTGCATAAGGCATGACTCGGCTCTCATTTTATCAGTGAATTCTTGCAATCCATGCCCAAGTCATAGTGAACTTCTGCAGCTTCATTCATTCATTCATTCATTCATTCATTCAGGAAATGGTGAACCCTGAGATTCAATGATGAGCAAAACCAAATATGGTGCAATGTTCACAGAGATTTAGGTGTAGGGTGGAGACTGACAGTCAAATAGTCATGCCACACATGTAAAATGATAACCTGAGGAGTGCTAAGAAGTGAATGGAAACTGGCAAGATGAAGCTGCCGGACAGAATGAATGGAACTCTCTCAGGAACAATATCAAATTTGACCACTAAAGCTCCCTAAAGTGGGGAGTAACCTGGGAGTGGAAAGGGAAGCCTGCATTGGCTAGATGAAGAGGTTCCCATCAGGCAGAGGGAACAGCATTTGCCAGTCCTATATAGCAGGAGGGAAAACGTATTTGAGAAATGGAAAGAAGCAGACTTGTGGGCCTGGAGCCCAGAAAACATCAGGGAACATGGGTGGGAGGTGAGCCTGGAGAGGGCAGGGGAAACCAGGCAGGGCCTGGTGTCCACACTAAGGGTCTGGGCTTATCCTAAGAGCAGTGGGAATTCCCTGGAATATCTGCACAGTGCAATGGCATAATCAAAAATGTACTTTGAAAAAGTCACTGGAAGGCCAGGTGCAGTGGCTCACACCTGTAATCCCAGCACTTTGAGAAGCCGAGGTGGGCGGATCACCTGAGGTCGGGAGTTTGTGACCAGCCTGACCAACATGGAGAAACCCTGTCTCTACTAAAAACACAAAATTAGCCGGGCGTGGTGGCAGATGCCTGTAATCCTAGCTACTTGGGAGGCTGAGGCAGGAGAATCGCTTGAACCCGGGAGGCAGAGGTTGCAGTGAGCCAAGATCACACCACTGCACTCCAGCCTGGGCAATAAGAGTGAAACTCCGTCTCAAAAAAAAAAAAAAAAAAAAAAGTCACTGGAGGAGGTGTGAAGAGTGGGCCAGGAGACAATGTGAGGGGGTTATTGCAATGGTTAAGATAATAGATGAGAACCTGGGAGACAGAGGTTGCAGTGAGCTGAAATTGTGCCACTGCACTCCAGCCTGGGTGACAGAGAGATTCCGTCTCAAAAAAAGGAGATGTTAGTAGCTTAGAACAGGTGATGGCAGTACAATGGATAGTACTAGACATATGTGCTAGGCACTTAAGAGATGAGATCAATAGGAATTGGCCATGGGTTTGTAAGATGTGTAGGTTGGGGAGACAGCTGTGAGGGTATAGACTCAGCAACCAGCATAACCCCAAGAGATAGGTCTTACTCACCTGTCAGGGTGGCCCTGGTGGTTGGACCAATGCCCCTGGGGACCAGTACCTCATGATATTGCTCACCCGCCAGGGTGCTGTACACAACCTTGTACTCCTGAACTTCGGCTTCACTGTTATCCCACTCGAGGTCAAGGCTGGTTGCTGTGCGAGAACCAACTCGCAAGTTCTTGGGGGCATCGATCTCTAAAAATAGACAGACATCACCAACATCGCACATGATAATGTAATGTACATTTGTGGTGCATCTTGAACTCTGAAAAGATTGGTGGTGACAGCCCACACCCCCTGACCCTCTGGCTCACATTTGAATGAACACTGTGGCTACCCTTAGCTTTTTGGTCTGCTGTGACAAATTCCTTGGGCAGGTTAGAGTGATACTTGGGAGCTGAAGATCAATACACTTTATGCTTCCCCCATTTCCATTCAAGAGTTCCAGTGGCATTCTAGAAACTTTAAAAGGAACCAGTCAACATCATAAGCTTAAAAACAAAACAAGGGAAACCCCAGGAGGAGAAAATCAGAGCCAGCTCCCGAGTGATGGAGATGGAATAGAACAATATCAAATTTGACCACTAAACAAAAAGAAGACTGTTGATTTCAAGGTTTTGAAGTGTAAGGTGCCTTCCTCTGTGTTTACTTGAATAAACACAGCTGTAAAGGTAAGACATATATGGAGGATGTGATGTAGCAGAAATAATATAGGCTTTGGAGTCAGGCTTCCGTTTGATCCCCAGCTCTGACATCTTTGGTAATGGAACCATGAGCAAGTCTTTTAACCCTGCTTGGCCTTGATGGCACCTCTGTAAAAGGGGCAAATCATACCAACATTTTCAGGTTGTTGCATGGATTAGGCAATCCATGGGCATCTGTACAAAAATAGGTGCCCAGCGCCTGTAGTCTCAGCTACTTGGGAGGCTGAGGCAGGAGAATGGTGTGAACCCGGGAGGCGGAGCTTGCAGCGAGCCGAGATCACACCACTGCACTCCAGCCTGGGCCACAGAGTGAGACTCTGTCTCCAAAGGAAAAAAAAAAAAAAAGGTGCCCAAGGCCTGGGCTGGCTTCCTGTTGCCTCTGAAGCTTTTCCTGAGTTCCATCAACCACAATGCTTGTTCTCTGCAGTTGCCACAAAGAGACGACGGGGACACTGCTTTTTTTCTCCCAGGACTGGCTATCTCCTCAAGCTGCTTTGGGCAGAAACAGCATAAACAACTTGCAGTGCAATAACGTGCTGCCCGGAACAACTGTCACTTAAAACGTTTAAAATAGTTCTTGCCTTTGACACTTGAATTTAACTTTGGAGTGAACTAGCCATTCATTGTGAGAAAACCTCGAGTGGACTGTTTTAATATGCAAAAGCAAGGCAAGTTTCCACCAATTGTTCTTGTGGAAGACTGAAATGCCGTGAATCAATGTGAGCGCAGAGGCTTTGGAGTGAGAAGTGTTCTGTTTAGCGATGTAAATTGGGTGAATCTTTTAGCAGATTTATGGCTCTGCAGCTTGTTTTCCTGAGAAATTCTTCCTCACTCACTGTACTTTAGCTTGCCAGATACTATGTATTCTTGACGTGTTATGTGTGTTATTTCTCCAGCAGTTGGATGGAGAGAGGAGCTTGGATAGAGAGGCATGTGGAGGAACACCTGCCCCTGCATTGTTGCCCCTAAATTTCATGCATGAGGAGAAGCTGGGCAAAGGGACTGGACTGGGCTTGGGGTGTGCAGCTAGAACTGAACTGGGGCAAAATTAATTTAGGTTTAGGGTTAAGGTTGAGACTTCTACCTAGTGCTCTTCACAACTAAAAACCCAGGCCTTGGAAATGTTAAACTATGGTTTTTGTTGTTGTTGTTGTTGTTTTGTATTTTTGATCATAGGGGTTGTGGTCTGTAGATTAAGGGGAAGTGTTGTCTCTGAAGGGACCAGATACCTCCAATGTCAATGATCCTGAAAGAAGTCAATCCTGAGAATGAGGTCTGGAAAGGTGGTTGTTAGAGCTAGGACAAGGTGAAATTGTTTGCTCCCTCTGGCCTTGAAGTCTGACCTCTAGGAGACTGGGGCCACCAAGGGCACCCCTGTAGGTGGGAGCTGTTCCCTGCAACGTCAGCAAGTCAAGAGCGAGGCAAAGACAGATGTCTAGTGGAGGCTGTGTGGAGAGACTTGAGACTATGGAATAGACATATCTAGCCACTAAAACATAAATTAGATTAAGTAATTCCCTTGCTTAAAACTTTTCTGTTGCTTCCTTTTACAAACTCCTAATTGTAGCCAGCAGGGCTCTGAGTGATCCGGCCCTGCCTGCTTCTCAGATATCTCCATGTACGACTTCTAAACTTATTCATTGCGCTCTAGCTATATTGCTTTTTTTCTGCTCTTGAAACTCATCAAGCTTATTCATACCTCAGGACCTTTGCACTGGCTTCTGCCTTTGCCTGGAATGTTCTCCAGATCCTCACATGGCTTAGGTCATCTAGGTCTCAGTTAAAACGTTACCTTTTCAGAGAGGCCTTTTCAAACCGCTTGATCCAACATGGCCACGCTTCTGTACCGTTTATTTCGCTTTTCATTATAGTACTCATAATCAAAATAATTTTGGGTGTTTATTTTCTTCTGCCTTGTCCAGTTTCTCCACTGGAATGTAATTAATGTGAACCAGGATCTTGTCTATCTGTTTATTCTGTAGCCTCAGTGCCTAGAATAGTGCTTGGCACCTGGTAGGTGTTCGATAAGCACACATCAAGTTGTAGAAAAGTCTTGTTAAATATTTCAGCTGTGGAGCATTGAGAATGCTTGGGGTGAGAAGGTGCAGAAAAAAGGATAGCTTTGACTGAGGGTGCTGGTCTTGTATGAGCAGGAAGTCCTACCCTGCTCTTTGCAGCCAGATTCTTGGCTGAGGTGCAAGTATCATCCAGGTTGAAATTGTGAAAGAATTTCCTGAAGAGTCCTAGAGCGGCATCACTGCCAAGCAGCTAGGGGCTTGAACTGTTGGGACTTGGAAGTTCCTATTAGTTTCCCAGGGCTGCCATAACAAGGTACCACCAACTGGGTGTCTTAAATAATATAAATTATTGTCTCTCTGGGCACGGTGGCTCACTCCTGTAATCCCAGCACACAGGGAGGCCGAGGCGGGCAGATCATGAGGTCAGGAGATCGAGACCATCCTGGCTAACATGGTGAAACCTCATCTCTACTAAAAATCCAAAAAGTAGCTGGGCATGGTGGCAGGTGCCTGTAGTCCTAGCTACTTGGGAGGCTTGAGGCAGGACAATCGCTTGAACCTGGGAGGCGGAGGTTGCAGTGAGCTGAGACCATGCCACTGCACTCCAGACTGGGTGACAGAGTGAGACTCCATCTCAAAAAAAAAAAAAAAGAAAAATTATTGTCTCACAGACTCAAGGTACAGGTGTCAGTAGGGCTGCTTCCTTCTGAGGGCTGTGAGTGAGAATCTGTTGCATGCCTCTCCTAGCTGCTAGTGATTTGCTGGTGATCTTTGGCGTTTCTTGGCTTCTGGAAGAATCAAGAATCATTCCGATCTCGGCCTTCATCTTCACTATGGTGTTCTTCTTGTGGGCATGTCTGTCTCTGTGCCCAAATTTCCCCTTTCTATAAGGACACAGTCATATTGGCTTAGGGCCCACTCTAATGACCTCATGATAACTGATGATCTGCAAAAACTCTATATCCAAATAAGGTCACATTCACAGGCATCAGGATCAGGACTTCAACGTCTTTTTAAGGAGCACAATTCAACCTATAATAGCAATAAAGAGAAATCTGGAGTATTCAGGTCAAAACAGCAGCCTCTGGTTGACCAGATGCCCTGGTGACTGTGCTTGGAACATTGAGGGATCTGCTTAAAGAGAAGGCCTCCAGAGGAGAGAAATGGTGCCAGGAGTTCCCTCCTGAGGGCAACTGAAACCAGAGCTGCTGAGGGCAGGGAGGGGTTTTGGAGATTGGCCTCTGGGTTTTCTAGGCTGGCTTCTCTCCAATCACCGGCCATGGTGCACTTTGTTCAGGGTTCTTTCCTTTTCAGAACAGCTCTAAGACCCAAGCAAATATCCACTCACCATGCAGGAAGCAAATCTCTGCTTTAATTGCCTGTGCAATTAGTGCACTCCTAGTGTCGGAGCCATCACCTGGAAAAGCACTTTGGTTAATTTGAATTTAAGCGGAGCTCTGAAATGACTGAGGGCCTCATCATGAGGGTCTGGGTACCCTCTCATCATTTAACTGGCACCTGCCAACCCAGGCCTGGAGAATCTGTCTGCAGTGCTGTTTGCATCTCCTCATCCCTTCTTTCCCCTCACCCTCCTCCAGCAGAGGGGAGCATATTTGAGGTGTAGGCTGAGGCTGTATTGAGAAGTCAGCCGCCTGACAGCTGCCAATCCACCAGGCAACTGGAAACAGAAAGCCATGTAGCAATGAACTGAAACTCATGGGGAGCTCCTAGGAGGCAGAATGTAATTGTCTTGATCAGAATTTTCCTGGGCCACCAGCCAATCCTGCTTCCATCTTGTCGACCTGAACACCAAGAATTTGTTTTCCATCATGCTGCTCAAGAGCTCTCCTCTCCTTTTTGCCGCTTCAAACTTCTTATCAGAGCAGAGCACAAAGAAACCACTTTTCAAACAAAACTATCTTGAAATTAAGAAAAGGATGCAGGACTCATTGTCCACAGAAGATACCACACCCCGGAGCAAGTGGTATTGTGGGGGTGGGAAATGAGAAGCTGACCTAGAATTAACCAAGAAGGGACGTGAGCATCTTTGGCTAAATGAGGAAGCAGAAGGGAAGAGAAATGGGCAGAATTTAGTTCATTGTTTCAAGATGCACATTCGGTCACTCCGGATTCCAAGATATGTTCAGTAAAAATCCCACTGGGCACCCCCTGGGTGACAGGGTGGCATCTGGCCCAGGCACTACAGAGAAAACCTAAAAGAGTATTTTTCAGAAATAAACTTTGCCTTCTCCATTTTGTCAGTGTCTGTACTTGCTCCTTTTTAAGGGGGAAGCTTTTCCCTGCCCTTGATGTTTCCTTCCTAAGGCTCTTGTCTCTCTTTTGCTGGAGAAAATGAGCTTACCTAAATGGTGAGTTTTGCAGCAAGGCCTGGGCATTGCCCTTCTGTTCCCCTCTCTCGTGGGACAGGCTGTTCCGAGGGTTCAGGCACCTACTTGTTCCTCTATGCTCTAAGTCCTAACCTGGATAGTCTCCCAATTTCTGCCATATGGAGAGACTTGCCTAGGTCCACAGTGGCCATCCAGTTTGCAAACCCATCTGGCCATGACACTAAGTTACATGCTGCAATCTAGGGGACATTTTGGTGTCCATCTGTTTCACTTTTTCCCTTATTTATCAATTGATTTTAAACCCAGCGGAACACAGGGGTGTTATTTATTTATTGAATCTTCTTGAAAACCCTGGACTCATTCCATTCTGTAGCAGGCTCTTATGCCACAGTCTAAGGTAGAATTCTTGAATTAGTGATTCTCCAACTTTATCCCATCTGAAGATGCTGGTTCTTAGATCTTACAGATGTTATCAGTTTTCATTGATCCCTGGGTCAACTTGGAGTTGGCAGAGATATTATTTGACATGTGACCACCCCAAGGCAAAGAGGATGAGACTGAGAATCCAGAAGACAGACACAATCACTAATCTGATCACAGGCCCTTATTGACCCAATTGAGGGTGCCAGAAAGCCTGTCCTTTGGATGGTGCCTGTCCTACTAGCCCACTAGCTGGCCAGACTGATGGGCACTGAGAGAGTCAGGGAGCAAGTCACCCCGAGGTCTGGCCTTTCCCAACTGTTGGCAAAGCTCTTTAAGAGTCCCAATGGCCTTGAGAATGTGGGGGTGGGTGGTAATCAAAGCAAGGCAGGTTTTATATGGGCTTTATGAACTTCCTGTCTGTGGGAGTCAGCCTCATATTAGCCTTACTGCTAGTGCTTACAAACGGCAAGGTGAGTCACAGAATTGGTCAGAAGTTCTGCTTAGAGTTGTACAGGCTGGGCTTAGCATAATGCCAATGCACATCATCATGGTGGTGTAGTCATCGTAGGTTTATAGAATTATTATGATAATTTCCAGCAAATGGTAAGAATGTGTCTTGAGAAAGAGACACCTTTCCTGAATTCTCACAAAATTTCCATTTGGACTAGCGATATGGATGCTTACATGTGTTCAAGGCAAACTTGTCATTTTACAAACGGGAAACCTGAGGCCCATAGTGGGGAAGGATTTATATCAAGCACAGATCTGGTTGCCAGTAGAGGTAGGATGAGAAGCTAGTTTTCCTCTCCTAGTGAGGGAGCGCTGCTTTTCCTGTATGCTGGAAACCTCTTGCTTCCTTCTCGCGGTGTCTATGACAAGGCCAATGCTCTGACACACCTTGCCTCATTCCTAATACTCCTCTTGCTGTGATGACACCACCGGTTGGCTCCACCCCTCTTTCCCTCCTTGTGCGTCTCTCCCCCACCGCAGCCTTACCTGTTGTGAACTGAGTGGTGGCAGAATCGCTCTCGTTGGTCCCTCGGACGGCACTGACTGACACCTCGTATCGGGAGCCAGGCCGCAGGGCCTGCACTGAGTATTGGCTCAGGGGAGGCTGCAGCCGGAAGGTGGTCCTCCCACCTTCCCCGCCCACCAGGCCATATTTCAAAAGAATGAAATCGACTTTGGCTCGAGGGGGAATCCACTCCACAAAAGCCACAGTGTCCGAGACATCGCGAACCAGGATCTGCGTGGGGCCGTCAATGACTGAGTGAGAAGGATCAAACAGAACAAAAAGTTTGAATGAGAAATAAGCCTTGGGTGTCAGCTCTCTCTTTTCCTCCTTATGGAAGTCTGGTGAGTCAGAGAGAGGATGGGTATTGTTACTGCATTTTACAGATGAGGAAAATGAGACACAGTAAGATGAATATCTTTCCTGAGGACATGTAGTTTGCCTTGATTCCCCTGAATTTTGGTCTAACTGCTCTTTTACCAGGCTGTAGTTTCCAGGTGATGGCACTTCCCAGTCTGGGCAGGGGAAGGGCACTTGCTGGCTTGAAAGAGTCAGCCCTGTTTCTTTCTGGAGGTCATGGGACAGGGAATTGAGAACTGGGTTTCTGGCGTGTGTCTGCCACTCAGCTCTCACCTCTTTGAGCCCTGAGGAAAGACCTAGGAAATGACCAGCCCACCTAAACATCCAAGACTTCCAGATTGGTTGCCAAAGAGGTCATCATGAGTATTCAAAAGATGTCCCTGCTCAGCCACTCTAACAGCACAGTCAACACAGTTGCTAAGACCATTTAAAAACCAACAGACATTTGCATATGAGGACATGAAACATGCCTTCTGGGTAAACTTGCTTCTCTGGATAAAAGGATAAAAAGGACCCCAGCTTCGGAACAGCCTCTTACGGGTCATTTTTCTCCATCTGTTCTTGCATATTTCTACAGCAGAAGGACATTGCAGTCACCTCTTCCAGGTTCTCTAGTGTATTTCCCTCATAAGCCCTGGCCCCTGGCACTGTGCAGGTCAGGGCAACACCTGGAAAGCTGGTTGATTTCCTGCAGGGCCCACCAGCTGTGGCTCCAGCACCCACTTGAGGTTCTGTTCATACTGAATTAGATAATGGGGAGGTGAGGGAATGTAGAAGAAGAAAGAAAAAGAAACAGCCAAGTGAGGAGAATAGGAAATGGTCTTCTCAACTTCTCATGGGATGTCTGCATGGCCAACATGCTCTTGCCTCCATGTTTTCATTTATTATTGGGGCTACACCCTTCTGGCTGGAGCTGATTATTAATGTTAATATTCTTTAAGGATTTGGAACTAAAACCAGAACTCTGGTTCTCTAATTAGCCTGTGTTGGACCGTGCAGAGCCAGGGCTGGTGTGGCCATTTTCTACCATTCTGATACTGATATAGAAAACATTTGATCTGGAGAAAAGGGGAAAGAGGGAGAAAAGGAAAGAGGGAGAGAGAAACCAGTGGCCATGCAGAGCTTCTAGAAAGATATATGGAATAACTTGATTCCTGATGTTCCATTTTCTGGTGCAAGTCTTTTGTGAGGCCCAGATGCATTTCTGGTCCTGGGATTCCCATGAGGCACTCTATGTCCTTCCAGTAAATTCTCTCTTTTGCTTCAGCTAGTTTAAGTAAGTCTCTCTTCCTTGTTACTGGAGAGCCTTGGCTAAGACTTGTTTCTAACCAGTCCACTCTGGCCCACCTCCTACTCTGTCTCCAGAATGAAGTTTCTCCCTCAGGGCCGTCTTAGGCTGACCTTGAGGCTTTCAGTTTTTCAAGGTTGAGCCTTTCCCTGGGTACCCCTCCCTCTTTCCGGGTCTTAGCCTAGTCCTGTCCTCTCTTAAGCTGCTTAGGGCTTTTGGTCCAGCACCAGCTAAAATGAAAATCACCAGACCACTTGGGTGCCACCTGGTTTGGACTTAAAATGAAGTCCTGGTTTTCATATTTGAGGTAGTAATGTGATTTAACAGAATATATCCAGTTTCTTTTCAGCATGCTGCACTTGGTGGTTTTAGATAACTTAGGCCTTTCACATTTAATTTAAATTAATTATGAAATGGGGGAAGTGGCCTCCTAGTTGCTGTGTAAGCATGATATCTGAAGCATAGTAGACACTCAGTAAATGTGTGTCGAGTAAATGAAATGAATGGAAAATCTTCTTTATCCATGAGAAAGAAGGGGAAGCATTTCAATAAACTGGAGCTTTTTGGAAAAAAAAAAAAGTGTCAGGGAAATGCAACTGACCACAAAAAGCTTTTGTCCTTCAACTCTTTAAATCCAGAAAACCCGAATCATAATGGATTGAACATATTAAAATGTGATTATGTAGCGCAGAGGGTTTTAGCTGTGGGAGGTCTTGTAATTTGCATTCACAAAATGGCCTGCCTAGAAGAAGGCAGCCTGAGTGCCTGATGAGGACACAGAGCTTCGCAGTAGGGGGTTGGTGTAGGTCAGACCTTAGCAGAAGGAAATAATTAAACAATCGTTTCCTAAAAACAGCACACAGGATTGGGAGCCAACCGTCTATTTTGTAGCCACTCTTGGATTCTGCCCTTTGTTGGCCACTTGGTAGCAATGTTCCATTCCAATCAAGGAGGTATCAACTTGCTTTCAGCTTTGGTCCTAATTTCTAAACAAACACAATCCCTGCTCAAAAAGTAAACTGGAATAAATGTCTTTCCATTTCTTCATGACTCTGTAGATGATGCCAAAATATTAAGGACATTTTTTCTTAAATGAAAATAATTCTGCCTAGCTTTACCACAAATTTCTAGATCTGGAATTTTAATTTTAAACTTAAGGAACTGCCAAACCAAAAAATACTGCAAATGTTATAAGAATGTGGTTTGACTATAAGACAAAGTTGGACTACCTTCTCCATGTTCTGTCAATATTCTAGGAGAAAAATATTCTTCAACTGCAATGTTTTCTATCCTCTTATGAACCATCTTCTCCTTTTAGCCTTTTGTCTTTTACTAATACTTTCTTAATATCAAATCACAGGAATAACTTGGGCACCTTGTAACATTTCATATCAGAAGAGGAGAAGCTGCACCTGCTATTGTTGGGCTCATCACAGACACTCCAAAATTTGGCACCTTGGTGTGCTGAGTACTTTGAATTAAAGAGGAATGAAAGAGCCTCAGAAACAGCCCCGGAAGCAAGCAAGGTCTTTCTGACCATCTGCAGTCCTCCCATCTCCTGACCCTTCTTCTCCCTTTGAAGTGATTCACAGAAATCAGAATTCCTCTTCCTCAGGGCAGGTAATAGAAACTAGAACTCCTTTTCCTCAAAGCAAGCCATAAAACCTAGAAAGGTAACTTTTTCCCTCCTCCCTTCTCCCTTGAGGACCCTCATTCCAGTGAGGTCTTGTCCCACAGAGGAGGTGGAGAAGAAATGCTTCACAGAGAGGCCAAGAAGAATCTGGGCAGACAGGCCTTGCTGGGTCTCCCCCTTAGACTATTACCATTAGATCATAGCCATTTGTCCAATTACGTTTCTACATGGCTGTCCATTATTCCTCAAACCTAAGCGTAAAAACAGACAATTTCCCCCAGGTCTTTGGGTCTTCATTTCTGAAGGCTCCTTTGTCATGTGAAACTTTGATTAAATAAATTTGTTACGCTTTCTCTTGTTAACCTGTCTTTTGTGATAGCAGTGTTGTTGTGATGCTTATATGATGGGTGAGCAAGGGCATCACACCTTTCTGCCCCCAAGTTATCGAATGTCAACTCTTCAGGTTACAGCATAACCTTGGAGCTGTGGAAAACCTCAGCCACCGGCCTTCTGGAGGGATTCCTACAGAGCACTGTAGCTTTTATGGTTATGGGGTTTCTTCTAAAACATACTATTTAGAGCAGAACCATGGTTTGAAAGCTTTTTGGGTGGTAAACTTATTTTTTAAAGGACAAAAATCTTAAATGGATGTACAAAATATAAAACAGATCAAAGTGGAGCTGTCCTGGTTGGAGGCATGAAAGAGGGAGTAATTAGAGGTCTGGCTTTCCACTGGATTCTAGCCTCAAGGCACTGCCATAGAACCTTGGTGCACTAATGGAACACAAGCTACTGCCACAATAGTTCTGAACCAACGTTTTCTAAACTGAGCTTAAGCCTTGGCACCTGATGCTGTTTGGTTTGGATTCAGTAGCAGAGCATGAATCACTAATCTATAAATGTGGTCTCATTACATTGTGTTGTGGTTCTCATCTCTGGTCAACTCAGCCTTTTGTCCTGGACTTAAAACTGGCTTTCTGGTACATCAATTTCTGTTTATGAAAAACACATAAAGCTGTACCAATAGTCACCTATCTCAATTTCTGTTACTGACAGAGAAAGTTGCTTAGCCTCTGAGTTTCAGCTCCATCAACAATAAAATGAGAACCAAAACTTATGCCAGATGCTATTTATAACTTTCGAGACATTCTTGGTGAGGACACACACACATTTATACATCACAATAGCTAATTTACAGCATTGAAGTTGAACACTCTTTGTTAGCTGAGGATACAATAAGGCAAAATATGACAATTAATGAATCAATCCTGGAAATATAATAATCTTGAATGAGGTGATCTGTGGGATGAAATAATAATAGACTTAAGCCATCACCTTGAACAGTGACCCAACCCATACCTACTTATTTTTGAATGACTTGTTTCCTACCACTTTCACTTCTGAGTATGTTCTGAGTATATGTGCGTATACCAAGTATTGAGCACTCACTCTCATCAGCACAGAGCTGATTGCTTTGTGTGCTTTATCTAATCCCATCCTCATATTAACTTAATGAAGAAGGTATTCTTGTTTATCATAAATTATTCTTGCTTATCTTGTAAAATAAATTGAAGTTTGGGAAGGTTCAGATGACTTTCTCCAAATATCATCATAGGTAAGAATGAGTCAGCTCTTGCTGCTTCCAAAGATCATTGACACCAGAGGCTGACAAATGAGTGTTCTTCATGAGTAAGATCAGCATAAATACAATGGAAATATTAAAAAAGAATTGTCTCCATGAAACACTCTCCCAGATGACAGTATTTGTAAGGATGAGTAATAGGGAAGATGATGAGCTAAGCATCTGGTAGAGTAGCTCCATTGCCAGGTACCAGAATTGTCCCAGCTCTAGGAGAAATTCTAGCACCTCTGTTGTCTCTCCACTCCTTGGGCAATTCTGTGGTTCTTTTCCAAGTGACCTAGTAGGCAGCTCTAGGGAGAAGGGTTGGAGGCACTCACCTGTGGAGACGCTGGCCGAGGTAGGGGGGCTGCGGGCCTGTTCTTTCAGAGCCACCACATTGACAATGTATTCCTCCCCAGGCTTTAGTCCTGTCTGGTTAAAGGACGTAACATCGCTGGGGACCTGAGCAATCACTCCCCCTTCATTGTTCTGGACAGTGGGGAGAAGCAGAGAGCAAAAGAGAAAAGTCACTGGGAGAGAAATCTGATGAGAGAAAGATAAAGGTGTGGAATACTAATTGTGGATTGTGAATTTAAAATGGGGGCGATGTCTCTTTCCTCCATGCTGACAGCTGAGTATCTGGGGCCAGAAATAACTCCCCATAGACTCCATAAGAATGACACCACCCTATGAGGATTTGGCAAATGGAGGATCAATTTTTAAGAACATTTCTTTGGCCACTCCTGAGTTTGCTGAGTTTGCCAATAAAAATTAGTGATGAGGTGGTGCAGATTGGCTCTTGCCAAAGATCAAATGTTTGATGGTTGCGGTTAACATTCATCAGAGGTTTTTGGCATTTATCGTAATGAACATGCCCCCGGCTATTTAGGAGAGGATAGTCATGTGTGTTTGTGTGTAAACATCTTTATATACACACACAACACATTTCAAACTAAGACATTGCTATGAGATAATTGTTTATGAGCCAGAGCTAATATTTTGCTATATCTGGAGTTTCTCATGGTGCTACATTCGGTGTGAATCTGTCGATGTCTTGTTTCCCCTTCACCCAGATGAATTAGGACTCAGTGACACAACCACATATGAAGTACAAAGAAAGGAAAAAGGAAGCTTGGAAAAAGATAATACAAAGAAGAGAAGAAGGAGACAAGAGGGAGAGGGAATGAGAAAGAGTAACTTGACGAAATTGAATCTAGGATTTATTATCTATCTTTCTATCTTATCGTTCCCTCTCTCTCTTTCCCTCCATATACTTTCTATGAGTGTCCTTAGAAATGGAGGAGACAAGAGGGCCTCTTTTGGAGGGCACTGCCATTCTCCCCTATTCTTTGGCCTCTATTTATGGTACCCAGGGTGCCTTATATGTAATTTACAGTCATACTCTTATAAATCAGTGTGATGAATGCTCCCCAGTGGCCTCAACCTACAGATCACAACAGTTATTAAACCATGTGGCCATGCATTTGACCTTGGCATTCCCTGGTCAGCCTCTCTTTTAATTAGAGTTTTACATATTGGGTATAGGTAACAGGAGAACCTGGCGTAATTTTTCTTCCTGAAAAACATTGGTAGCAATGTTCCATTCCAATTGACATGATCGTTTCAATTGTTATGTAACTCAATTGCCACATTTTATTTATCATTTTAACTCAAATAGGACACATTTGTATAGATGTCTGTTTAGATTTATTTACCTTGCTGTGATGTGACTATAATATGACTGTAAATAAGAAAATGGGGCATACAGATTTAGTGAACAGAGCCCCGGGATAGGTGGTGGGGACCCAGGTACTCGTTTTAAGCCTGTCACCAACTAGCTGTATGATGTCCTTCAAGTTTTCTGAATCGTAGTGTCTATAAATTAAACTAAACTAGATGTAAAATGAGGGGTCGTACCTGTGAACTTGAAGGTCTTTTGTAACTCCAACAGTTCACAGCTCTAAGAATTTTGAAGTAAAAGAATGGTGAAATCATGGTCTTGTTAGCCAAAAATGTGTCATTTGTCATTAAGTCTGATGAATGGCTAAAAAATGTTCTTTGATGTTGAAGAATAAAGACAGAGGGAAGGAGTATAATTGAACTTTATATCCTCATGAGTGGTACAGTTAGGGAGGACATTGGTAGGGTCAACAAATTCTGGAAATTTAGAGCCAGGCATACACCTGTGGCAATTCGGAAAAGTTAGTTTTAGAATTAAGAAAATAAATAAAATACTGCTTTAGAGAGTAGAAAGGAATCTTAGGATACTTTAAAAGTCATAGACTAATAAAAAAGTTGCTAAATTAATAGGATACAAATGTATTATGAATAATCCAGGAGAGCCAAGGTGTTTTGTTTTATGTCTGTAACCTTTAGGGATTGATGCCATGCAAGCTGACTTTTCTGTGGTGCATCTGTCTGCACAGAATGAAGCTTTTGGCTGATTATGTGATGGATTCAGCCTGGCTTTTCTTATGTCCTAAAGAGAAGCCTCAATTTTTTCAGGGTCTGGTTTTCATGCTCACCAAAACTATGGCTCATCAGACCCCAGAGTTATCTCAGCAGAGAGCTGGAGCTGGTGGCTGCTTCCCACATCCTCTGTTCTGCAAGGCCAGGGTGCCATGCTCAGGGCTACTCTTGTCAGCAGGTCGTTACCACATATTTGTCACAGAAATGTTCTATATCCCAGACACCCACAACATGCCATTTTGTGTCTTTAATGGCATGGAGAGAGATATTGGGTAGCACTTTCCTTGCTGCCCCTGATTCCAAGCTAAAGGTACAAATATTCCAAATAAGTCTGTTTGGCAGTGTAACAGGTGAGTGTTACCTTTGGAATGAAGCTGATTTCCCACCCATCGAAGGAAAATGAGAAGGGCTCCCACTGCACCTCCACGGTGGTCTCTGTGATCGTCTTAAATTGTAGCCCTTGAGGAGTGGAGAGATCTGGAACACAGCAATGTAGGTGACAATGTCATGGCTAACCCTTGGGACAGACAGCATTGCCTGGTGCTTTGTCTTGGTGAACTCCCTCCACGCCATGGGCGTGGTGGTGTCTGGTGGACAATCCCAATCTTGCTCCAGACACAGTGAGTCCCAGGTGCAGAATCAACCCACCCCATGTGGCTCTAGTGCTCGATGTTGATGGAATACATGAGTTAACTTAAACACAATCTATATAAACAATTTTTAATGCTTTTTATTGCATTAATAGGTTACTATTAAAATGCAGACATCATTTTTCTTTTCTTACTAATGTGGTAGATCTTGGCATATCATATATAGTACAGTGCCTTTTTCAGAGGACTTGAGCAGTATCTTTAGAAGCTTTACAGGACTCCCGGGAGGTACTATGATGGCTTCTATCAGTGTTCTCATTTTGCACACAGGAAAAGAGAGGCACAGAGAAAGCTGGCTAAAGTTGTGGAGCAAACCAGTTTCAGAATTAATACTAGAGTGATTTCCTTGATCATCTGATGCACATTGAGAGTATTTTGTTTAGCTCAAATCACTAAGTCTAGGATGGTCTGAATTTTTCATTTCATGTATCTCCCTCTTTTCCTCCCACCACCCCTTCTCCCCCAACCACACAGTCACATACACATGCACAGGTTTTGTGAGATGGAAGTGTGCTTGTCCTAATGGAGTTTCAATTATCAGCCCTGAAATATGACAGCATGACTTTTCTCAGTTCTCCAGGAAGCCTGCTCCCATTTTAGCTTTGCCTCTCATGGGCTATTCCCATTGGAAAAAGGACAGATTTTCTCATCCTTCCTGTTTGGAAGAGTTCTCATGCTTCTTGGTTGGAAGGCAGGGCTGACTGCAAGCCCACTTGAAGTTGTGTCAGGTGGTTTACATGATTTTGTCCTTGTCACCTGGGAGCTTGCCTGAGGGAATGCCCTGAATTGGCATAATAAATGCCACAGGAGATGGAAACCTCATCACTGTGCATGCATGTGGATCAGAGAGGAGACGCTTGGGAGTTAGGCCAGGCACTTAGGGTGGTGACTCATCCCGGAGCAAGGTGGGAAAAGCGGCAGATGGTGACCTGCCTCTCTGCACAATCATTGCAGATATTTAAAACCAGTTCTCAGGCACCAGAGGATTTTTTTTTTAAAAAAAGGTCAAATATAAACAGAGATAATTATAGGCATATTAACAGAGTCAGCACTCTTCTCATAGCGGAGTCCAAAATTATAGCAGAATTTCTGTCACCTGAAAAGCAAGGGGACAAGATGACTTCTTAAATTCCTTCCCCTCTGCCTGTCTCTATCCTTGCATCCTTCAAAGGTCAATTCAGTCCTGGAGCTTCCATGAAGATTTCAAGGCTAAATCTTTCTACCTTGACCTTTTCCTTTTCTGAACTTTCGTGGCATTTGTTACCTGAATACCATCTACCTACACAAAATGGGCTCAGATCTCTTACCCCTTATCTGGTGGTAAGTCCTATTTACTGGCCCGGGGGCTTTCTGAATTCTAGAGGGCTTATGTTTTCATGGTTACTTCTTGTTCCACTTTCTTGGTATTGCTAAAAATCTCTGTATCACTCATACCTCATCTCCTTTGAATGTTCTCTTCTCTCTTCCCAGATTTTAATCAGATACAGCCCCTTTTTCATGATCTCTCCAAAGACTTTCCACATAAGGCACAGAGGCATTTGTGTGCATGCAGGTTTTGCAGTAGACTTGGGGTGATGAGAACTTCTCTTGCCTAAATTATTCTGCCTGGCTTTTGAAATTCTAAACTAAAACAGGCTTATTGTATCAATTTAAGAATTCAGAGGGGTATAAAGAAAAATATAATAATTATTTCCTATCTCCTTCTTATTCTACTCTGTGATGTAGTCAGTGTTAATAATTGTTATGTAATCTTTTATATTTTTCTATGCTTGAACATACACAAAATATAGGTACACACCCACAGAAGTTTCCCTTTATGTATAAAAAAAACTGTTCATTTCTTATGGAGAGCAGTTTAGATTGCTTTCTGTCTCCATCTCTCTCTTTCTTCCCTGTGAATCCTTCTAAATTATGCTCTAGGGCTTCAACTTTTATAACTAAAATGAACTATTAAGATATTTCACTAAACAAAAGACCAGGAGGAAATTATGCCACCTCTCTATCAGGAGAAGGGGATGTTGTCAGCTGTGGTTTTAAATAAGATTTTTTTCTCACTTTGCTATACACTTATGGTCGAGAACACACCATTTAGCACTTGCTTCTTAGAGGTCCTAGTTCATATCTCCTTGTTTTGGATCCCTAACTGATTCAAAGTCTGTAGATGTCTTACACTTTCCTTGACTTCTAGTCAGAGTCTAGCTTATAACAAGCCAGTACTCCATAATTAAAGTACTTTTTGTCCTTTTGGTTCTATAATTTATGAAAGCTGCCTGAATTTGGAAACTCTCTTAATCGAAAGTGCCTTTTTAATGATGTACCCTTTCTAAATGGGTCACATCTCTAGCCCTTCCCCTCAAGGGCAATAACTATTCCAGGCATCCCTGAAGAACTAAGAAAAGACGCTACTATCATGAATGCCCATGATCTCATGTAGGAGAAAAGAAAAATGAAGCAGGACGGGGAAATGGTACGTACGGGTGGCCACCTTGGCAGTGATGGGAAGGCTGAGGATGTTGCTAATGACAGCGTAGACGCTGATGTTGTAGGTGAGACCTGGCTCCAGCTCCGTGATGGTGACACCACTCCAATCTCCAGGCACCCGCTGCTGGAGCTGGAGGCCCCCCAGGGCCGTCGGCTGGTAAGAGATCACATATTCCGTCACTGCCATCGGCCCGTCCCATTCCAGCTCAATGGACCTGTCGCTGATACCAGCCACTCGCAAGTCCTCTGGAGGGGCAACTACCGGGAGGCAATACACAGATAGCATGAGCTCAGAGGATTGCCTTCCCCATCCTGGACTCAACTTTCTTCCTCACATCTCACCCCCCATGCCATGTCTATATGTCCTGCTGGGCTCAATGGCTTTAAGTGATTTGTAACTTCCTTTGTGAGCAGGCTCTTGTCTTTTTGGTGCTTAGTACCCCAATCTCTATAAGGTCATGAACATGCACTGGAGCCAGCTCCTACTGGCTTGTAAATGCTGATTGTCAAATTTTCAGGACTGTTTCAAGACTGTCGTTGAATACAGCCATTATTAAAGATTCAATTTTATAACCTAATACTTAAGTAAATTATATTAAAAATAAAGGTAATAGATATTCAAAATTTATCACTCTCAAATTATTTGACTACATTTTACTATTATGTGTACCTTTAAGATAATTTATGTGTGCTCTGTCTGGTGAAAATATTCTATGATTGTACTCTACTACACATCTGTTTCCAGCTCCATGTTTACTGACGTCATGTTGGTAATTGAAATTGGCCATGGAGAGAGTATTTACATCATGGAAACTGGCAAATGCTACACAACGGGGCTTTTAAATTTTTTTCCTTTAGGGAGCCAGGTTGTTAGGTATTTAACAGCACACCACTGGCCAACATTTTTGGTGGTTTAATAAGTTATCGTCATCAGATTACCCTGGGAGCCAATATCTGATTTGGCAAGTGGAAATAAAGACTCATTCCTGATTATCTTGCAAATTATGAGAAGCCAAAACAGTAAGTCCTGGATACCACGGCCTGATGAAGACACTCAACAGCCCATTATTGTAGAATTTTCCCTTTTAAAGACCACTTATGTTCTGAAAGAAATCTAGCTTGTGTTAAACTAATTTTTATTAGCCTCAATCTTGGAGATGATGATGATAAAAAAACATTCTTGAGGACCTTGCTTTACTTTCTTCTGATTTCTCAAATGCTACTTGGAGTCACCAAAGGGTAAAACACAGAGAAATAGACTTTTGTGTATCGTCTTGGAAAATGAAGATTCACCAGTGTTGTGGCCATTAAATAATCAAGCCTTTAAGACTAACTAAGAGGCTAACTCCAGTGTGTCTGTAATTAGACCTGCCCATAGATTAAATCAAAGATCAAGCCGATATTTAAATGGTCATTATTAACTTATAAATTTATATGTAGTGGAGGCTTCGATGAGTTTAAGAGTTGTCATAGGTTTTGAATTTCTCCCCTGGGTAATCTCACCCCTCCCCTTTACAACCAGGTAGGCTGAGGCCAGCTGTGTTTTGCTGGACCTTGTGAGTGGAGAGTGCTGTCTCCTCATTGTACTCACATGTGCACCCTCAAATCCTCAGCAAAGACAGAGACACAAGGAGACCTTTAACAGATCCAAGACTCACAGGATAGAATCAGCAGCATATATATGCACTGCTGGACATTTGCTTCAATTACTTTTGCCTAAAACCATTCATTGAATAAAACAGTCTAGAAAGCAGAGCTTCTTGAGGATGGCAAATGTTGACCAAAACAAAAATTAAAAAAAATTTTTGTTTAAAATTTATAAAACTCAAGAAGTGTAAACGAAATTTAAATAAGCTTTCAAATGATGTTTTATAAACTGTATCACCTATAGTTTTGACCTTATTAAAGCTTTGAATTTCACTAAAACCTTTGGGACAACCTATATAACACATACAGAATGACTCCTAGGCCATGAGAAGAAGAGTTGATATTTAGAACCTGTCAGGATTTTGCATGATTATACTGAGCACTTATTATGTACCAAGTACAATGCTAACCACTTTTACATAGATTATTTCAATTCACCCTCTCACCAACACCATGGGATTAAGGTATCATTATTACTACCATTTTATAGATGACGAAATTGGGCCACACAGTCAGCAAACATAGAAGCTAGGATTAGAATGCAGGCAGAATGACTATAAACCTTCTTAGCCAATATACAATACCACTTTACATTTATATAGCATTTCACAGTCTATAAACTATTTTCATATATACCATCTAACAAGAATTTAAAAAAATATTTAGTAGCAGTCATATGAGGTAGTTCATGTAGAGATAATTATCCCAGCTTTACCAATGAGGAAACTGAATCCCAGGTTAAGGGATGTGCCAAAAGTCAGAGTGGGTCATAGCAGAACTGACTGTCAAACCCTGATGTTCTACAGTTTTCATTCTTTCCCCTACAATTTAGACAGCAGGTTACAGATTGCGCGAGATGCCTCCTTTCATTTATACATGGTGTCCCAAAGTAAACTATATTAGGAATAATTCAGACGATCTTAATAGGTGTGATCTCTAGACTGGTGCTCATCCTACAGGTAAGAAAATTCTTTTTAAACAGGTTCTCTAGTGCCTGTCTCCTGTGATTCAACACATTAACTCCAGGTTTCCTATGCAGGACTTCTGTCATAGTGGCAGAAATGGCCACTCCAAATTTCAAGTCACCAGCAATTCTTAGGGCATTTGGAACAAATCAGCGTATTCCTTTTTGCTTCCTTCTTCAAAGCTAATATTAACAATAGAGGGTGATCTAAGAAGAGCATTTTGGGATTTTAAAGCAAAAAAAAGAGGTGCAGAAGGATTTTTAAAAAAATCTTGGCAACTTAGCTTGAGGCCTGAGCCTGGTGGTAAAGTTGCCTACACTTCTGAATGAGAAAGCAGCAACTGGCGTCATTCCTCGTGGAAGTGGTCTTGACAATGGTGGCTCAATGGAGGAGACCACCACCACTTTCACTCTAAATTAGCAGCAACTATGTACACTAGGCATCAGTAATCCTTATAAAAGAAAATTATATTGAACTGTACTGCAAACAATCAAAGAGCCTCATGCCTTAATTCAATGAATTCACGGTGGGTGCAAAGTATTCTTAGCCTTACTTTCTTTGGGGTGTCAACTTTGAAACTTGAGGAAGAGCATGCTGTTAAAGAGGAATAAACTGTGGCTTGAGGAATCAGGGTTGCTTATCTGCAAAGATGCCATGCTGTTTCCTCTTTAGATTTTGCATAAATGTTGCACTTATGTGGTGAGAGCAGTTGGAATTAGTTCCATGATGTGTCTTACTCCAAAGAGTAAGTGGTTTCGGGTGCCAAAGGTTGGGCTGGCTGCAGTCCTGACAGAGCAGAGGCTGACACTGATGAATCTCCGCAGGTCTGACTGAAGTCCAGGAAACAGCTTTCTGGATTGTCTCAAGACCCTGTTCTGATGGTTCTTTTATCCTGCTGGCTCCGGGGGAGTTTTGGCCAGCTCCCTGGCCAGCCCCAGCACTAACCACCATCACTGGGGACAGATGTGGACAAATGGTTGAATGTGCTTTTCCACCCTACCTCTGACGTCTCATTTTTTTAATCATGTGATGGAGCTCAGCTTTCATATCAAAGGCTACTTCTTTGTGTATATGGCTTTAAAATTTTTATTTTTCAATTCTATTCTACTTTGCATTCCAGAGAAGATAAAAGAGTGCTAGAAGCTGGTAGGAGACCAGGATTCTTTTTCTTACTCCGCCATTAATTAGCTGTCTGGCTCTGGGAAAATCTGTCTCACTGACTGCTGCTTTTTAAATCTGTAAAATGAGAAGCTTCTTTCTAAGGCCTGTTTTAAGTTCTCATATTCATGAATGTTTTGTTCTATTATCTGTACATGGGCAGAGAATGGAGGCAGAAGTCTTGAGATTTTGTCCCTTGGCACACTATGAGGATAGATCAAGGCTAGGAGTCAAAAGTAGTGACCTTGGCAACACTATTCAATTGTGCTTAAGTGCTGCAGACCTAGGGGGCCTCAGAATGCAATCCACACAATGGGCAGCTATTTTCTACGCCCTTGCCAAAGAGAAAAGAATGCCCTATAACGAAGTATATTTTGTGGCTCTCAGTGTTTTCACCTTCCTAACCCTTCTCTCTCCTCTCCTCAGTCCCATGGGCAATGGGAACATCGTGCTGTGGTGTGTGCACCCGGCCAGGAACGTCAAACAGTGGATAAATAGCCCCTTCTCCTACAGTCTTTTCACAAAGAGCAAGCAAAGGAGCACTTTAGATAATGACCTAGATACTTCTCTGGAAGAGACCTGTAGCACTTGGTTTAAAAAGCAGGCCTTAAGAGCAGACCTCCTGCAAATGAGTGGTGGCTCTAGGGTTGCTATAGAAACAGATGGAGATTATGCAACTGTCCTTCTTCACATGCTTTGGGAACCTGTAAAGTAATTTATCTGGGCCTATTGAAGTGTTCCTCAAGCAGCACAGAGGTACCATGTCAGAGGTAACGTGCTCATAGTTTGGACTCAACCCAGTTGTAGCTATGCTAGCAGCTGCTGAGTCTTCCCTGAGGTAGCCAGGAGGGTTCAGTGTAAGTCCTGGATTAGATCAAGATTTTGTTTGCAAATGAACCTATCCCTGTAGAAAGGCAGGGTCAAGAATATGACAGGTATGTCCAGACCGCCAAAGAGTAAGTCTACTAAGAAGCATGTGCGCTACAGAATAGCATTAACACAGCGATGGCCCACACTGACCCTGGGTGTCCTCCAGATGGGGTCTCATGGAGCCTCATCCCCTGGATGGAAACTGGAGCCATTTGTCAGCCTGGCTTCCCAGAAGGTGCCTAGTGACTTTGGATTCAGAAACAATAAGGCTTAACTTCTGCTTGAATTTCACTTTGGGATAATTGGTGTGGTGACAATATTTTTAGAAAGATATTTCAATTCAGTAAACAAAATTGGGAGGCTAAATGAAATAATTGGATATGGAAAAAATTAAGGAACATTAAATTTTTTTCCCTAAGCACAGTGCATTATTGTTGTTTTTCTTTTCATTATTACCATTGATTTTTGAAAATAATTTAAGTTGAAGTTACATGTGCGGGAACATTGCCTGCCACGTAGGAGTGAGTAACTCTGGCTTACAGAAGTCTGGTGAATCCGGCTTACCAGGCTTTCCCCCTTAAACTGATGTCACATGACTTATCAGCAAATTCCTAAAATTGCTCCATTAGAAGGTTTAAAATGTTTGTTTGTTGTTATTTTTTATTTTAAATAATCCCAGTGGGCTCTCTGAGCCCTGAATGGAAAAGACCAACCACTTAATCTGTACTGTTTAAAACATAAACAAATGTATGAGCAGTAGTCACTGATTTAGTCAGAAGAGGATGAGCTATAGTGAAATAATAAACATAATCTGATTTGCATAAAAAAGGGAATCAGGCCGGGCGCGGTGGCTCACGCCTGTAATCCCAGCACTTTGGGAGGCCGAGGCGGGCGGATCATGAGGTCAGGAGATCGAGACCATCCTGGCTAACAAGGTGAAACCCCGTCTCTACTAAAAATACAAAAAATTAGCCGGGCGCGGTGGTGGGCGCCTGTAGTCCCAGCTACTCGGGAGGCTGAGGCAGGAGAATGGTGTGAACCCGGGAAGCGGAGCTTGCAGTGAGCCGAGATTGCGCCACTGCAGTCCGCAATCCGGCCTGGGCGACAGAGCGAGACTCCGTCTCAAAAAAAAAAAAAAAAAAAAAAAAAGGGAATCAGCCCCAATGAGATACTTTTTTTTTTTTTTCTCACTGTTGGGTTTAGATCCCCATTTTAGTACATCATCCTTCTATCAGCTTTGACAGTGTAGACTATACATAGGGTTGGTTCTAATTTGCTAGATAGTCATCTGGAACAAAGTGAGTCATACTCTTAATATTCTGTACTAATTGTTAGCATGTTAGCTGTTGCCCAATGTCCTTAGTACTTTATTCCTGTTTAGATTTAAGTCCTTGTCTAAAAACACTCTGCCCCACTGGAATCACTTCATAAATTAATAACATCTTGCAATCTGTAAGCTCCAAGATAATCAGAGAGCCTCACAGACCAACCACCATCTCTTGCAGTAGCATTGTGGAAGGCATTCCTGGAATATGGCAACTGGTGAGGGAGACAATTTTGAGCAGGTGGAACGCTTGGGATCCCTCAGAGTTAGAGAATGGCCTTGCCTAAGGTGGTCCCATGACTTCACTGTCTACCCTCCCCCACCTCAAGGGCAATGAAGTGTTGTCATCATTGTTACCACTACCTTTTTCCTAGTCTCAGGGGTAACAATCCAGCTCTCAGCCTGAACTTGACCTTTTCCTATTTCCACTCTTTATCCCTTTTAATCTGCCTCATCAAGACTCAAGAACTCAGCTCTCTTGGAAAGCAAATGAGTACAACTCAATTGAGAATTATTTTGCCTAAACTTCACTTTCTCACTCATCTTTCTTCCCAAGCTAACTGGAGGCATCCAGCTAGTTTGCTGGACCACCCTTGCCAAACACCCCAGAGAGTTCCCCTGCCTACCTGCTGAGCAGTCAGGGCCCTGGTAGCCCTCTTCACAGACGCAGAGCCCCTCCTCACATTGTCCTCGCCCACTGCAGGCATTCAGACACTGCCGCTGGCCGCAGTCCTCACCAACGTAGCCCTCCTCGCATAAACAGGTACCGTTGGCACATCTCCCCTTCCCCGAACAGTCCCCAGGGCACCTCAGTTCCCTGCAGTCCTCGCCAGTGTAGGGCTCTTCACAGACACACTCCCCGTCCACGCAGAGCCCCCGGGAGCTGCAGTCTGTTGGGCACCGGAGTTCGGAACAGTCATCCCCGCTGTACTCGCTGTCACAGATGCACTGGCCATCCACACACACCCCCCGGCTGGAGCAACCCAGCGGGCAGTAGGGCTCCGAGCAATTCTTGCCAAACCAGCCTTCGTTGCAGATGCAGCCACAGGACTCAAAGCTAAAGTTGCCGTGGCCACTGCAGTGAGGGATATAGTCCAGTTGTCCTGGAATGGTCAAGGAGAAGGTCAAAGAGCAGCAGTGGCCTCTCCTGTCAATGGTGCTGGGGAAGGATGGGCAAAGGCCTCTCTACTCATTCTCTGACCAGATTTCTGTTGCTGAGAGTGAAGCTCAACGTAGTTTGGTACATATTCAATTTAATAAATATTTTCACCTAGCATGGGCTGTCTGTGCCTAGCACAGGGCTGGGGGCAAAGATGAATGAGATCTGGGCCCTTGTCCTCCAGAAGCTGACCTTTAAGGTGTCTTAGGATGGATTCCTTAGAAGTAGGTCTTTGCTAAAGATTCATGTAAAAGTGATTTATTGGAAGGTGTTCCCAGAAAAAACTGGTAGGGAAGAGTGGAAAGTTGGGAAGGGAACGTGCTCAAGCCCAGGTGCATTATCAAGCCAAGTTCCAGAAGAGTCACTTGGGTTCAGTTCTGCAGGGTGCTCTGGGCAGTGCAGGTCACATCTCATTGTGGGTTAAGGTCTATGTCCCTGAGGGCATGCGAATCCCCCAGCCCCTCATTCTCTCTCTGGGCAGCCCAAGAAGTTTCCAACAAACTGAGGACAGCCTTCTCACCAGGATGCCCAGGTGCTGGCTATGGGATTTTGTGAGGGACCTAAGGAGGTATAGGCTGAGCACTGAGTCCACTGTGCAGAGAAAGGTCTTATGTGTTACAAACCTGTCTCGCTCCCTCCCTGCCTGCCATCTGACTCACTCTGCTCATTCATCAAAACCCAGCTCCATGGTTACTTCAAAGGCTCCCCAGGACCTCACTCTCATTTAGTTACTGTTTGCTATGACCCCTCTGGGATTCTACGCATGTCTCTGTCCTAGACCTTACTGTGGGATAACTACAGTGGTTAATTTATCTGCCTAGCATGATTCAAGTAAACGTATTAAACAAATACAAATGGAGTACCTGCTGGCATCCTTCTTTGCACTTGGCCTTGAGGATATGAAGTCTAGTAAGTTACATCCTTGTTTAATTCTGCCACTTCATGCCGCCCCCATGAAAATATACTTTACTGACATTATTTAACTTAGCTCTTCCTTGCAGATTTTTCCCATGTTTGCCAGGGATCCTGGTGGAAGGCTGGCAAAAAGTTCACTTATAGAAGCCCCAGCTTCCTGAGCTGCAGAGTCCATGCTCATGGAAACCTAGGACTTTCCCCTATTCTCCTGCTCCATTGAAAAGACAAGCTGACCTGACCATTGTCATTGAAGCACAGGAGAACTGGACTTGCTCTTCTGTTCTGCAGATTGTTTTATTTATAGTGTTGGTTATTGGGAGGAGAAGGAGGTGAAAGGAACCCATGAAATATTTTAGTCCTCAGTGACTGCCTCTAGACTTGCTGTGTCTCAGGGTGAATGTGTCAGGTACCCCTCTACATCTGCGGGCCATCCAGGCTCTGTTAAAATTTCACTCTGCCACCTCCAGCTTTCATCCCCGTGAAAGCCTTGAGATCATGGATCCTATAGAGGTGAGTGCTTGAACTCAAGACAAATGCCTCTTGTCATCAAAGAACTGAATTGCATGGGGTCTAAGGTACCTTTTGGGAGAGAAAACCTGTGCACAAAGGGGTACAGATACAGTTCCCACTCATTGGCGTCAGCCGATAATAGCTGTTGCTTATACGTTACTTACAGAAGCCAGGCTGACATCTGAATAGGTGCTTTTATTGTTAATAACTTCTTGTTGCTCTAGTCTAGCACCATTTGTAGATGAGGAAAGGAAGGCACAGATATGGAACTGCTTAGGTCATCAGCTAGGAAGCAGTAGAGCCAGGATCTGAACTTGGGAATTCTGACTCTGAAGACTTAATTATGTCTTGCAGAGAGGTAAAGGTAACTCACAAGGGTTACTAATTAGGGGGTGGGCAATGTTAGAAGTAAATCCCCTGAGATTTCAGCCTTTTGGAGGGTGCACTAAGTTGTGTGAGTGTGTTGTGTGTGAGAGCATGCGTGTGTGCATGCGTGAGAGAGAGAGTATGTGTGTGTGAGAGTGTGTGTGTGTGTGTGTGTGTGTGTGTGTGCATACGCTTCTGTGTGCTTTTTGAGGGGGCAGGGGCTAAAGCTTCCATCTCACTGGAGAAGATGGGGATAGGTCCTCTGAGACCTTAATGACTATCATCTACTCAGATGGGAGAAAGGCTGCGATTGAGTGAACAGAGCGTCTGCATTCTCTAGTCCCTCAGGTTAACATGGATAGATATCAATTCAACAGCCTGTGAAAACCAAAGATGAAAGAAGACAGACATCAAATTCCCTGCTCGCCATCGAAGTTGCTGTGCTGAACCGATGAACCATTACCTGACTCATCCCCCCAAAATCAGGTTAATGTATTTCAAACTGGCTATGCAGTGTAGAAAATCCCTGAACTGAATCCCTCGGGGAAGAACTGCATTTAGATCTTAGAGACATATTAACCGGCAGCTACAGACTAGGACACTTTTTTCCTTTGACCGTGTGAAGAGATGCCGGGGTTTTGCTGGGAGTGCGTTTTCGCTGGAAGTGCATTGGTCCTTCTTGTTCACTCTCCCTCTCTGCTCAGCCCTCTCCTTCCCCTCCTGAGACCACGCTGCGAGCTCCCGGACTCTACCTGTGGCAGCACTTTCTTGGCAGCAGTTGGCGTTGCACTGGTCTCGCAGCACCGACACCTCCCTCTCCAGCATCTCGATCCGGCTCAGCAGCTCCTGCAGCACCTGGGCTGAACTGGCACATGGACAGGCCTTTTTGGGGAAGTTGATCCTGTGTGTAAAGGTGACCTGGCTCTCGTGGTCTGAGGTCTGGCCCATGTACTCTGCCAGAGTCTCGTCTTCTGCACTCACCTCCTGCTCAGCAGAGGCCTCTAGCCCTGAGGAGCAGAGGTTGTCCAAGGGCACGTTAATGTTGTACACGTGGTTGAAGACCACAGGCTGCTCTTTGCTGGATGTGTTGTAGTTGGCAATGCCTCCCTCCTCCTCCACTGACTGTCTCTGGACCCTTTCTGTGGTGACCTCCAGCTGACACTCTGAAGGCTTGATCATGGAGCCCAGAAGGATCAGGTTGATGCCAATGAGCATGTTCTTCAGAACCACTGTTTCCCCATCTGCCCCCATCCTCTCAGCCAGAGATCTGGGTTCAGGACCAGCCTGCAGCACACAGCATGGAGTTGTGGGAATCTGCAACGGAAACCAAGGAAAGAGACAACCTCTGAGACCTATGCCTTGGCACCATGGCTCTGCACAAGCCTACAAAGCTCAGGAGTAGGCAGCCAGAGATTTTCAAGGGGGGGGCGTCAGGAAGGGACAGTGGCTGCCAATGTCATAAAGGCCCAGGACTTTGTTCCTTAAAGGACTGGACCCCTGAAAATGGACACTGCTTCTGCATACTATTTTGTTTTCTCAAAAGGCTTATCTAGAACACACAGGTCTGGTCCCATGGTGGGCAAATGGTTCTTGGAGGAAACATGAGGGCTGGGGGCTGGGGCCCTGTGGATGGGCTGTTCCTCTGAGGAGAACTCAGAGTTTCTTTTCACTTCTAGGTGAGAAATTGGACCAGGGAGCCTTGGGTGTCCTCTCCTATTTCCCCAGATATTTATTGCAAAGGGACTCTGCCAGCCACTTCAAAATAACTTCATGAGCTCCTCTCAGCTCATCTATCCATACAAATTGTCTTCAGAATAACCAGCCAGGCAAATAATATAGTTCCAGGTAATTGTGATTGTTAATAAACCTTGGGTACATTTGTGATTATCTAGGGCTGTGTGAGCTGAACTTTCTTTTAATCTTCTTGTCAGTATAGTCCTCATGCTCTGTGACCACCAGGTGCTTTTCTTCCAAGTTCCTGTTTAAATTGGTAAAATAATGAATTAGCTCCTCTGCTGGTTACCTAGTCACCAAGAACCATAGAGTACAATAAACTCACTGGGATGCAAATCAGTTTTACAGAAATTTTATTCCTTTTGTATTCTCTATGCAAAACAGAAAAGAGATTTACAAAACTTGGTTCTAAAAGTTAGAGCTACTAAGAAGATTAAGGACTAAGGGACCAAGTGAGTGTGACTATTCGTCGGAGAAGAAGGTCACAACTAGGATTTACTGTATTTGCACTCAGCACAGACTGTGCTGTGCCCCTCACACAGGAGTCTACATGACCCTCAGGACAACCTTATGATGGGTCACTATGAATAGCCCCATCTTCTAATGGAGGAAGTTCTTCCAAGAGAGGTTAAGATTTGAATGCAGGTCTGACTCCAAAACCTGTGTTATCAATTACTATGTCCCAGGGCTTTTCTTGAAAAGAGTGTTCAATTTTCTCTTGTCTTTGATGGAAACTGTGTAATTTCTAAGATCTTCCCAGGAATATCGCGATTAGAAAATTTTGCTAGGGTCAGATTCAATGTTCTTTTCTCCATAAGCATTTGTCTCTCATCTTTTCCCTCCTGCCTCCTCTGCTATTCTCCCAAATGCAGGCTGAATTCATGTCCCTCTCTTCCAGGCCCCACTTCTGACAGCACTTGCCATGCTAGACCGTGGGTTTCCTTTGCCTGCTTCTCCCCACCTGGACTGCTAAGTCCTTGTCGGTCAGACCGTGTCTTATCTGCAATGTGTGACCGTCGCTTCAGGACGGCGAGAGTGCTCAGTGCATAGTTGTTGAATAAGTGGATAAGTAGATCCCTGGAAGGATGGAAAGATGAATTCATGAGAAAATGCTCAGTGAGCAAAAGGTTAAATCATTCTCCAACTAATTTAATCCCTCTCCATTATCCTCAAGTTAGATACTGGTCTGTTCCATTTCAGTTCTGAAAAAAATGCCTGAGGGTTGATTTTATTAGGAGTAACCTGTATTAGTGCCTAGTATAAAATCATGCCTTATTATTCAGCCCTTGCATTATATACTAGACTATAGTCTGTCCCTGCTTCCAATATGGACAGGGAGCAGACCAGAGCAGAGCTGTTGAGACTATAGACTCTGGAGCCTATAGAGTCTCTGTTTAGGTTCAAGCCTCAGCTCTTTCATTTTCTAGCTGTGGGAAGATCACTTAAGCTCTCTGTGCCTCAGTTTCCCTATCTATAAAGTGGAGATAATAATGGTACTTATCTTACAAGGTTGGAGGGCTAATGGAATTATTATCTGTATAATATTCACCCAGAACCTGGCATTAACTAACATAAATAAATATTGTTTGCAGACAAGTGGAATAATTGTTCCAGTTCTTCCCCTAGTCAAGGACTTCCCTGAAATCACTGGAACATATGAAATGTGTTATCCATTTGTGGACAGCAGAAAAGCCCAATCCTTAACACAGCCTTATCCAAAGATGGGTGAGATCCTTGGAGCAATGTGGGAAATGATGATCTGTTGGTCACTTCCAGACAAGGTAAATAAACCTTGGGGATAGGTAGAGTGACATGTTGGAATCAAATTGCCCTCCTAACTGTAAGCTCCTAAAGCCGCCTCTCATCCAAAGCTCTACTCGCCTTCTCACTTTCAGGATCCCTAGGCGTGACTTTCTTGAGCATCACTTCTACCCTCCTATCATTGAAAGTCTCCAGAAACAGCTCTGCTATCAGTCATTTACACACAGACGGGGTCTTGGCTATCTTTCTTATTGAATCCAAGTTTGTTTATCTGATCCATGTGGATATTGCTAAATAACTTTTTCTTCTGGGAATTGGAAAATGATCACATAACACCCCGTAGCACATAACAGCTTTTTTGCACATAGTTGACACTCAAAATAAGTGAATGAATAAATGACATTATCAACGAAAAGGAAGACAAGTGACAGGGAAATTAAGAGAGAAAAATGTTAGGTCCTACACTTTTAGGTCCAAAGTGACAGCTACAAAATTACATAGAGGGGGAAAGGTACAGCTTTATGTGTAAAAAAACACTAAATACTTTAGTCGATAACTAAACTTGCTATGAGTTGGTCAACGGTGTGATTTTTGTAACTACCGAAATCTTATTCAAATGTAGGTTTTATTAATTAAAATATAGGATAAAAGATAGACAAGGGTCTATGTTGTTCTACTCTTTACTGCACTGATTATTGATCACTTCTAGGTGCCTGGGATGTTGAAGGGACTCAAAATCCTATAATATGAGAGGGAAAAGTTTAGCATTTTGGCCCAAAGATGTGAAGACTCAGGGGGTACATTTATTCATTTATCATTCATTCATTTGACAGATATTTATTAAGTACCTATTATATGCTGGTCTTTTTCTTTATAGAAGTTGCATTCAAGTGTGTGTGGGTGGGTGGGTTGGGCATATAAATAAATACCACAGACAATTATATATGTCATACATAATGTATTATATAATAGAAATTATGTGACATTTAATATGTGATAATGCAACACACATGAGTTTGTGTTTGTGTCAGGAAGTGGTAACTGCTATGGAGGGAGCAGGGGTGTTAACAGGGCAGGTCGACATTGTATAGGGCATGGTCAGGACAGGCTTCTCTGATAAGCTGACAGCTGAGAGGACACCCGACAGAAGTGGGGTGGTGAGCTGAATAGATAGTGAGGGAACAGTGAGTTTGAGTCTCTAAGGCAGGGGCCGGCCTGGTGAATTTGAGACATAGTGTGGCTGGGGCCAAATGAACAAGGGAGCCCTGTGGGGAGATAAGGTCAGAGAAGTAGTGGGGGCCAGGTCATGCCCAGCCTTGTAAACCCCTGTAAGTTATTTGGCTTTTACACTGGATAGATGGTCACTGTTCTCAAATGCATCCACATATCAAACATGTATTATGCCCTAACCTGTCCTTGAGAAACTCTCATTTTCATGGAGGAGATGAAAACACAAGCAATATAACGACAATGCAATGTGATAATTACCATGGCTAACAAATACATCAGCTGCTCTGAGAAGGCTGGAGGAGATGCTAGCAACTCTGCCGGGGGCTGCAGGGAGGGGCACGCAAAGTGGGTGGGGTGGCCATCAGTGTCGTTTGCCAAATATTTCTGGCCTGGCTTTCCAGGACTGCATCTTCCAGCCCTGTCTTGGTTAAGTGAGGCCATGGCACTAGTTCTGGCTGATGAATTGTGAGAGGAAGTGGTGTGTGTCTTTTCTGGGCTGGTACATTAACATTGCTGATGGGAGACACCCTAGAGCTTTCTCTCTCTGGAGGTGACTGGCAGAGTTCAAGATGGTGGCTGCTCTGCTCTGCCAGCCTGGGCCTCTGAGTGACCACAGAGTTTCCTGCTGACTCACAGTGGACATGTCATGTGAGAACATGTCATGTGAGAAATAATCTTTTGGTGTTTGAAGCCCAGATTTGGGGATTGCTTTTTCCCACCACGTAACCTACCCTATCAGGGGATAATACCAAACTTGACTTTAATGGATTATTCTTTAGGTGGAGAAGGCCAAAGTTCATTTCACACAGAAGAACTTACATTTGCTAAAACTATGATATGTGCAAGAGCATGGCTTGTTCGATGAATGCAAATATTTGAAGGGTTGTAAAATGCTAAGTATATGGCAAAAGGTCCCAGGGAAGTGGTTTCCACCAAATGGGAGAATCTACAAGGAAACAGATTTTAGCTCAAAATACAGACTAGCATTGCTAATAATGAAAGTTACCTGGGTGTCATGGTAAGTAGTGACTTCCTGGTCACTGGAAGTGTTCAGGTACAAGCGGAAACACAACTTAATGAGAGTGTTGAAGAGGGGATGTTAAGCATCAGATGAGCGATTGGGCTAGAACGAACATTGAGGTCTTCTCTTTCCTGATACTTTATAAATTCTTGGTCTTAGTGGGTTTTGAGGAGCTAACCCACTATAATATGGCATTAGTTCCCTAGGGTTGCTGTAACAAATAATCACAAACTGAGTGGCTTAAAACGACAGAACTATATTCTCTCATAGTTCTGGTGGCAGAAGTCCAAAGTCAGGCATCAGCAGGGTTGATTCTTCCCTAGGTCTCTGAGAGAGAATCTGCCCCATGCCCCTCTCCCAGCTGCTGGTGGCTGCTAGCATCCCATGCCATTCCTCTGCTTGTAGGTGCATCACTCCCGTCTGTGCCTCTGTCTGTGCACTGTATTCTCCTTGTTTCTTCATATAGTTGTCTTCTTAAAAGTACAGCAGTCACAATGGATTAGAGGAACCACTCTACTCCAGTATGATCTCATCTTAACTTCATTACTTATATCTGCAATGACCCTATTTCCAAATAAGGTTACATTCTGAGGTTCTGGGGTTAGGACTTCAACACGTCTTCTTTGGAAAGCGGGGACACAATTCAGCCCATAACAAATACTAGTAGTAATTGGGTCAAGCTAAGCATTTTCCTTGTATTATTTTATTTATTTCTCACAGCAACCTATAAGCTACAGAAGAGTGATATTTAGGAGTCAAGATATTTAGCGATTGTTATGGTTTGGGCTGCAACCAATCAGAATGGGGCATCAGTCAATCAGACTTGCTGCAGACAACCAGCAGGGCCCTATGGTGATTTTCCTGTGATGGTAGGTCCTCTTTCTATCTCCATTATTTAAGATGAAGAAAATCAATCTCAGGAAAGGCCAAAGGATTTGACCAAGATTGCAGTTAATGGGCAGATGAGCCAAGACTGAACCCAGATTTTGCTGACCATGGTCTGTGCTCTTAGTGGCTGTTTTCCAGCCAGCTTTAATTAGGGTCTTCATACTAATTTCATGAAAAGACTTAGAGCTCTTACAAGTCAACACTCTTCTCCCCCTGGGTTCAGATTTAGGACTTCCTGACAGGGATGACTTTGAGATTAATGTTTTCTCCACCAATCCAAGAGATCTCCCCAGAAATTGCTTCAGTCTCTCCTCCTTGAGAGGAGGCTTGTTTGATGGCTCTTTATTTAAAAGTCTCCAGCCTCTATAGTGTCCCCCAAATCAGGAGCAATTGTAACCCAGTAAACCTTGATCCTAGAGGAGCTGGGTGACATTTTCTAAACTTGTCATTTTTCCAGAACAATTCTCCACCGAGCCAGCAGTTACAGAAACCCATGGCCTTTCATGGACTCCCTCTGGCTTCATTCACTTCTCTGAGATCCCCCAATGTGTCCCGCACTCCAGCTCCACCCAAGGGATGGATGATAATCCATCCCTTGTCACACCACCATCAACCTCTCTGCTTCTCTCCTGTGCTGCTTTTCTAGGGGAAGGCAGAGAAAGAAGATAGAATGAATGGCATGAGGTGCTCCACTTTTCTCACTTTCTCTGAGCCCTGCTGAAGGGGGAAGTGAAACTAATGTTTATTAAATGCCTGCTTAATCAATGTGCCTGTAGTGTTGCTAAGCTCATGTCACTTAATTATTTCAAAGTGGCTTTCTTTCTTGTGTCCCTGAAAACTTCACTTCTGGCTTTATTCTCTACTGCCACCTCCCATTCTTCTGTATTGCAAAGAATGCTGACTGTTCTGCAGGTGGCCTGTCTTTGGCACTTTTTTCTTTTTTTTTGAGTCAGAGTCTCACTCTGTCAGCCAGGCTGGAGTGCAGTGGCACGATCTCTGCTCACTGCAACCTCCATCTCCCAGGCTCAAGCAATTCTCCTGCCTCAGCCTCCCAAGTAGCTGGGATTATAGGCGTGTGCCACCATGCCCAGCTAATTTTTGTATTTTTAGTAGATATGGGGTTTCACCATGTTGGCCAGGCTGATCTCGAACTCCTGACCTCAGGTAATCCACCTGCCTCGGCCTCCCAAAGTGTTGGGATTACAGGCATGAGCCACCGCGCTCAGCCTCTTTGGCACTTTTTAGTGATGCTGTCGGGCAGATTTTGCAGCTTGCCATGAGGAAGGCGTGGCCTAATGCTGTGGCATGTCTGGAAGTGCTGCATTGGATATGTTCATCTCCTTTAGAGAGGTCCCACTTGTTCTGGGACCCATTCTGTGTCTTTGGTATGAGGCAGTGGGTAATGTTTAAACCACATGCAAAACCTGTCTCCAAAGGCAACAACTTAGAAGGCTCGAGGGGACTAGCAGAGCCTCCTCTCTGCCCTTCACTCTCTTCCTGTATCTCAGATGAGTCAAAGAGACTAGAATGAGTAAGAGTCCAGGACTAGAACCAAAATAGACCAGTTAAAGAGATAAAATGGTGGATAGGAGAAGCAGGATGCCATGGTCTGAATGTTTGTGTCCCTCCAAAATTCATATGCTGAAATTCCCAAGAGGATGGCATTAGGAGGTAAGGGCTTTGGGAGGTGATTAAGTCATGATGGCAAAACCCTCATGAATGGGATTAGTGCCCTTATAAAAGACGTAGAGAGAGTTGGGCACAGTGGTTCATGCCTGTAATCTCAGCACTTTGAGAGGCCAAGGCAGGTGTATTGCTTGAGCCCAGGAGTTTGAGACCAGCCTGGGCAACATGGCGAAACCATGCCTTTACAAAAATTACAAAAATTAGCCATGCATGGTGGTGTGTGTCTGTAGCCCCAGCTACTTGGGAGGCTGAGGTGGGAAGGTCACTTGAGGCTGCAGTGAGCTGAGATTGTGCCAGTGCACTCCATCCTGGGTGATAAGAGTAAGATCCTATCTCAAAATAAAAGAGAGGTAAGGATACTCCTTACCTGGGACTTCCCAGCTTCTAGAATGGTGAGAAATAAATTTCTTTTGCTCATAAGCCACCCAGTTTACGGTATTTTCTTTTAGCAGCCCAAGTGGACTAAGACAGGGGAAAAAGAGGGAAAAACAGAGAAGGAAGAAAAAAAAAAGAGAAGGTGGAGGAGAAAAAAAATGGAAGAGTGCCAGGCTGGTGGAGAAACAAATAAGAGTTTCGCAGGTGGACTGTGAAAATATAAACCTGAGGGATGGATAATACACCCAAGGCTCAACGATACACTAACAGTTGTGAGCAAGACAGATGGTTAATGACCCTACAAATGGGAGTGCAAGAGAGTTGCAGTAATTCGATAGATTGATACTCAAGAGATCCGTGCATTTCCATTGATTCATGTCCTCCACTCCAGCTTCCTTATCAATATAATTATCATGGCCAGCACCAGAGGTGTCTCCGGGTAATTTGTAAGAGGTGGATAGCAAGATTGTCCTCAAGGCTGATTTAGTGCCTTGTTAATGAGGTGCTCACTCCCCTCTAGGGAGGCCTGTGGGGAGAGACTTGGGTCACCCAGGTTGGCTGAAGCTTGTGTCCCACCTAAAGTTGTTTTTCTTTTCCTCTTCCTCCCCCACATGACCTCCTCTGACTTTTGAGGGACTGGGAGGAAGGACTGGGAAGGTGAGGAGGAAAAGAAGTAGCTAGAAGGTATCCACATGCCTTTGAGCTTTTTTCTTTTCTTTTTCTTTTTTTCCCAGAGTCAAAATGGGGTGGAAAATACCAACATGGGCCAGTGGGGCCTCAGGGCAAAAAAAAAAAAAGGTGCAGGAGGGAGAATGAAATGAGCGTGAAGGTTGTTGGGCAGGGAAGGAGAAGTGACCTCCTGGGGTTGGGTGGCTGGTGCTCGATTTGGATTTTCCAGCTTCTGCCATTTGTGGTCCCCACTCCGTCCTTAGGGGTGATTTATAAACCAGAACTATATCTGTGGAAAATGACACTCTTTTTTTGTGCTTTTTTTTTTTTTTTTGTTAGAATTCGTTTAAAAATAGTTTCCTCCCTGCCGTTGGGATGCTCTGTCACTTGGAGAAAGAGGGTAATTATGAAAGACGAGGGTGTAATGTGATTACAGCCGGCCCCATTGTGTCAGTGGAGGCAGCGCTGGGCTGCTGGGAGAACTCGGAGCCAGCTCCTCTCCATCAGCGCTGGGCCTTTATTGGGCCTGTCAGATTTCTGAAAAGAACCCGAGGGCAGAAAACTCCCAGCAGACAGGACTCCATGGCTGGCCCAGAGCTGTCAACAAGGACATGGAATGGTGTGGGAGGATGTGCTGGGCCAGCCTGGGTGCTGCCTCCCACTAGGCGCGGCTGCCCAACGCCCCTGACCACGTGCTGTTTGATGTATCCCCATGTGGGAATCTGCAGGAAGGGTCTTTGGTTCAGAACCTAATGGATCCACACTCATTTTTCAGCACATGCGGTCAGCCCAGCATGTTCGTGGCTTCGTGTCAGTGTGGATTAGGAGAAACCTCAGTGGGTGGTATATGGGACCCAGCTTCTGGTCTTGTCCTGGGGTTCTGCCTTGTACTACCTGGGAGAACTCTAATTGACATTACCTTTCACAGAGACACTCTTTCATCTGGAGAATGGGATCTTGAGTATCAATCAAGGGAATGATACCAGCGGAGTAATGAAAATATCATGATTGGAAGTGAAGATTGGAAGTGAAGGTGAGGTCAGCTAGTTTGGGGTACCCACTTACAATACAACTGGCAAGGCTGGGCAAATCTTACTGCTGGGGGTGGGGGCGCCTATTTCTTTTTAGGCAGCTGTTGATAGAAAGTCTGTCTTGTAACTTTAGCTTTTAAATTTTATGATGCATGGACTAGGTTTCCCTATGATAAATAGAAACCTAATTTAAGTGAGAATTTATTTGATTTTTATAGGCTACAGAGAATTCTTAACATCTGTAAAGCTTCTGACAATTATATATATATATACACACACACACACTATATATATAAAACACATATACAAACACACAGACACACATACACACATAAACATATTGTATATGATCCCATTTAATCCTCACAAGAATTGATGAGATTATTCCCATTTTATAGATGAGGGTATGGGAATGATTTGCCCAAGACACACAGTAAGTTAGAGCCAGACTAAGTCCTGAATCACATTTCTAGGCTCTCAGTTCAGTAGTAGACACCATAGCCTCCCTTCAGCAGCTGCCTCTATCCTTGGGAAGTAGGTAGGATATAAATAATGAATTCCTAATTAATCTACACCATTTTGGTCAGAAATTCTCCTAAGCACCTGACCTTTTGCTATCATTAATGTCTATTTTTCATCTGTGTTTCTTGAGCTTGGAGAACAGCATGTCACCATTCACTGTTCAATTATTCTTCTTGAAGAGTCATATTACCTTTCATCTTTTTCTTCTCTACATTTAATACAACTGCAAAGAAAGTTTCTTTGCAAGAAAGTTTGCCAGCCAGACTGTAGCCCAAGTTGATGGTTTCTGTTTCCTGCCCACACTCCTTAGAACAGATTGAGAAATTGGTTTGAAATATAAGAAGTGGGCCGGGTGCGGTGGCTCACGCCTGTAATCCCAGCACTTTGGGAGGCCAAGACGGGCGGATCACGACGTCAGGAGATCGAGACTGTCCTGGTTAACACCGGGAAACCCCGTCTCTACTAAAAATACAAAAAATTAGCCAGGCGTGGTGGCAGGCGCCTGTAGTCCCAGCTACTCGGGAGGCTGAGGCAGGAGAATGGCGTGAACCCGGGAGGCGGAGCTTGCAGTGAGCCAAGATTGCGCCACTGCACTCCAGCCTGGGCTACAGAGCGAGACTCCATCTCAAAAAAAGAAAGAAAGAAAGAAAGAAAGAAAGAAAGAAAGAAAGAAAGAAAGAAAGAAAGAAAGAAAGAAATCTAAGAAGTGGTCTCTTCCCTCATGGGGCTTATAATCTAGTTGAGAAGACTAGGCTAATACACACGAAACTGAAGAACAAGGCAAGCCAGTCCATTTTTATGTATTGAATTAACATTACTAATTTAAAATTAGTGTTTTAAAGGTGAGCAGAGATGAGTGTGGGAGACGTGACTGGAGAAGGCTTTGTGAAGAGATGGTATCCGAGTCCAGATGGAGGGGGATGGTGGAGGGTGGAGAGGAGTTGTGGGCAGTGGGTGGGAGAGGGGGCGGCAAAGGGTATAGAATCAACAAAGTTAACTGGAGCCCCCAGGCCAAATGAAAGGAAGTATGGCTGCTGAAGGGACCATCTTCAGTCTTCATGAAGGCTTAAAGTTGATTAACAGTGAAAATAATACATACACACTTGGTGTGTGCCTGTTAGATAAGGGACTGGTCGCATATTAACGTATTAGCAGATGGACCACTGGATATCAAGCTCTGGAAACACTACTAATATGTGCTAAACATGGGCTCAGAACTTCCAAGTAATTATAACTGTAAATGTAGGAACTGATTGCTTGCTTTTTTTTTTCTTAGAACATTGAAACCCTTTAGAAACAAACAAATCTTAGGAATAGTCACCTTTGAAAATTGTACTCATCCACATCCAGAATACCAGATAAATTTATCTGCCCTAAAAATATCAAATGACAGATTCAAATATCAAATTCATGCTGTTTCCAATTATATAGCATAACTATATTGGAGTTGATCCTTCCAGCAGGAAGCAAATAATTGCTTTCATATATTGGATAGCCATTCGTTTCTTCAGATTACTTGTGTGCTAGAAGTGGCAATGTATTAAAGTTCAGCTCTAGTGGTCTAAATGAGTTATTTACTTCATTGTGTACATTATGTCTTTTAGAGCATTAAATAGCACCGCCCTGACCCAAAGACTACAAGCAGGTGAATTATACCTTCTAGTGCATGAAATAACATAATTATTTTCTACCTGAAATTTGAGGAAGCTCTGAGAGTACTGGTATATGGAGCAAAACCTGCTTAATTAAATTCAGTTACACACTGATTGCATGCCAGGAACAGGACTAGGTTCCATTCTAGATGTTGAGGTCAGGATAGAGAAGTCTCAGGCGACCCCCTGTGTGACTAGGAGAAAGATATTCATATAACAAGCATAAATAGCAGGACATGAGAAGTACCATACCAGAGGTATGGGAACTTCTTCTGGGAGTCCAGCAGAAGGAGGCATTTCAACTGCAAGACTTCTCTAGAGAAAGACTAATGGAAAAGATGGCTTTTGAGCTGGGTCTTGAAGAATGAGAAAGATTTTGAAAGGAGGAGGCAATGGAAAAGGCAGTTGAGGCCGGGCGGAGTGGCTCATGCTTGTAATCCCAACATTTTGGGAGGCCAAGGCAGATGGATCACGAGGTCAGGAGATTGAGACCATTCTGGCCAACATGGCAAAACCCCACCTCTACTAAGAATACAAAAATTAGTTGGGCGTGGTGGCACACGCCTGTAATCCCAGCTACTCAGGAGGCTGAGGCATGAGAGAATTGCTTGAACCCGGGAGGCGGAGGTTGCAGTGAGCCGAGATTGTGCCGCTGCACTCCAGCCTGGTGACAGAGCGAGAGAGAGAGAGAAAAAAAAAAAAAGGCAGTTGAAGCAGAGTAGAGAATGAGGGGAGTCATGTTTGTAGAAGGGCTTGGTTCCTGGGATAGTACAATGTAGGGGTGATTGTATTCAGGGATGAAGTGTACTAAGAAGATGTCAGAGATCCCTGACTGGCATTTTTAGAAATTTGCTTTGTATCTGTGTGCTTGTTGAGCCAGCAATGTTTTCAAAGCAGGGCATAACATGATTAAGAGGCCCTTTGATGTCTGCAGTTGCAATTGGCCCCAAAGATGAATTTCAACCTGAAAAACATAAAAGATTTTTTTCTTATCGCTTATCTTATTTTGCAGTTATTTAGTCAGTAAGGCTCAGATTAGCCTTCCTCATTACTTTGGAGAATGGTTCTTCAGGGTACATAATTTCTTAAATCCCCTTTCTCTCACTTTCTTGACAAAATGCATTTTGCTCTCCATTAAGTTATACTGCATCATCTTTGTTCATTATTGTTAAAAGGGGTGCCAATGGAATTCAAATGTTCTTTTATTAACTGCTAAATTTAGGATATATATTGTAAAATATTGGACTTTTAAATGTGTTCAATCTGAATAAAGACAAGAATTGACCATTTAGCTACATGCAGCTGCCTTTCTGACAGCGTAAGAATACAGATGGCACTGACTGGGCTCTGAGGGATGTTGATAAACAGAGCACGTTTTGAGGGTTCCCAAAGTTCGTGTGGGATCCATATAGGTTATTAAAAAAACCCACTAAGGGGATGCAGAACATTTCAGGGGGCTTGGGGTTTATATCTGAAATAACTTGTGCATGGTGTCCAATTCCTCTGTGGCACGATCTCGGCTCACTGCAACCTCCGCCTCCCGGGTTCAAGCAATTCTCGTGCCTCAGCCTCCCAAGTAGTTAGGACTGCAAGTGCCCACCACCACGCCCGGCTAATTTTTATATTTTTAGTAGAGAAGGGGTTTCACCATGTTGGCCAAGCTGGTCTCAAACTCCTGACCTCAGGTGATCCACCGACCTCAGCCTCCCAAAGTGCTGAAATTACAAGTGTGAGCCACCGCACCTGGCCCCAGTCCCCTTTTACTGGAGTTCTTCTTCCTTCAGCACAACTTCCCTTTCTCCCTCAGCCTTTGCAGTGCACTGCTGTGTGGGACTCCTTCTCTTGGCACACACACTCCTTGGAACTCTTAATTTGCCGCTCCAGAGCTTCACTCTTTCCCAGCAGGCTACCTTGCCCTGGAGCTTCCCATTCTGCCGAAGGGGAGCTCCACCCAGAGAGGCGTGGTGTGGAGGAGAGTCAGGCCCTCGCTGCCTCCCTGGGAGGCTGCCTCGGGCTGGCTGTGCCCCTTGGCTGAAGGGCACTGCTTCTCTCAAGGTGACCTTCTCTACACCACTGAGCAGACTCTATTTCCAGGTTTTGGTAGCCTCTCACCCACATCTCTCACCTCTTTGGGGCTCAACTTCAACGAGACCTGACCACCTGGACACAGTTCCCTCACTGACCAACCCGTGGCTGTCCTGTGCCTGTCCCTGCAGGTACCCACAGGAATCTGACTTCCTGGAGGGGCTGTTTAATCCAGATGTTTCTTCCTGTCCCCAAGTCTATTTAAAACTTACTTTCCTCTGTGACTCATTCCCTCCGTAGTCAAATGCCAAAGTGATACAAGATACAGCATTGGCAATAAATTAATGCCTTCTGAAAACCTATTTGGAAACAGGTAAGCCTTATACCATAAATAACAGTGACATTTTCATTTTAACAACAGCCTTCAACTAACCTAACAGTGGACTTGGTTCAGTGTGGCTTCATGCTGTAGCAGAGAAGAAGATTTATTGCCTGTAAAAGATTTCAACATTTTTTCTCACATTGATCTTCCTACCTTTCCCCTTTTGAAAAGCACTAAAATGAGTCAGAATAACAGAACACCTGGTATTTGTAGAGCTCATCTGAGTTTTCAAGGTGCTTTCATAATCACGACTGATTCCTCTACCAATTCTGTAAAGCATGTAAGGTGGGCGTATTGCTCCACTTTACAGATGAGTAAACTAAGGCTCAATCCTATGGATAACAAGCCATGAAGTTGGTAGTAAAGAAGTGCTCTGAGGGTAATGTATGCTATCTCTGAGAAATTCACAGTGTAAAAAGGAATCCAGCTCACATTTTCTTTAGTTTGGTTTTCTCATAGGGAGATTGGAAAAATACAGTGACATTTAAAAAAATAATAAAGGTGCAGGTTTATTTAATTATTTATCTTTGTGTTTCAGGAAGAATACGCTCTCTGAATTTTTTTTTAAAGTTTCAGCCTTCTACTTTCTCTGCTTTCTGGACACTTATAGTTGCCTTAGTGAGCAGCTAGCTGAGGTGGGGGTGTGGGAGCTCACCAACATTGACTCCAAGCAGCAGAGCTGGACATGGGTTGAGTCTGCAGCTGAGGGCGAGATGAGAGTGAGTGAAGTCAAAGCCAGTCATTGCGGAGGGAAACTTTGCTGTTTCTCTCTATGGATTTACTCAACAATTCTCCTTCTCCAGGACTGGATCACCAGGCCCCATGAGGCTCTCAGATTTCCCTAGCAACAACTCAACACTTGATTCTTTCCTTGGAGTACTTAATAGGAAAACCTATTGCTTTGATCCTAGTTTGCATTATCAAACAGGATTGCTGCAGGGAAATCATTATAAAAGCATTCCCCTGCTCCCCTGCTGAGCAAGACACTAGTTCTATTCACTAAATAGAAAGCCCAAAGCAGGTGAGCTATTTCCTAAAAGAATGGTTTTGATTATTTTCCATGTTATATTCATCAGGGGCTGTTAGAAGATAATTATAAGATAGTCAGTGACGTGTCTTTCTACCATTCTAGAATATTATACCTTCATTAGTCTAGACCCACAAATGTGTCTAGAATGATCCAAACTTTTTATCTGTAAGATAAGTCTACAGTATTAAGTCAACAAGGAATATTTATTGCCTTTCTCCAAAATAACAAGATCTCTGGGCTCTTCCTACATGACCAAAAACGTGGGACTGGTGGCTAGGTTTGCCCAAACCAGCTGCATTTGATTAGGAAGGGAACATACCCACCAGCTTCAAGCTAAACTGATCAGATATGATTATATGCCCCAGAGCTTGTGCATTCTGCCCTGTCCCAATATGCATGTGGGGTTGTGCCATGAAGGAAAGGAAAGGAAGGGCTTTCTTAGACTGACATGTGCATTGTCCAGGCACATGCCAACCAATCTTCTAAGGGCTTCATATATTACCTCATTTCATCCTCACAGCAGTCATATCACATCATTACTATCCCATTTTACAGATGCAGCAATTGAAGAAATTGAGGTACAGAGTGGTTAAGTGACTTGTCTAAAAGTCACAAAGCCTTTAGGTGAGGGCACCAGGATTCAAAGTTAAGCAGCCTGATTCCATAGTCTTTGAATGTCAAGAGCTGTATGCAGTTGATTGGGAAGTCTTCTTATAAGAATTTGTGACAATCATCTCCCTCTCTGAGCTCCAGCAGAACTTGTTTTTACACTTATCACAATAGTTATCTGCAGAGCTGTTTGTTTTCCCCCTGGAGGGTCCCTAGAGGGCAGAGTCTATAATCTAGTTATCTTTTATCGCAGCATTCAGCATAGAGCCCAAAGTCTAATAGGTCCTCTCTCTCTCTTTCAATACATATACACACACGTGATGTGGTTCCAGCCATCCTTACCTACCCAGGTGTCCTGCATATTTCCACAAATTGGTCTTTCCTGCTTCCCAAGCTTCTGGAATTTTTCTCTCTGCAGTGCTATCTGGGAGAACTGCTGCTGGGAGTGTGTGGGGTGGCCCCGAGAGGGCTGGGACCCACTGTCATGCTAGCCATTGGCCCAGTTTATTGTTTGGGTAACAAATTTCCTGCCTACCCACTTTGCAGCCTCTCTCACTGATAGCTCCAGGATTGTAGGTCTCCCCCCTAACCCCAGTTTCTCTTGATTACAGCTGCCTGTCACATTGTTTCTTATTATTGACCTTGGTACCTGTCAGACCATCCACACTCCCCAATTGTCTTTCCCTGCCACATGTCCATCTTCACTGAGAAACTGGTTTCCTGGATTACACAGGCCCTATTTGTCTCTCATAGGTGCACCTGCTTCTCAGAAATGGAGTGATCTTTGGCCTTCTTTGTCCTTGGACTTGATGAGGTGGTTGGCTGTGAGCTAGGTCATAGGTACTCCTCTCCAGGGGTCTCCATCAGGGAGATTCTAGAGAAGGGTCATTGCCTGGTGAACAGGTCACCTGCTTTGGAGACACAATGCCTATCTGTCTCTCGTGCCACTTCCATTCTCGGGCTTTATGAGCTTGAGCAAGTCGTGTGACTGCTCCAAGTTTCAATTTTCAGATCTGTGAAGTGAGGACTATTTATAGTGAGAATGAAATATATGCAATAGCATTTCATAAGCTACAAAGTGGCACATAATTGATGGGAAGGTATCAGTATTGTTAATACATCAAATATAAAGAAGCACCTGGTGTTCATTTCCTCATGGGCCAGAGGTTCATTATGGGCCATCCAGCTGTGGGGTCTTCTTTCCTCCTCCATCTTCCTCAGCCTCAGCCTTAGCAGGGGTGCAAGTGGGAGGGTGGGTCATCACTGGGTGCTAAATTAATTGTTGAACTGAGCAGAATTGAGGATGCTTGGGTGACTCTGAGTGACAAATCCCATGGTGGCATTTGTGGTGCATCTTCTTGACCCAGGGTATAGATGAGTACAATTGCTTCATGCAGATGATCAGTGACTCCCAGGGAATGGTCAACCCTGCTTTCCAGAGTGGGGCTGACTAGGATGTGAATCGAGATCTCAATCCCCTAGGATCCATGAGGATTCCTAAAATATTTCTTGGTTTTTCCTGTGTTGTGTGGTCCCTGAAACTAGACCCTAAGAAACCAGAGGGGATTCAGGGGTTGGAACAATCCACCTGGATACAGCAGCTGGACCTGAAGCTTCAGAGGCAAGCATCACAGTCCAAGGTCAAGGCAGGCTGGCCTGAGCAGGGCTGGAGCATGGGGCTGCGGAACTAGGGTGGATAAAGCCACATAATAGGGTGCAGCTAGGGTCAACTGAAACTCACAGAGCTGGATTAGCACTACTAGGGTCAGAGCCAGAAGGAGAGGAGGCACTCAACAGAACCAGGTATGAATCCCACGAGTTCCAGGGGTCTGGATGTGAGTGTGCCAGCCAAAAGCTATGGGCCTTGGGGGTTAGAATCCCTGCACCAAGGCCCTAAAGATAAATCAGTAAGTCTATATTGAAAAAAAAGTTTTTTTCTGATTAGAAAATCTATACATATTTATTATAGAATAACTAGAACATACAGAAAGATTGTATTTTTAATTACTGATTTTGGTGGGGTTTTTTCCACTTTTTAATCTGTGTTAATTTCCATAATTGAGATTGCACCCTATTTCGAATGAATACTTTAAACCAACAAGTCCTTGGTCTTGCTATCTCCGGGGAAGCACTGCCCAATGACTGTGCCCCAACTCGGGCAGGCCCAGAAGACAGGTCTAAGGTTGACTTCAGTCTGCATTGGAAGCCGGGCTGCATTGTCAAGCAAGTCAGACATGCCTGGCCTGGCCAGGCAGTGGTGGGAGCTGGGCAGTTCCCAACAAGGGAAAAGCTTCTGTATTTTCCCCTCTGCCCTGGCACCAAGCACACATCTCTGTCAGTGGAGGAGCCTTGGTAAGTGTTGACGAGGTGACCAGCTTCCTCTCCATTAACAGGTGTGCAGAATTGTGTCTAAACCCCACAGCTCTTGTAGGGGGCATTTTGTTTGGTCCTGATTAGAATAATGAACTGGGCTGATTAGAGAAAGTCCTGTGGGAGGGAAAGGTCTGCTCTCCCTGACTCTGGGGTTTCTGACCAATCTGAACAGCAGGGCCCTTGGGCCAGTGGACCTGAAGGTTGGGGGAAGAGAAATGTCAGCAAGGATGGGAGTTACAGGACTGGAGGCCCAGCAGACAGGCTACATAGGGATGCAAACCCCCTGCTTCCCATTCTCTACCCAGCACCAGCCAGTTGCCGCCAGAGTATCAGAAGCTTCAAAGTGGGCTGGAACGGACAGTGGCCAAGTGTGAGTGGAGCACAGTAACCACTGGCTTCTGTCTGGAGCACGTGCTCAGAAAGAGCTTCAGATACTTGGAAACTAAGCAAAAAATATCAAGCTGAAGACCCTGGAGGGTGACTCAAGCCAGAGGGCTCTAGTAGTGTTGTATCTGTCAGCAGACCTGGGGGGCCTGGGGAGGATGGGTTCTTGCCCTCTAGAGAGATTCTTGGAGTAATTCTCACCCGAAACACTATAAGCAGACCTCAAGGCTCAGATTTGTGGATGCTATTTTGGGCTTATGAAACCACTGTCGAAGACCTTATATTAAGAATACTTGAAGTAGAAGACAAGACTGTGCCATAGGTGTGGAGCTTGGGAATCATACAGCTCTGGATTAGCACTACTAGGGTCAGAGCCAGAAGGAGAGGAGGCACTCAACAGAATCTAGTCTGGAATCTAGTCTGAGTGTACTAGCTGTGGCAGTGTGCAAGCAATGTATTTTCTCTGAGCTTCTGTTTTCTCATCTGTAACATGGAGATACTTAATAATGGCATTGATCTCACAGGGTGGTTTTAAGCACTTAATATATAATAGATATTAAGTATTTAACATAAGGCCTAGCACAAAATAAGTGCCCTAAAAAAAGTATTAGTCTGACTGATAGTGTTTTCTGAGGTGCCATGTGGAACTCAAGGTGAATGAGCTCTTACCATCAGAAGTGTATGATATGACTCTCCTGGGTAATTCATAAGCATGGGATGGAATTGGTTTTTATAAAAATCTATGATGTCAGTTCCTGGAGCAGTGTCCTCCGAAGCTGAGAAAATGGCCTTAATTGACCACCACTGAGCAGGGTAAAATGGCAGCTGGGAGCAATGGGATCTGTTTGCACCCTTTCGCTCCACACATTTTCCCCTGGCACTGCTGCACTTGAATTTGCAAAGAGTAGCATTTTTTTTTCAACATTTCTATAGGCTGGGCCTGGGAACATAGGGTCCATCAGGCCCTTCTTCTCTAAGCAGTGAGTAAGGTGAAAAACAATGCTGAGAGTTTCAGGGCATTATTGGGGTTAAACAGCTGTCACAATGCAGGAAGCCATAGCTTCCATGGTGCCTATGGCCTTGCATCATTGGGATAAGGCCAGGATTACAGACCTGGGTGGGCCTCAGTCTCTACCACCTGTAAGGCCAGGGTTCTTTAAACCATGACTTGCCTCCATGCTGTTGTTGGGTCCTAAATCAACCTGGAACTGGACCTTTGGCTGCTAGAGGAAGCTGTAACAGGAGCCTGCTGAGGTCAGGGAGACTCAGCCTCCAAGAGAGCGCAGCGTCTGTATTCTTCTAATTTAGTTACCTCAAGGGATGAAGTGTTTGGAGTGGTAGATTCCCTGAGTAGTCTGGAGAGGACACTTTTATGGCCATACAAAGATGTGCTGAAGGAAGAAGCACATCTCTATGGATAATATTAGCAACATGAGGCGAGGTCTAATTTGCCTTTGAGGGGTGTTGCTTCTTGCTCCTGGGATACTGGGGTGCTGCGTTTGCTCCCCTGCCTGAATCTACCGGGGCTGCAGTAGTCCACTGTAGGTGCTGTCGCTGCTTCCCATGCCAGCCTCTGCACTCTTATGACTCACAGGGATGGATGAGGAGGTGGTGCAACTGCCCTTCTCTCCTCCTTTAGTGCAACCTCAGGAGAGCTTGCAAAGTTTCCACGGGCAGAACTTGAAAGTGACAAGACTGACCTGATGCATCTCTGAATCTCCCTAGTCAGATACAAATCATAGCCTTTGTTGTTTATGCCAGGACACTCTGGCTCAAGGAAGTCCTGTTTCATCATGGCCAATTTAGAAAAGGGATGTTCAAGCACTTTTACTCTATTGACCATAAAGATACATGTTACTCCGTAACCTAATACCTAATACATCTGTAATTATTGTCTAATGTGTGTTTATATCTATACACGCGTGTGTGTGTATAAATATATATACAGGTGTGTGTGTATATATATAATATATATAAAATATAAATATATATAAAATATATTATATATATAAAATATAAATATATATAAAATATATTATATATATAAAATATAAATATATATAAAATATATTATATATATAAAATATAAATATATATAAAATATATTATATATATATTATATATAAAATATATTATATATATATTATATATATGAAACCAAAGTTTCACAGAAGAATATTTACCTTTACTAAATGCCATGGATTCTAAAATCTTCTGATCCCTAGTCTGATGTGTTCTCCATTGCACCACTGACCTGCACAATGCCATGCATTCTAATATAATTTATTTGTTCTATTCTCCTTAAAAAAAAATACAGGTTGTCACCCACTTAATAGGTTTCATGACCCACCAAGACATAACAACCCACAGCTCAAAAATCATTGCTCCAGAGCAGCACTGTCCAATGACTATACAAGTCAGTGAGTGTGAGCCATGTATGTAATTTTAAATTCTCTAGTAGCCACACTAAAGAGGTAAAAATAAGCAGGTGAAATGAATTCTGATAATATATTTCATATAGCAAAAAATTTTTATATAGCTAAATATTATTATTTTGACATGAAATCCATATAAAAATTATGAGTGATGTATGTTGCTTTTTTATACTAAGTCTTTGAAATCTGGTATGTATTTTTACACTCACAGCACAGGATTAGGCACATTTCAGTGCTCAATGGTCCCATGTGGCTGGTGTCTACAGTGTTGGGCAGGGTAGCTTTAGAGGCTAGTTCATGAAGAAGAACCAAGTGTTTATCATGGTTTATTTTTTATTATTTTTTATTTTTTATCATGGTCTTTACAGGTATATGAGAAGTGTTTTGTTTCCTTCCTTCCTTCCTTCCTTCCTTCCTTCCTTCCTTCCTTCCTTCCCTTCTTCCCTCCTTCTCTCTTTCTTTTCCTTCCTTCCTTCCTTCCTTCCCTTCTTCCCTCCTTCCCTCTTTCTTTCCCTTTCTTCCTTCCTTCCTTCCTCCCTTCCCTCTTTTTTCCTTCTTTCCTCCCTCCCTTCCCTCTTTTTTCCTTCCTTCCTTCCTTCCTTCTTCCCTCCCTTCTTCGCTTCCTTCCTTCCTTCCTTCCTTCCTTCCTTCCTTCCTTCCTGTCTCCATTTCCCAGGCACTTCCCTCCCAGCACCAAAAAATGCATTACAGCAGAATGGGTTTCGGATTGGTGTCTAGATTTTTAGATAAAAATCCTATCTTTTTGTAGCTTTCAGGAACAGTTGAGGGGAAAGTTAAGAAGATAGACATTCTACTTCTTTAAGTAACCTCAAGATGTGTAAGTTGGTGAATTCAGCAAACAATTATTGAATAGCTATTATGTATCAACAGTAAACCAATGCCTTGGCATCTAAGGGAATTTTTAGGGAAGCTTTTCATCAGATCTAGAAGATAATTTGGTTAGGGCTTGTCCCTCTTTGTCCTTAATGGTCTTCCTTTTTAATTCTTGCTGTACTAGAGGCTGCGTATCCCTGTATGCCTACTGCTGACCAGCATCTCCTACTCATGGCGTAAATCTGGTGAGACATGGCTGAGGGAACTGATATAAGCTACTATGGCTGGGTTTCAAATCCTGCTAAGTTTATTATTGTTAATGATGACAGGACTTGCAGCTGACATTTACATAAGCCTTCAAAATTAAAACTTGCTTAAAAATACATCATCTAATTCAATTTTCTAAGCAACCCTGGAAGTCGAAGTTATTATTGTCATCTTCATATTATATATGAGAAAATTAAAGCTTAGGGAGGTTAAGTAAATTGTTCGAGATTACACATTTGTTCAAATCAACATATGTTTTTTGAGCACCTACCAGGCATAATATTATATGTTGGCCATATAACATGGAATAAAGTGTCCACCATTGGTTGAATTCTGACTCAAATACAAATCTCTTTAGTTTGAATTTCAAGCTTTTTTCCCCCTGTGCTGCACGATTCTCATTTTACGTAAGTGGAAATGCTCACCAACTACTCTTAGTTTATTCTTGGTTTGACATGACTCATTTGTCTGTCATCTATCATCACTTACTTAAACAATTAACTGGATATCCAGGGATAGAATCCATTCTGCTTTCCCCATTTAGGGACTCCCTTTAAACTCATTTGGGACCTGAAAAATTGGCACCCCTCCCTTGGGTTTTGAGTCTTCTAGTTATACATTTGGTCCAAATAAAGCAGAAATCAGAGCCAAGGATTTAAGAGTTTCATCCTTCCATTTTATAGCTCAGTCCTCAGAAGGATATTTTCATGGTGCTCTAGAATATTCTATGATATGGGTTGTGATTAGAAGCAAAGCAAAGGGAGAAAAAAGTATCTGTAAGGGGTTCCTTGTGTCAAATAAATTAAAGAATCATAGAATTAAATAGCATTAGATTTCTTTACAGAAGAAATTTTCAGTCTTTAACATGCAAACATGATTTGTGAATCATTAAGATAGATATAGATGTATATGTAAATATAGATTTAGAATTGATATATAGATAAAGATACAGATTATAAATATAGATAAATGCAGAAATGGGAGGCAGCATCAAGTGGTATTAAAAGAACAGATTCTAAACCTGGACTGCCAGAGTGAATCCTGACTCCAATAGTTGCTCTCTTGTTTCAGTTTCCTCATCTGTGAAATGGGCAAAATAGAGTTGTGATGATTAATTTAACTAATACCTACAAATCACTTAGAACAGAACCTATGACATGATCAGTGTTCAGTAACTACTACATGAAAATACTAGTATCTAGCTGAATTTGGCATGCAGAGAATCCTGAATGTAAAACCAAAGGGCCTTCTTTTAAATAGCATCTTATGAGATTAATATTACATGAAACACTCTTTGTAAAGTGCTTCCCAAGGATGTAGAGCACAGGTTGGAATAGGTGGAGAAACTGGGTAGGGTCTAGAATATGGAAGAAGAGTTTTGTATAATGTCACTGATGGAGGAAAGATGTTTTCTCTGGAAGAATTTGATCCTTGCCATTGTAGTCTCATCACCAAGAAGGCACAGGTTGGTAGCCCAAAAGCCCAGAAGCCCAGGGTTAGCAAATAAGTGATATGCGTGTCTTTACTTCTGAGTTTTCCCTCATGACAGACATTGCTAATTGATCACAGCACACTCGCCTGCCAACCTTCTCACAGTACTTTGTGCAACTTTACAAAAATGATGGAATATGTATGTGAGATACAGCCTATTTTATATCTATTATATAATATATCTATTATATAGATATAATATAGATAATGATAACATTATAATATAGATAATGATATTATATCTATTATCATTTAGTGGTGAAAAATGTGGCAGTACTTCACCACAACTGTTTCTGAAACCCCAAGCAATAGTTTGGACAACAAATTCTATTGCACCAACAAATTCTCAGCCAGCTTTGTTTAGAATTGACTCTGCTTAGAGCCTGAGGAAGTTAAATAATGGCCAAAGTAATGGCAGTCATAGTAATAGTAAAAGTGAGAAAGAAATTGCTGAATGGTAACCTAGATGACTCTTAAGAATTAACTCCTTCAGTAGGAATTAAGTCAGGCATCCTGTAATCAGAATTAGACAACAATCTAAATGAGAACATTTGTTTTCTCATATTGCAGGCTAGGAAGATCATTCTAGTGGTTGAAATCATGCTATGTCCTGGAATATTTCCCACTACTCTCACTCCCATCTCTATGCACTTTCAATGAGTACAGACTCCAAGACATGGAATCAGAAAGCAGAATTTAGAGATCACCTTACACCTTTTTATCTGACAGGTGAGAAAAACCAGTTCTTAGCGGTAGAGCTGAGATTAGAATGTAGGTCTCCTAAATCCTGGTTCCATGCTCCTTCCACTGTAGAACCTTCCTCCTTCAATGCTGGCTGATACTTCTCCTTTACATCCAAAGATAACCATGTTTTTCACTGAAATATTTCAAGTTTCTTCTCTGCTTTCCTCTCACTGTCTTTAGATAAAACTTGTTTTGATCTACCATATAGACAAGAGGGCTCAGGGAAACATCATTACTTAAAGGAAAATTATTACTGCAATAATGGGTTGTTTTATATTTTGTAGTAAAAAATATAATTTTCTATGGAAAGGAAAATTTTGTTTTAACTATTTAAAGTATTTTGGAGTCTATCTGAGGTCCAATTTGGGCATCCTTATGTTGCATATCTATACATGGGCTAGGGGAGATATTTGACCTCATCATCTGCTTTTTCTCATAACAGTACCTATTCCAGGGACGGAATCTTTCACGGCTCCACACAGGGCCCAGGGAGCAGCCTGTGTTTTGCATAATCATCTGCATGACATTCAGCACTGGACATTCTAAAACTGCCTTCTCATTTGGGGACCATACCAAATGGACCTTTAGGGAGGAATAAATCAATTGGGAGAAAAATCCGAACCTGAATCCTTTCCTTGGAAGTTTTAAAATATAAATTTGTTATGAAAAGTATTTAAGTTTTCATCTCAACTATGTGGTGCTGAGAAACAATAGACATGTTCTCATGTATTTATCTAACAAGCATTATCAAGTGCCTACCATGTGTAGACAGCACTGTCCTTGGTGGTGATAATAATGTAAAACAGATTTAAGAACACAATCTGTTCTACACCAACTTAGCTTAAATTCTCACTAAGGTGATACCATAGGTGAGATCCCCACCTTTTTCCTCTTCTCTCCCTTCTATGGGGGGTTGAACTAGCATCCAATCAGTCCTTTAGATCCTAGGAAGCTCCAGAGTAAAACTAGCTTACTTGGAGTGGGCACCATTTCTCCTAGGTGGCCAGGAAAGCTTCCACTGACAATAACTTTTTTTTTTTTTTTTGTAATGGGGCCAGGCCTCAGGCAGAGGAGGAAGAACCCATGCTTTCCAGCACAGTCACAGAGAAAGAGTAGTGGTCATGGTGGTAGTCTTCTGGTCCCTCAAGGGCAGAGCCAGAAAGCTGATGAAAACAGATGCTTGTGAATGGTGATTACTTCTAGGCAACCTAGTAAGAGGATCAGCCAGTCTTCAGCTCTCACAGGGGTGGAGGCAGGGGGCAGGGGGCTGTCTGCATTCATTTCTCTTGTTTATGGACCATAATATCTCTCTCTCTCTCTCTCTCTCTCCCTCTGTCTCTGCAGGCTACTGATGGAGGTAAGAACACCAATGTATCTTCTTCCAAGGCTTGAGACCTTGTTTCCCCAGCTGGCAAGATATAAGAAGGCATCATGCGTGAGCCTCTGCCTGTGGGGAGGGGGCCAGGGATATGGGGTTGCTGACTGGGAGTGTTGAAGCAGGGCCTGCACATCACAGGTGGAGGAGGCATCCACAGAGGACAATCTGTCCCAGAGGCGGGTCTACAAGGGGTCATCTAAGTGAATGGCAACATCGACCCTTGAGATGCTGACCCTATAGTAAAGAACTCTGAGAATTGTCTGGTGAAAGCTGATGGCCAAAGCTAGCCAAAAGGTAGGGGACCTGACTGGTCCCATTTTCTAGGCATTGCAGGAGAAAAGACTGGAACAACTGTGGTTAGAAGTAATAGCAGGGAGCCCAGCACCAAGGAATACACAGAAGAAAACCCTCAGCTCCAGAACCAGGAATCTAAAACTTGCCCAGGCAGCAAAAGTCACCCCTAAGGATAGAAAACGGGCACCCGGTAACACCTGCATTACATTTTCCTTTCCCTTCTTTCTATAGCCTTTTCTTTATTTCTTCCTTGTTCTTGTTCCCCATTATTTTTCCTACACGACTTTCTTTCTTACTTTCCTTCTTTCATTTTCTTTTCCTTCTCTGCTCCATCTTTCCTTTCTTCTTTCAGTTTTCCCATTATTTCAAGGCTTGCTCCTCTTGCTGAGTATTTTTTTTTATTGCTTTATGTTCTATGGTATTGTATTAGGAGCCTAGGGGCCTCTGCTCTGCTCCTCTTATGCTTATAACCTAAATGGAGCCGAGACTGCTGGACTTCACCCAATATTCACTCTCCTCTTCTCTTTTGGTGGCAAACACATAATGTTATTTGGGGTCATACTGCATTCAACTCAAAGACTGCATATCCCAGTCTTTCTTTTTAGGAGTGGCCAGGTAATCAAGGGAAGGTCAATGAGATGTAAGTTGATTATAATGTGGGACTCAGAAAGTTGACCAGCTGTGAAATGTAGGAGCTGACCACCTGATAATTGCACCCTTTTTGCCCTTTCATCTTCCTTCTTCCTGTTGACTGGAGCATGGGCATGATGGCTGGAGCTCCAGAAGCCACCTTGGACTATGCAGTGAATGTGAGGATGAAAGCTACACAATCAGAGAAGTAGAGAGAAGACAGAAGGAGCCTGGGTTATGTTGACACTATGTGTCCACAATACTAGTGCTGAACTGGATGTCTCTGGACTTCCTATACATGACAGAGAAATAAATTTCTATATTGTTAAGCCATTGATACCTCCAGTCTCTGTGATTATAACTGAACCCCGCCCTAGTTGATTCACTAACCTCATCAAAAAATATTTCACATGCTCCACTATCCCCTCTTCGGTCTTCACTATCAAGGAGTACTTGATGCTTTGAGGGTGACCTGGGCACCATCATGTTAGATGGCTCATCTTAAGCAATGTAGCATCTCTCACTCTGTTCTCCATCCAACAAACCCTTCACAGAAACAACATGGGACTTTGGGGAGTTAGGGGATGTCACAGCTGAAGGCCTGTGTCCTTTGTACTTGCAGTAGAGCCTCCTACAGAAGTGTCATATGGAGAAGCAAAGGCAATCTGTCTGAGGCTGTCAGTTACTGTCCAGGACCTTGGGCAAGGCAACAATTTATGAGATGCCTTTGACTCTGAGTGTAGGAGAGGGCTTCATCAAGCAGACTTTGCTGGCTGTGTTGTATGTACATTCATAAAGTGATTTACAGTTCCCTTGGAAACATGAAAAAGTTTGGGTCTAAATTTAGAGTGTTCACTCTGAGCTGATGTAATAAGCTCAAAGAATATTCAGAATGAAGAAACAGGGGACAATTCACCCATCAATCTATAAACATCAAGCCCATCCATTGCGTCACGGAGACCACAGTTGCTCCTTCAGGAGGTTAGTACCCCGCTTGCTCCTCACAGTCAAAGGACAGAGGGGAGGTGACTACTTTTCTGCCTGCTCTAGGAACTCTGGTCCTCAATGCATTATTTTTTGGTTTACTCCTTTGCCTTCTCAGTTGTGTGAGGCCCCATGACATTTGCCATCTGTCTTCTGTTAAATTTTCTTGCAAAGTGTCTCAGTGTGTGGTCCCAAGGAACCAGCATGCAAAGCTCTGGATGCGGCCAGATTGCATTTTCAAGATTCGTCCACATGCTGGTTTCCTAGGAAGGTTCTGACAGCCTGTGAGATAATGCACATCCATTTCCAGAGAGCAGGCGTGAGGCAGAGCACTGGAAGGAATGAAAGCTCCAGAGAAGCTCCACCTTTTATGTTAGCATATGGGGTGTCGACTGTCCCTGGGAACACAATTCCTTCCCTGGGCCTGATAATGGATCACCTCTTGCCTGAATTGGAGATGAGTCCTCCAACTGATATTGCTCTGCTTCCTGTATGTCGCCCTCCCAGCCATTCTCCAGATGGTTGGAGAGAGGATCTGGCCAGCACCGCGGCTGCTCGCTGGCACCCCCTACTGGCCTGTAACACTGTGACCTTCCCGCCATTTGCCCTGGAGTTGATACATTGTCCATATTAATTCAAAAAAAGTTTATCAAGTTACTGAATAAAACCACGTTGAAACCTTGAAATGTCTCCCCAACATCTATATTCCAAGCTCATTAACTCGACAATAAAAGTGGTCTACGATATGACTCTGTTTAGGCCCCCAACCTTACCTCTTACCACTCCTGGCCCCTTGATTTATGCCCGGGAATACGGTATGTGTGTTTCTCCCTATTTCAGTTCCTACCGTGTTTTGGTACACAGCATGGAGTTTCTGAATTCTCTGAATTTGCTCCTGTTGCTCCTCTGCTAAAGAACCCTTGACAATTCTTGGTTCCTTACTTTCACCCCATCACATGCACCTTACCTCACTAACTCTTTAATTTTGAGACTCTGATATCACCTCTTCCAGGTTGCTTTCCATGATCCTCACCAGGCTAGGGTAATAGTTTCTCCTTTTCACTCCCACAGCCAGCACTCTGTCATTGCACTTTTACGTTGCCTTGGTAATATATTCTTATATTTCTGTCTTCTCTGTTAGACTGTGAGCTCCTTAAGGACAAGGACTTAATTGAGTTGGGAAACTGTTGGAGAGTTACGAGCAGAGGAGTGACATGATCTGAAGTATGTTTTGAAAGATCACTTGGCTGCTTATGCAGAATGGTCTCATGGGTTGGGGAGGGGTGCAAGTTGGAAGTAGAAATACCAGTTAGGACGGGGGTGAGACATGAAGGTGGCTTGAACCTGGGTGGTAGTGGAAGAACAAGTATGTCATGGTCAGATTCTAGATACATTTTGAAGGAAGAATTAATGGGATTCCAGCCTGATGGATTGATAGTTGGTGAGAGAAAGAAGGAAGTAAAAGATAGTGCCAGATATTTTGGTCTGTGGAAATAGAAGATTGACATTCCATTAACTATGATGGGAAAGACCACGGAGGATCAGGTTTAGAACACGGAGTAATTAAAGGCTCAACTGGGGACATATGAAATTTGAGATAGCGATTAGAATTCCAGGAAGTCATACTGAGGGGAACGTTGAATATACGAATCTGGAATTCAAGGGAGAAGTTGGGCTGGAGATGTAAATTTGGTGAATATTCATGGAAATGAGCGGCGTGAGTGTAGGAGGAGAAAAGAAGGATTCCAAGGACTGATCCCTGTGACACATCAGCATTTAGACAGTTCATTGATGTTAGCTGGTTATTTTGCTCGTTAGTTGATGCAGTTTCTTCCTAGCCTTGATGCCTTTACAAATTGGCATGTTTTTGCAGTGGCTGGTACCGGTTGTTCCTTTCCATGTTTAGTGCTTCCTTTAGGAGCTCTTTTAGGGCAGTTCTGGTGGTGACAAAATCTCTGAGCATTTGCTTGTCTGTAAAGGATTTTATTTCTCCTTCACTTATGAAGCTTAGTTTGGCTGGATATGAAATTCTGGGTTGAAAATTCTTTTCTTTAAGAATGTTGAATATTGGCCCCCACTCTCTTCTGGCTTGCAGAGTTTCTGCTGAGAGATCAGCTCTTAGTCTGATGGGCTTCCCTTTGTGGGTAACCTGACCTTTCTCTCTGGCTGCCCTTAACATTTTTTCCTTCATTTCAACTTTGGTGAATCTGACAATTATGTGTCTTGGAGTTGCTCTTCTCGAGGAGTATCTTTGTGGCGTTCTCTGTATTTCCTGAATCTGAACGTTGGCCTGCCTTGCTAGATTGGGGAAGTTCTCTTGGATAATATCCTGCAGAGTGTTTTCCAACTTGGTTCCATTCTCCCCGTCACTTTCAGGTACACCAATCAGACATAGATTTGGTCTTTTCACATAGTCCCATATTTCTTGGAGGCTTTGTTTGTTTCTCTTTATTCTTTTTTCTCTAAACTTCTCTTCTTGCTTCATTTCATTCATTTCATCTTCCATCACTGATACCCTTTCTTCCAGTTAATCGAATCGGCTACTGAGGCTTGTGCATTTGTCATGTAGTTCTCTTGCCTTGGTTTTCAGCTCCATCAGGTCCTTTAAGGACTTCAGGATCAAATTCACACATAACAATATTAACCTTAAATGTAAATGGGCTAAATGCCCCAATTAAAAGACACAGACTGGCAAATTGGATAAAGAGTCAAGACCCATCAGTGTGCTGTATTCAGGAAACCCACCTCACGTTCAGAGACACACATAGGCTCAAATAAAGGGATGGAGGAAGATCTACCAAGCAAATGGAAAACCAAAAAAAGGCAGGGGTTGCAATCCTAGTCTCTGAAAAAACAGACTTCTTTAAACCAACAAAGATCAAAAGAGACAAAGAAGGCCATTACATAATGGTCAAGGGATCAATTCAACAAGAACTTACTATCCTAAATATATATGCACCCAATACAGGAGTACCCAGATACATAAAGCAAGTCCTTAGTGACCTACAAAGAGACTTAGACTCCCACACAATAATAATGGGAGACTTTAACACCCCATTGTCAACATTAGACAGATCAACGAGAAAGTTAACAAGGATATCCAGGAATTGAACTCAGCTCTGCACCAAGTGGACCTAATAGACATCTACAGAACTCTCCACCCCAAATCAACAGAATATACATTCTTCTCAGCACCACACCACACCAATTCCAAAACTGACCACATAGTTGGAAGTAAAGCATTCCTCAGCAAATGTAAAAGAACAGAAATTATAACAAACTGTCTCTCAGACCACAGTGCAATCAAACTAGAACTCAGGATTAAGAAACTCACTCAAAACCGCTCAACTACATGAAAACTGAACAACCTGCTCCTGAATGACTACTGGGTACATAACGAAATGAAGGCAGAAATAAAGATGTTCTTTGAAACCAATGAGAACAAAGACACAACTTACCAGAATCTCTGGGACACATTCAAAGCAGTGTGTAGAGGGAAATTTACAGCACTAAATGCTCGCAAGAGAAGGCAGGAAAGATCTAAAATTGACACCCTAACATCACAATTAAAAGAACTAGAGAAGCAAGAGCAAATACATTCAAAAGCTAGCAGAAGGCAAGAAATAACTAAGATCAGAGCAGAACTGAAGGAAACAGAGACACAAAAAACCCTTCAAAAAATCAATGAATTCAGGAGCTGGTTTTTTGAAAAGATCAACAAAATTGATAGACCGCTAGCAAGACTAATAAAGAAGAAAAGAGAGAAGAATCAAATAGACGCAATAAAAAATGATAAAGAGGATATCACCACTGATCCCACAGAAATACAAACTACCATTAGAGAATACTATAAACACCTCTACACAAATAAACTAGAAAATCTAGAAGAAATGGATAAATTCCTCGACACATACACCCTCCCAAGACTAAACCAGGAAGAAGTTGAATCTCCAAATAGACCAATAACAGGCTCTGAAATTGAGGCAATAATTAATAGCTTACCAACCAAAAAAAGTCCAGGACCAGATGGATGCCCAGCTGAATTCTACCAGAGGTACAAGGAGGAGCTGGTACCATTCCTTCTGAAACTATTCCAGTCAATAGAAAAAGAGGGAATCCGCCCTAACTCATTTTATGAGGCCAGCATAATCCAGATACCAAAGCCTGGCAGAGACACAATAAAAAAAGAGAATTTTAGACCAATATCCTTGATGAACATTGATGCAAAAATCCTCAATAAAATACTGGAAAATAGAATCCAGCATCACATCAGAAAGCTTATCCACCATAATCAAGTGGGCTTCATCCCTGGGATGCAAGGCTGGTTCAACATATGCAAATCAATAAACATAATCCAGCATATAAACAGAACCAAAGACAAAAACCACATGATTATCTCAATAGATGTAGAAAAGGCCTTTGACAAAATTCAACAACCCTTCGTGCTAAAAACTCTCAATAAATTAGGTATTGATGGGACGTATCTCAAAATAATAAGAGCTATCTACGACAAACCCACAGCCAATATCATACTGAATGGACAAAAACTGGGAGCATTCCCTTTGAAAACTGGCAGAAGACAGGGATGCCCTCTCTCACCACTCCTATTCAACATAGTGTTGGAAGTTCTGGCCAGGGCAATCAGGCAGGAGAAGGAAATAAAGGGCATTCAATTAGGAAAAGAGGAAGTCAAATTGTCCCAGTTTGCAGATGACATGATTGTATATCTAGAAACCACATTGTCTCAGCCCAAAATCTCCTTAAGCTGATAAGCAACTTCAGCAAAGTCTCAGGATACAAAATCAATATGCAAAAATCACAAGCATTCTTATAAACCAATAACAGACAGAGAGCCAAATCATGAGTGAACTCCCATTCACAATTGCTACAAAGAGAATAAAATACCTAGGAATCCAACTTACAAGGGATGTGAAGGACTTCTTCAAGGAGAACTACAAACCACTGCTCAATGAAATAAAAGAGGATACAAACAAATGGAAGAACATTCCATGCTCATGGGTAGGAAGAATCAATATCATGAAAATGGCCATACTGCCCAAGGTAATTTATAGATTCAATGCCATCCCCATCAAGCTACCAATGACTTTCTTCACAGAATTGGAAAAAACTACTTTAAAGTTCATATGGAACAAAAAATGAGCCCTCATTGCAAAGTCAATCCTAAGCCAAAAGAACAAAGCTGGAGGCATCACGCTATCTGACGTCAAACTATACTACAAGGCTACAGTAACCAAAACAGCATGGTACTGGTACCAAAACAGAGATATAGACCAATGGAACAGAACAGAGCCCTCAGAAATAATGCCGCATATCTACAACTATCTGATCTTTGACAAACCTGAGAAAAACAAGCAATGGGGAAAGGATTCCCTATTTAACAAATGGTGCTGGGAAAACTGGCTAGCCATATGTAGAAAACTGAAACTGGATCCCTTCCTTACACCTTATACAAAAATTAATTCAAGATGGATTAAAGACTTAAATGTTAGACCTAAAACCATAAAAACCCTAGAAGAAAACCTAGGCAATACCATTCAGGACATAGGCATGGGCAAGGACTTCATGTCTAAAACACCAAAAGCAATGGCAACAAAAGCCAAAACTGACAAATGGGATCTAATTAAACTAAAGAGCTTCTGCACAGCAAAAGAAACTACCATCAGAGTGAACAGGCAACCTACAGAATGGGAGAAAATTTTTGCAATCTATTCATCTGACAAAGGACTAATATCCAGAATCTACAAGGAACTTAAACAAATTTACAAGAAAAAACAAACAACCCCATCAGAAAGTGGGCGAAGGATATGAACAGACACTTCTCAAAAGAAGACATTTATGCAGCCAAAAAACACATGAAAAAGTGCTCATCATCACTGGCCATCAGAGAAATGCAAATCAAAACCATAATGAGATACCATCTCACACCAGTTAGAATGGTGATCATTAAAAAGTCAAGAAACAACAGGTGCTTGAGAGGATGTGGAGAAATAGGAACACTTTTACACTGTTGGTGGGACTGTAAACTAGTTCAACCATTGTGGAAGACAGTGTGGTGATTCCTCAGGGATCTAGAACTAGAAATACCATTTGACCCAGCCATCCCATTATTGGGTATATACCCAAAGGATTATAAATCATGCTGCTATCAAGACACATGCACAGGTATGTTTATTGCAGCACTATTCACAATAGCAAAGACTTGGAACCAACCCAAATGTCCAACAATGATAGACTGGATTAAGAAAATGTGGCACATATACGCCATGGAATACTATGCAGCCATAAAAGATGATGAGTTCATGTCCTTTATAGGGACATGGATGAAGCTGGAAACCATCATTCTCAGCAAACTATCACGAGGACAAAAAACCAAACACCGCATGTTTTCACTCATAGGTGGGAATTGAACAATGAGAACACATGGACACAGGAAGGGGAACATCATACACCGGGGACTGTTGTGGGGTGGCGGGTGGGGGGAGGGATAGCATTAGGAAATACACCTAATGCTAAATGACGAGTTAATGGGTGCAGCACACCAACATGGCACATGTATATACATATGTAACAAACCTGTATGTTGTGCACATGTACCCTAAAACTTAAAGTATAATAATAATAAAATAAAATAAAATAAAGGAAAAAAAAGTGAAAAAAGAGAAAGAGAGCTCATTGATGACGAGAGCCCAGCAAAGGAGAATGAGTAGGAGGGACTATTGAAGTGAGAGGGGAACCAAAAGAGAGGATTCATTGATACCAAGTGAAGACCATGTTTCAGTGTCGGGGGAGGATTCAGTTCTGTTAAGAGTTGAGAATAGATTCAGTAAGATCTGTTAGTCCTATTAGATCCTCAGTCTGAGGACTGAGAGCTGACCACTGGATTTGAAAATGTGGAAGTCATAAATGATTTAAGAACAGAGAAAATATATGCTACAGAATAGAGAGGATATTTGGTGGACTGGTGTCCTTAAGTAGGAGAGAGGGGATAAGATCCAATAAGCAAATGAAGGGGGCTGGTTTTAGATAAAAGCCTAGCCATGAGAGGGAAGGTACTGTATATGGCCATAAAGGCAAGCTGATTGGTAGATGAAAAGGTGGGGGTGATAGAATTTCTCTTTTGATTGCTTCCTTTTCTCAAAGAAATAAGAAGCCAGGTCATCAGCTGAGTATGAAGATGAGAGCATATGTCTTATTCATCTCTGTGGCACCTTCTTGTCCCCAACAATTAACATGATGCCTGGCACATGGTTGGCATTAACACAGGTTGGTAAATAAGTGAACTGCAGGTCTGCCAAATGACTTGACATTAGGGTTTTGGTTTTCTTTTCTGTCTGTCTTGGAGGTGTAATTTCACTCTAGTTTTGATCTGTTTTATGTGTTCAGAACATTTGTTGGAATTGTGCAAAAAGAGAAGAGGGGATATCATGATAGAAAACAACATGTTTTGACTAAAAATATAATAGATGAGTGCTTTCACAGTGTATGCATATAGTGTATTTATATGTATATGTATGTATGTTATAAATATGCTTACTTTTATACCAACTTAAATATTTGTTAATAATACCAGGTACTATATATATATTAAAGGAGAAGCAAATTCATCTTAGATTATTGTTCTTCCCTATTATAGACATGGACAACATTCTGCCAGCTATAAAAATACAGATACTTTCAAAAGATTGTGGGAAGTCAGGTCCATGGATGACCAGCACAGCTGTGTGTGTGTGTGTTGTGGGTGGGGGGTCTAGGTGGCCCCTCGAGCTACATTATAGAAATCACTACAATTCATCTACCTAGTCCTAAAACTGGCCTGAGTAGGACCATGTCCTGTTCTGCCTTCCCAGCTGATGATTTCTGACCAGCTATTTCTCAGTGACTTAGCCCAAAAAGCTCCTAATACTATATCATATTGCCAACAGAAGAACATGAGGAAAGGCTTCTTAAAAAAATCTAAAAACCAAGGTGGTGGGGGTTAGATAAGCAAGGAAGAGGAGTGTGAATTACTAAAAAACAGAAATGAAAAGTTATGTAGAAGCATGACATATTTTGCATTTGGAAGTCTTCCCAACCTGAAGCTAGCTGCAGTGGTAACAGAGGGGGAAAAGCTGGCATCTGTTGGATGATGGTGGAGTCTCTGGGACTGCTGTGGTTTCAATCTGCAGAGGGGCTCCCTGTTTATCTTCTCCCTAGCAGGGGCTCTTGAGGAATACAGCTGGTAGATAGTGCAGTCAATTTTAGTTTGCCTCATTGACCTCCTTTTTTTAATATCTTATTTTTCACTTGGCTTTTGCACCCTCTCTTCCCCCTTCTCTTTCAAGCAATTCATAGAATTTGCTGTGAAAAGCAGGAAGCAGGGCATGTAAACCAGTCTCATAAATTAGGACAAGACGACCCCCCATCAGTTTGGCTCTGGATCACAAAAGTGGTAGGGGGCTTAAGTAGGAGCAAGATGAAAGCAAGTGGAAGTGAAGTGGTCCTAGGGTCATGCCTGAGGAGAGGGTGGAAGATCTGGAGAGAGATGGCTTGAAGCATTTATGTTCAATCCTAGGGCTCTGAAATTATATTGACTGGATTATTGGAAGATTGAGAGTGAGAAGGTGGTCTCAAGGCCAACTCAGACACAAACAGAGATTGCATTTGGAAGCCCCAAACCATGACTAGAGGTGTTGTCTGTTGAGATAGATGCACACAGAGCAACCAGAGAGAAGAGTAGAATGTTTCCCCTGCATCTGCCCTGGCATGCTTCAGCCATTAGCTCTTCTCTTTCCAAGCATTAAAGTATAATAAATAGGAAAAGTCTTGTCAACTGCCCGAGACCATATTTATTCAAATCAGCCAGAATGGGTTTCTCAAAGCAAACGTCAACATATCAGAAAGGTGCAAGTGATCTAGGAGAACGTAGTCTTGAGACAACTCCAAAACAGGTTGTCACACTCAAAGACAGTTGATATATTTCCAGGCTCCACAAATTTACCTATATTGTATACCTTGTTGTAAAATACCCATACTTTTCCAAGTGTTCAGTGCTATTTTGGTCTTAGAAGGCTGTAATAAGTGTGAAATGGGTTGTAAAGATAGTAACATATTCACCCTTGTATATTTACAGCACATTCCTGCAGGCAACTTGTAGCTCAATGGAACATTTATCCTGTAGTATAATTTTTCAATAATATTACATACATTAATAAAGGTAATTTAGAAAAAGCCCCATAAAGTCATTTGACTTTTTCTGCCAATTGCCAGAGTAATAAAAATGTCTTTACTTTATGCCGCAATAGAAAAGCTGTGCCCTTTTGCTTGATTAAGTCCCTTCAGCGTTTACAACTAGATATTTGTGTCTCACTTTATTGCCATCTTATTTTAATTTGAACTATGAATTTCCTCCTCTGAATGGTACTACCCTTATAGTTTTGGAGAATGTCACTCTTACCTTGCACAGCAGGACGATCGAGGCGTGAATCCTGGCCTAGGATGCCCTACCTCTACTAACTGCTCATGATACTTAGGTTATACCCCAGGCTCCCAGGCCAGTCAGGTCTTCCAGTCAATGCTTAGCAAGTGTTTACTCATCATCTTCTGTGTGCTTAGCTCTGTGGTTGGGACTGTAGGGGATACTGAAGCAAGATTGTAGTCTGGGGTGAGAAGTTTTTAAATAGCTTTGCTAAGGCTCTGGGGTAGAGGGTGAGACAGCCCCAGTACATGTTTCAGTTTCTATAGGTGATCACTACATTTCTCTGCCAGAACCAAAGAGACTTGTTTTGGCCTTGAGAAAGAGGGAGAATAGAGAGATGGGAAGAAAGAGGAGGGAGGGTCCATGAGAAAAGAAGATGATGAGTTAGTAAGGAAGGAAGGAAGAAAGAAAAGGCAATGCAAAAAGATGGATTGTGAGATTGATTCCTCCTTAGTTTGAGAAGTGATTTCCTTCTTTGTACTTCTAAAACCTTCAGAAAATTTTACTGTCCCTACAAATGCTCTGGTTAGGGGTTGATTTTTTGGGGTAGAAGATCTGCAGAGGAATCTAATCAAGGACTGGATTTCTAATTGATGTGGGCTTAAGGCACAGGGGCTTATAAAACTGTGTTTATGGGAGAGCTTTAGGCTTCATCTGGCCATGGACTTGGGGGGTGGTCTGTGTCCATTAAATCTAGATCTCCTGGGACAGGGAGGCCCCAGCCAACTTCTGAATTATGCCATAATCAGAGACTCCAGTCAAAATACTTATAACCAGATAGGAAAATTAAAACCAGCATACAAAGCCGAGGCATCTGATAGAGACAATATAACAAAGTGGTACATTGTGAGTTATGGCTGTGCTGATCAGGAGAGGAGGGACCCCTGCAAGATGAGGATGGGTTTTAAATAGCCTCTTGATTTCGTGACCGAGAAATCTAAGACCCCTTTAAAGGAATATGCGAGACTCAATGGAGGCCTTAAATGGTCTAAGGATTTGGATCAGCTGAACGGAATCTGGGGACATGCCAAGAAAGAGGTGCACATGAACAGGTGCATGACAGGTACAGGAAGTGTGGCTGGCCCACCACTGGGTTCCTTACTCCTTGGTCTGTGCTCAGAGCTTCCTGAGCCCTGGTTCCTACAAATATGTTAGGTCCTGACTCAAACCTGTCCTTCACACACCACATCCCAGAATTAACAAATACCATGGTTTATTCACTCATTCATTCAAGATGGCAAGTAGCATTCTTATGGCTAGAATTACAGTGTAAATAATACAGGCACAGTTTCTGCTGTGCTGTCTCATGGGAGAGACAGAGGCCTAGCATGTAAAGCCACACAACCAGACAACTCTAAATTGTAATTGATGACTTGGAGAAAACCAACAGGCTGCTGTTGGATACCACTGCAGAGCCTTGCTGGGGAGGTGATGTTTCATCCGGGACCTGAAGAAATGATAAAGCAAAAATCATGCAGAGAGTATGGGGACAGAGGAAGGAATGACTCAGGGAGAGGGGAAAGCCTGTGCAAAGGCCCTGAGTGGGGAGCGAATCTGACGCTTTGGAAGATTTTTGAAGATTAGCATGGCAGAGTTAGTAAGGCAGTAAGAAGCCTGAGGCAGCCGGGCGCGGTGGCTCACACCTGTAATCCCAGTACTTTGGGAGGCCAAGGTGGGCGGATCATAAGGTTAGGAGATTGAGACCATCCTAGCTAACACGGTGAAACCCCATCTCTACTAAAAACACAAAAAATTAGCTAGGTGTGGTGGCAGGCACCTGTAGTCCCAGCTACTCGGGAGGCAGAGGCAGGAGAATAGAGTGAACCTGGGAGGCGGAGGTTGCAGTGAGCCAAGATCGCACCACTTCATTCCAGCCTGGGGGAAAGTGCGAGACTCCGTCTCAAAAAAATAAAAAATAAAAAAAGAAGCCTGAGACAGAGCTGGGGAGAGAGTTGGATCAGATACCAGATAATTTAAAGCCTTGTAAGCCAAACAAAGGAATTAGATTCTATGCAGACCACAATGAGAATTCATCAAAAGATTTTGAGCAGAAGTTTTAAACCTGTTCAAGGATTTTTTTTTCCATTTCTTGGTCTCTCTGTGAAAATTTTCAACAATAAATTCAACACAAAAAGTGTTGACTTTACAGGCATGTACAAGCTGCAGTCATCTGTGCTGCAGAAAATGGCATAACCTGCTAAGGTTTACTCATTACAGGTCCCAGAGCAGCCAACAGATGGATAATAACATTTAGTCACTGCCGACTGGTAATTACAGTATATATTTAAAGAAGAAATAAGTACATTTCCTGCTTCAAGTTCTCTGTTATGAAATGGAGAACCAATATTTCCCAAATTGTATACCACTCATGCAATCCATAGTTCCCAGAACTGATAGAAAACTCCCCGAGGTTAATAATTCATGCATGACCTATGATTGCAGTTGTACGTTGTATCTGTTTTCATTAGATGTTCCCCTTTATTGAGTTTTCACAGTGCACATCAGTAGCCTCTATGTGCCTCTGCTCAAAATAAGCTGATTGCTTTTAAAATGTTCTGGACGATATAATTTCATTCGAGCCATTATGGGAAACACACGGTTCCTGTGTGTCTGGCTTTTTAAATCTTTTCACACTCTTGTCTAAGACTGTGGTTTGGTTATTGATCCCAAACTATCTAGGTCTAAAGAATTGTGGCTCTTTTTTTCTTATGGATGGATTTGCCCCTCCTGCTCCTCAGTGCAGGATTTTCTGATTCCGAGAGGAGGGTTTCTAATTCAGGGCATTTTGCAAGAAGGCATTGCACATATGTTGACACAAACGAAGTTCTTGGTTTGAGTGCAGCAAGAGAATCACAGCTCAGCCACTCAGAGCCTGATGCTTGTACTCAGGGAACTGCTGCATCAGAACCAGAGTTTGGGCTCTGACCTGGCTCTGTACCAAATCCTTGGGTCAGAAGCGGGGCTCTGTCACATCTTCCTTTGAGGGATTCATTGTTCCATCCACAAAATGGCTATTATTTTTTCTTTATTTTAGTTTCCTGGGACCAGATAGAAATTTCTGAAATAAGGGTTGCCTTGTAGTTATGGGTGACATAGTCTAATTTATGGCTCTCATCTTTTTCTATCTGATTTAAAAACCAAACTGAAGCTATATTGCTATGAAGATAAAACTCATATGTATAGATCCATCGACAGATATGTACAAACACATACATTATTAATAGTAGCCATTTCTGGAGGGTGAAATTTTAATTGTTCCTTTTGTTATCAATATTTTCTAACTTTTTTGCAATGAACCCAAATTATTTGTATAATTTTAAAAAAAGCAAAACAAAAAAAATCTCGTTCTTGGTGCTCATTGCAAGGGACCTGTAAGTCATGGTCAGCTGGAAAAAGGAGAAAAATGATGGCCCTAAGATAGCCTGCAGGACCAGCCACCCCGCGAGGTACTCAGGGTGTGGCTGCCTTGGACTTTTGTTGTGTGTATGTGTGTTCATGTGTCTGTACATGTGTATGCATATGTGTATTCATATGTAATGGGCATGCATGTATGTGTGTTGTATGCATGTGTGTTATATGTATGTGCAAATGTGTACGTGTGTATGTGTAATCATGTGTATGGGCATATGTGTTATGTTTACATATATGTGTGGTATGTTATATGCATGTGCATGTGTGTTTGCGTGTATGTGCATGTGTGTACGCATATTCGTGTGTGTTCCAGATGCTCGGAACCATCCCCACACTGCCCCCGGGACACAAGCCCAGCACCCTCATCTGGGATCTTTCACTCTTCACTTGGATTTCTATCTTCTGGAAGTAGGGGTGGTATGGAGTCAGGGGAGGAGTGGGTGAGGAGGGGGTGGGGAGGGGAGAGGCCTGGTCCCTTCCTAGTCCCCCACACCAGCAGTGGATTTGTTCTTCTTCTTTCTCGGCCTTCCTCCTGCTTCTCTGAAGGTTTTCATTCCCATTCTCCCCACTCCTCCTTCTCTGATTTTATTCCTGCTCTTTTTTGGAGGGTGGGCAGCGGGAAGGAGGGAAAGGCATGGGTCTTACATCATTCATTGTTCTGCCTTCTTCCCGGCCCTTGTTTATGGCTAGCACGTTTGGCATTCAGTTCCTTCTGCTTTTGACTCTTGATAAAGTCAAACTTTTGGAACTTAGGAAACATTTTCTCTATAAATCAGCAAATTGAAAAGTCTTGGTCCTTTTGTGAATCAGAAGCAGGGGGACCTCAAGAATGTTGCCTCTGCTGTGCCTTTTACAATGCCTATTTTGGAAACATGATTTCTGTGTTGTCTCTTTTTTGTTGTTGTTGTTGTTAGTTGCTTTCTATTCTTGATTTTGTATCCTTTCTATTTGTAGGCAAACAGTGGCTCCTGAGGCAATGAAGGCCTTAGCTCCGTGTGGTCAGGGAGATGTGTGGAGCTCAACAAGGGAAAATTCCTCAGTTAATATCACCAAATTTCATTCCAACACATGTAATGTGGGACCAATTATGTACCTATTCCTTGAGGTTGTTATGAGGATTTAATGCGATAATCCGTGAGAAACCTTTAGCACACTGCCTGGCATGTAGAAAGGGCTCAATAAATGTTGTCTGTTATTATTATTACTATCAGTGTCACGCTGCTCATTGCTTTCCACTAGGAAAAGAAAATAGACTTCCGGATTCACTGTCCCCAGCCCATGAACAGAGGTGGTTTGGAAGCCATGGCAGCACCCAGTGACCTCCACCTGTACTCTTCTCCTCAAACTTGGCTTCTCTGATTAGGTGAGCCCCCGAGCCCTGGTAGGTAGCCTTATCTTACCTCCCACATCCTGCTCTAAGTAGCCTTCAGGGATTTTACTTTTATTTTTATTTTTTTGAGATGGAGTCTTGCTCTGTCACCCAGGCTGGAGTGCAGTGGTGCAATCTTGGCTCACTGCAACCTCCACCTCCCAGGTTCAAGTGATTCTCCTGTCTCCCGAGTAGCTGGGACTACAGGTGTGTGCCACCACGCCTGGCTAATTTTTGTATTTTTAGTAGAGATGGGGTTTCACTATGTTAGCCAGGATGGTCTCGATCTCCTGACCTCGTGATCCGCCCACCTCAGCCTCCCAAAGTGCTGGGATTACAGGCATGAGCCGCTGTGCCCGGCGCCTTCAGGGATTTTATAACTTCCCAGTCTGGTGGTCAGCAGCTCACTGTGCTCCTCTATCCACCTCAGACTAGGCCAAGGTTAATGTTCACATGTAACACATAGACACTTAGGTATGCTGGCTCAGCTTTCGAGCTGTGGAGGCAACCAGAAGCCACTGGAGGAAGCCAACCAACCACACACCCTCCCAGGTGGGTAGCAGTGTTTCCAGGTTCAAGGCTTCCGATATTCACTTTCGTGACCACTAGAAGTCCACCAGCAAACCTGTGGTATAGGACTTAGCCTGGGGCTGTTTCTATTCCAAAGGCAGGCAGGGGAGCACAGGGAGGGAGTGGATGTGGTTCTGAGTTGTCCTGCTTCCCTCCATGCCAAAAAACAGGTCTGGTCTGATCCTGCACCAACACAGAAGAGTGGTCTGGTCAATGTTGTTCACTTTGGTCCTTCCTTGAGTCAGGGAAGACCTGGCTCCAATCTAACACGATTATTTTTCTGTAGGTCCTGGCATCTGACCCAAGTATCAGCCTACCGGCATTGCCACCTGCGGACACATTTACATGGTAATAGATTATGGGAGGTTCTGCAAAGACTCTGAACTGTCTTATCCACAATAGTAGAGACCACTTGGAGTTGTAGGGAGCACTGTGTGGGAATTGCCATCTGCCCAAGCAGCTTGATTAGATGACATCTGCAGACCTCCATAGAATCAGCTGGTAAAAAACATTTTTCCCAGGGCGCTCTGCTCCTCCTTTGTTCTCACACACACAAACACATATGCATGCATGTGCACACACAGATGCATGTGTGTGCATGCACATACAAACAAACACACACTTGCCCACAGAAATTCCCAGGGTACCACAGGCTCTGAGTATCTCAAGGGTGGGCTAGTCCCACAGGATGTCTTAAGGGCCATCATTCCTCTCCCTTTCCTTCCTCTTTTTCTTCTTCCTCTGCACATGCTAGATTCTTGAATATATTCAGTGGTTCTGCAGACCTGTTATGAGTCATTTTGTGCTGGTACTGGGTCAGTTGCTAAATGAATAGTCCTGAAGACTAGATATTCATGGCTGCTGCCTGTCCCTGGAAAGGCGTTAGTAAAGATTAAGGTAAAGGGAGAAACTAAAAAGATGAAGCTACAAGGAAATACTGAGACTTTACCAACAGGTCAGAAGAAGCATGGGGATCCCATGGGATGGTTAGCATGTTGGGCCCCAACTGACTTGGGCTGGATTTTTGAAGAGATTTTCTTTCACCTGCTCATACAGGAGGGAGGAGAGGCCTCTGAGTTAAGATGGCCAGGAAAATCCTGCCACTTTTCATTTGAGATTTGAGCCTCTCTCCCCAAGCCTTCCTTCTTTGTAACCCAGAAGTCTCAGTTTTTCTGCCCGATCACAGATGGACTCCACCTGCAGCCTCTCAGCCACCTTCAGCACAATCATGCTTTGCTTTTGCGACACCTGCTCATCCTGTAGTGCAGGCTCACTGTCCCACCATGCCTATTTTCTCCCTCAGTCCACCTCTACCTGGCTTCCCTTCCTTCTACCATCTGGCTTTAGGTCCTGGGCCTGCCACTCAAACTACTCTCCTGGAGGAGGGTCAGCTCCTTCACTGTCTTATGCATTTACTGCATCTTCTGGAAAAGTTCCAACACTCCACCGATAGACCCTCTTCCTTACCTGGCACTATGGGGAGAAAAACTTCCAATCTTGTCATTTGGTGCCAGGAAAGATTCATGGTCTCTGGATTCAGCAGGGCCCCAAGTGGGGCTTCACAGTCACTCTCTCTGTTCCTCTCCCCTCAGAACCTCACCCCTCACCTCAAGCCCTAGTCCCTTGCAACTGTCAGCTGATCTTAACCTTTAGCAATGACAAAAATGGAGATATTTAGGTAGAATCCTCTAAGACCCAGCTCAGGGACCACCTCCTCCAGGGAGACCTCCCTGATAGCCGAGGACCTCTCCCAGTGCTGGGTTAAGTTCTCTGCTCTGGGCTCCCAAAGTGGCTTGTTAGACAGCTGATAGCTCATAACATGTATCACACCAGAGAGGTCTTTCACCCTGTTTACTTGTTTTACTTGTCTTCTGGACAGTGAGCTCCGAGAGAACAAAGACTGTATCTTCTTTCTCTGTAGCTAGAGTGCCTGGCACAAAGTTTAAGTGCTCAGCACATTTTGTCTGATGAATGAATGAATGAAAGCTTCCTTCATAGAAATATGGACCTTGACCAGGAGGGTTGTGTGGGACACAGCAGTTAGGGGTAGTGGCTCTTCCTAAAAGGGCCCATAAAAATCTAGGGGGTCCTGAGAAACCATCTGCAGCACTGGGGTCTGAAAGCACAGTTAAGTTGCATCCATCTATCTGTGACATCCCACAGATTGTTAACTGCTCATTTTAGGGGAAGGGGAGTAATTTCCTCCACCATTCTTTTTTTCTCACACAGATAAATTCACCTTTAGCTTGAAGTTTGGATTATACAACCCCACTACAAGCTGGTGCAAGGCAGACTGTGAAGGGGATGAAGGCATTTGTGATTCTCCTCTCCTCTCATTGCAACCTTTTGTTTTATCTGACCAAAGAGCTCAAAAACTTAGAATTTCCAAGCTACAAAGGCCTGATAATCTGGCCCAATTGCCTGCCTTTGCACTTGAGGAAACTGAGGCCCAAAGAGATTTAAAGCCTGCTCAAAGCACCTGGTTAGTTTTTTTTTTTTAATGTTTTTATTTTTTTATTATACTTTAAGTTCTAGGGTACACGTGCACAACGTGCAGGTTTGTTATATATGTATACATGTGCCATGTTGGTGTGCTGCACCCATTAACTCGTCATTTACATTAGGCATATCTCCTAATGCTTTCCCTTCCCCCTTCCCCCACCCCACAACAGGCCCTGGTGTGTGATGTTCCCCTTCCTGTGTCCAAGTGTTCTCATTGTAAGGCACCTGGTTAGTAAGAGGGGTGATCTAGAAGCCAGCCGCCAGCCTCCAGGCCTCCAGTCTGGTGCTCTGCCATGCCATGTGGCTTCCTGCAGGGGAAGCCTCAGTTACATCTCTCCAATAGGGGATTTTGTCACTGTGGGACTAGGATTGGGGAGACACTTTTGGATACGCCGTCCCAGAGGAGCAGACATGTGGAACCTGCTGAAAGTAGTGCGGCGGCTGGCATTCCCTCAGCCCTTTATGGAGCCCGTCTATCTCAGCAGCAGGTAGAGCTATCTGCTCCCAGCTTGGCAGGATTGTAGCTCTTACTGATGAAAGAGAAATCAAGCCAAGCCTGAAAAATGACTTAGCATTTTGAACGTTGGAGAGACACAGACTAATGCGTTCTCTCCTTATATGTTATATGGTTCAGTGACTTGGCTGTACTTCTATAACGAATTGCTCTGGTTGTACCCAGCCAGGTCTTACCTGTCATCTCTGAGCTCTCTGGGAATACAAAGCCTGACGTGGCTGAGAGTGGACATGTGCTTTGGGTATTATGTCAAGTGTGCTGTGCCATGCCACATGTTTCTCTGTCCCAGGCTCCCACTCAGGGGCAACCAACGCAGCAGCCAAAAGAGAGGAAGCAGAAGTTAGCAGCTGAGGTGAGAATGTAATGGGGACCAGCATCGTGCACCGGTGCCTCCCTTCTGTCAGCTTCCTTTGAGGTCCCAGGACCCCTCTATTCTGCTACACTTTCACTCTGGATGGTCAAATCAGATATTCAGACTTAAGGAATCCCACAAGCATTGGGAATGCCTCCTGTGTGCAGGCACTGTTCTGGGCTCTGAGGCTCAGCAGTGAACAAAGCGCCCTGCTCGAAAGTCTAGCGGGGGAAATGACAATACACAAGAGTAATGTGATAGGATATCAGGGCTGTAACTTTTACAAAGAAAATAAACCCTGGAAACAGGGCCTGGGGACTGCATGGGCACAGGGGGCTGCTGCAACCCAGGTGGACGGGGGGACGGCTGTCGGAGGAGGAGGGATTTCAGCAGAGACCTGGATGGAGAGAAGGAGCTGGCCACACTCAGGCCTGGGGAAGATTTGGTGCAAAGGCCCTCCCAGGCCATGCTTTGGGTGTGTGAGAGCTGGGCAGAGGCTCACATGGCTGTAGCCTGGGAAGTTGGGGGGACAAAGGTGACAGAAGCTGGGACCTGTGGGGCCTAGTGGATGAGGGAAAAGAGTTTAAATTGTGAAGTTTGGAAGAACTGTAAGGGAGTAAAGAGTGACGGGAACTGATTTGTATTTTTAAAGGATGACCCTGCACACTACTGTTTGTAGCAGCATGATTCACAATAGCCAAAAGGTGGAAAAAGCTCAAATGTCCATTGAGGGATAAATGGAAAAACAAAATGTGGCATATATATACCATAGCATACTATTCAGTCTTAAAAAGGAAGGAGATTCTGACACATGCTACAACATGGATGAACCGTGAAGTCATTATGTGGAGGGAGAGAAGCCCTTCAGACAGGGGGCAGCGGGAGTTACCGTGTAATGGATGCAGAGATGCAGCCAGCATGATGGAAAAGTTCTGGAGACAGATGGTGGTCACGGTGGTACAACAATGTGAATATAGTTAATGCCAGTGAATTATACACTTAAAATTGTTAAAATGGTATCTATTTTTATATATCTCTTACCAAAACAAAAGACAAAAGAGAACCAAAGACAACCCTGCCTTCTGTGTGGAGAATCTAGAGAGACAAAGGAAAGGATGAAAACGATACTTACAGAAAAGTTGCAAGAATAGGGCAGAAACTCCCACTAATGCCTCATCCGGATGATTGGTGACGTGTTTTGGAAATAAAGCTGAGCCAGACTTGATGCTGAGCCAGGTGTGAGGGCTGAGGGAAAGAGAAGTTTATGGTCTGTCCCCTGGAGCCATAGAAAGTTAGATGTGGAAGGGAAGCAACTGAGTCACAGACTGCCAGGTACTAGATCACAAAGATGAGCCCGGAGAGGGGAGGGGACCTCTCTGGGGACACACAGGTTTCTGCAAAGGGCCATGATGTGAGCTTAGGTTTCTAACTTGCAGTTTTTTGGTTTTTAAACTTTAATTATTTATTTATTATTTTATTATTATTATTTTTCAGAGACAAGGCATCTCTCTGTCATCCAGGCTGGAGTGCTGTGGCGTGATTATAGCTTACCACAGCCTTGAGCTCCTGTGCTCCTCCTGGGCTCCAGTGATCCTCCTACCTCAGCCTCCCAAGTAGCTGGGACTACAGGCATGCACCACCACACCTGGCTAATTAAAAAAGTTTTTTTTAGAGACTATGTCTCGCTTTGTTGTCCAGTCTGGTCTCGAATTCCTGGCTTCAAGTGAGCCTCCTGCCTTGGCCTCTCAAAGTGCTGGTGTTACAGTCATGAGCCACTGTGCCTGGCTGTTTTTATTTTTTTAAATCAAGGGTGAAACATTTTCATTTTAGCCATATTTCACCTTTATGAAAAGGTCAGCCAGGTGGTGAGAAAGGGGTGGACAGGGTGAATTTTTTCCAGAGATGGGGCCCTGCTGTCCTCACAGGCAAAGGAAGATGTGCTTAGGCCTAGTACTGTTGCAGCCACTCAACAGTTCCTCAGTTTCTCCATCTTCTAAATGGGTCTGGTTGTCTGTCTGTTGGGGTTGGTCTAGTTGTCTGTCTCTTGGGGTTGTTAAAAGGGTTTTAGTAGACAGAGCTCTATCCAAAACATCTCCCATGCTCCTAAATGTCTTCCACGCTTCTTGCCACAGTGTGTGAAATTCCCATTGTTAGAATCATTCATCCAGATTACAGGCAGAGGCCAGAGAATGTTCAGGAGCTGCTGGCCATACTGCATTCATTCATCCATTCATTCACAGTGTGCCAAACTCTACGCTAAACATAGGGTGGTAGAACTAAGACATTCTCTCTTTCCCACAACAGCTATTCAGATAAGATAAAAAGAGCATGTGCTCTGCAGTCCAGCAGAGCCCTCGGAGTATTGGTTCCATTGTGTTTTATTCATTCATTTATTTATTTTTTGAGACAGAGTCTCGCTCTGTTGCCCAGGCTGGAGTGCAATGGCGCAATCTCGGCTCACTGCAACCTCCCCTCTCCTGGGTTCAAGCGATTCTCCTGCCTCAGCCTCTGGAGTAGCTGGGATTACAGGCATGTGCCACCACACCTGGCTAATTTTTGTGTTTTTAGTAGAGACGGGGTTTCACCATGTTGGCCAGGCTGGTCTCGAACTCCTGACCTCAGGTGATCCACCCGCCTCGGCCTCCCAGAGTGCTGGGATTACAGGTGTGAGCCACCATGCCGGTCTGGTTCCATTGTATTTTAGCTGAATGATTTTAAACAAGTATCTTACACTCTCTGAGGCTTGGTTTCTTCATCTGCACGGTGGGAACACGGGCAGCTTTAAAGTATGGCTACAAGTTCTTTTCTGCTCCTCCCATCATAGGTGGGGTCTATATCCCTTCCTCTTGAATCTGAGCAGCTTGTGATTGCTTCAACTAATAGAGGATGGAGGAAGTGATGTTCTGTGTCTTCTGAGGCTACATTGTGAAGGCAATGAAGCTTCTTCCTTGTTCTCAGGAATGCTGAGCCGCTACATAAGCCACCATGCTGGAGAGGTCACACTCATGCTGATAATCCCAGCCTGTGAGTTATGCCAGCAGTGGGCCAGACATGTGCATGAAGAAGCCATCCTGGAAACAGATCCTCCGGTCCCCAAGAGCCCGAGCCTCCGGCCATTCTACTACCCAGAGACCAGCTAGTTACATCTGCTCTGCATTGTTCAAACTCCTCACCCATGGAATCTGTGGGCATAATAGAATGGCTGTTATTTTATACCACTAAGTTTTGGGGTGGTTTGTTACACTGATAATCAGAACAAGGCCGATACAATATTCCTTAGAATTAATGTGCATTTTAAATGAAAAACGAAAAACCTTACAAAGCATCTAGCTTCTTATAGGGCCCCAATAAGTAGGCGTTTCCCCTTTCAAAAGAAAGATCCTTGCTGTCTAGCAGTAGGAGCAGGCATGCTATTAATAAGTAAATACAATGTGTAAACATCATAACAGATTTGAAAACCAAGTGGAAAACACATCAGTCAAGGCACTTTTTAATATTTTGAGGATTTGGGACTGTGGGACTATGTCAGGGAAGTCTTCAGAAGGAGGAGACATTTGAATGACATCCTGAAAAGCCAGAAGGGTTGTTTGGAGTTCACCAGCAGACAAAATGGGAGACATTCGAGGAAGAGAGGCAAGAACTTGAGGTTGGCAATGATCTTGGAAATAGTTTCTCTACTCCCACCTGGGCTCCTTGTCAGGCCCTCCTAAACAGGGCAGCCAGAGTAGGTCCTTGAGGATGAAAGTTGGGTCCTGTCACTGGGTTCCAACTCCCACGGAGTCACCCTACTGGTGACCTGCATATGGAGGGACCACATAATTTGTCATCTAAACTGGGGTGCTTTGAGAGTGAACGGGGGCACTATTAATAATTCTTCCAGGACAACAGAACAGACCTAATTCAGGATTGTCCTGAGCAATCAAGATGTGTGGTCACCTCACCTACGTGCCAGCTCTAAGGCCTGTTGTACCTGCCTGATTGCATCTGCCCTGAGCTCACTAGCTCACCCGTGCTCACCCTAGTCCAGCCACACTAGCTTTCCTGATGACTCCTGAATACGCCAGGCAAGTTTCTGCCCCAGCCCCTCTGTACCTCCAGGTCCCTCTGCCTAGGGTGCTCTTGCTTTGGAAGGTCACATGACTTGTTCCCTCACTTCCCTCAAGTCTTCACTCAATGTTATTTGAGTGAAGGGCCTTCCTGGCCAACCTATTTAAAGCGGACTCTTCCCATAGTCTTCACTTCTTCCTTGCTTTGTTTTTCTTATAGTATCCATCACCTTCTAATATACTATGTAATTTACTATTTATTTTGTTAATATTTTTGTGTCCCGTCACTACAATGCAAGTTCCACAAAGGCGAGGATTTTTGACTGTTTTATTTGCTGCTGCATCCCTGAATGTCTACAACAATGCTTGACACTTAGACGGTGCTTAATAAATCTCCTAAGTAAAAGTAGTTGACTGGCCTCCTTAATGAAATATAGTCTCAAAATGAACAGTTCAGGCAGTTCAGCCTAAGTGTACTGAAGAATGTTTTGCATGAGAGATTTTTTTTAAGTTAGCAGCTCTTGAAAACATCCTAGAGCCATGTCTAAAACAAAATGTATGGCCCATGTTCAGCACAATTTTCTGTTATAAACTTTCCCTCCACATCTCTTAGTATCATAAATTATTATAGCTAGAAGAAATCAGTTCTAAAATTCTATGATTCTAAGTGACAAGCTCTATTATATCTTAAAAAAGTTGAAATGATCTATTTTCTGGATAGCCAAGAAAACCGGAGGTCAGGGCAGTAAGGGGAAACTGAGGATTTAGACAATTTATGAGTCAATTTCTGAGGTTGGCAGACTGTTGGCCTTTCTCCCAATTGCTGTGGGGGGCATTTCAATCCTGCCTCTAGCTGCTGGAATAATACTTCTTCCATTTCTTTAGCTCTCCTCTAAAGTCTGCAGATTCGGGTAGATAAATTGTCAGCAGTCCTTCCCATTTCTGAGGCATTAAGCTTAAATCCTGTTAAGGTTCCTCATATATTAAAAATAAAACTTCTATTAACTTTTCCCCTGTCTGTGCGATCAGAGTTAAATTAATTTTTAACACTTGGGTAGAACAGCAGAAGAGAAATGTGCCCCCAGAGCCACCATGCACCGGCTACTGGTCGGTTAGGGAGACTTGAACCATCAGACTCCTGGCAGATGCTGCCCCAACCACTAGGATGTGTTGGGAGGGGCTCCATTCCAATAGACAGCGCCCATAGGCATTATAAAAGATATTGGTGGCATCCCAGGCTACAGCCATCAGGCCACATGCAGGCAGATTGCTAAGCAAGACATTGAGCCGTGGCCTGGTGGTAGACCACTGAGTTGGCCGGCCAAGCCAGCCTGTCTGGTTTGGTCATGTGGCATCCTTACTCCTAGATAAGATGCTCTGTTACTCACCCACTGTGCCCAGGGAAATAGCTCGTTTCTGGGGCTGAATCTATGGTGTGTGAGAACATGGGCTCTACACCAGATCTATAAATGAATGTGTTTTCATCACTTCAAAGCTAGGAGACCTTGAAGCAAAAAAACAGAAAGAAAAAAGAGCTACTATTGACATTGCACTTACTTTGTCTTGGGTACTGAGAAAAGATATGCATGTATGTGTGTATAATACATCTAACAATATTACATTCAATAGCTATAATTTGTAATTTTATTAGGTATATATTTATAAAACAGAAAGAGGTTTTCCTCATTGAATCCTCCTTCGTACAGTTAAGTATTATTTCCCCACTTCTTAGATGAAGAAACTGAGGTCCAGGAACAAAAATTGATATCATAAAAGCCATGCAACTGGCAAACGCCAGAGTTGTTGTTTAAACTCATGTCTGTCTGAATAGAAAGTGAGTATCGTTAACCAAATAATACAAATTATTCAAAATCTCTGATCCTAGGTTTTCCATCTGTAAAATGGGGAAATAGTACCCACTTCACAGGATTGTTGTGAAAATTAATGAAGATAATGTGTGTAAAGTGCTGAGCACAGAGCCTGGTGCAGAGCTCCATAAATGCTAGGTATTGTAGCAGTAGTAGCAGTAAATGCTAGCTATTGTAGTAGTAGTAGCAGTAACTAAATTCCCTCTTTCTTGCAAGTCATTAGAAGGTCTTTATGCTCAAATTAATGTTATGATTACTGTGTAAACCATTATGCTGTGTGTACTTTCTGGAGTTAATAATAGCACCATAGATTTACTCATCAATCCATTCATTCATTTGTTCAATATATATATTTGTTCAAAGGGTATGGGATTTAAGAAGGACAAGGCATGCACCCTGTCTTCAAGGAGCTTACAATCTGGTTGGGGAGGTCAAACATATACACAAGCTAAAATAAATAATAATTAACGCAATATATGAGCTAAGGCAAATGAGTAAGGTTTGAGGAGGGGAGTCACCACAGTGTACAGCTGTGGAGGTGAGCTGGAGCTGGGGTCTAGAGTAAGCAAGATTTGGCCTTTAGAAGAGAGGATGGTCAGGACACCTCGTCCCAAAGTCAAGAAAGTGCTTTGGACACCAGCAGGCAGTCTCCCTCACAAATGGAACTTTCATTTTGCAACCTCTATTTTGTGATACACAAATTTGGGCAGGAATTCAGATAAACAGTTTTACAGAGGTCTGATTTGAAATAGGAGCAAAGTGCTTTCTTTAAAAAGAGGTGTCCTATTCCTTAAGAAAAAATATTTTGAATGCAAAGATTATATTGTTACACAGACCACGGCCATTATCACCATCACTGTCAGCATTATGATCATCACCATGTCCACTGTCCTCCAACTGTCATCATCGCTTCTACCACCACCACCATCATCACCACCACCATTAGCACCTCCACCAACACCATCACCACCACGTTAACCACACAACCAAACCATCACCACCACCACTACCACCATCATCATTAACAACATCACTGTTGCCTCTACTATTACCACCATGACCACCACCATCATCACCTCTACTATCATTACTAATACCACCAATATTATTACCATCACCATCCCTTCTGCCATCACTACCACCTCCACCACTACCACCAACACTATTATCATGACCTCCCCCATTGCCATTATCACCACCACCATCACCACCATTCCCTCAATGCCATTATCACAACGACCACCACCATCATCACCTCTACCATCATTACTGACACCATCACCATTGCTACCATCACCTCTGCCACCGTCATCATTACCTCCAAGATTATTACTACCACCATTACCACTGCCATCTCCACCAGGCAAAACTCCTAACCTCTGAGCCAACATGATTATGAAAATCTGCATTTTAAGGCTCACACCAGTGCAAAATGAGTAAGAGATTTATTTCTCCTGCTCTCTAATGTGAGGCCAAGTGGGAGCTGGTCTTGACTCTAAACAAACCTATTGAGAACACCTTCCCCAAATTGTGACAATTTGTTAAGGCCAATGCTACAAAGAAAATGCATTAAGTAATTGGCCTTACTCTGAACCAAGGTTCCCACCTCCTCAAGTGTGTCTGGCAATCTGAAGGAAGATCCAGTTCTTCACAGTTCCAGGAGGTGGGGTGGCAGCAGTGGTGGCCATGGAGAGGGGAGCCTGAGAAAGTCTGGCAGACAGGGGCTGTTTCTCTCCCACTCAAAGCAGCCCACTCCCTTCAGGCAATAGACAGCTCTGACTTCAAACCCTAGCCAGCAATACTGCCACATGAGTAATGCCCGGAAAGATTCTATAAATGGTTTCTTTCATCTCCTATTGAAATGAAAGAACAAGAGAGAGAGAGAGAGAGAGTAGAAATGAATTGTATTCCTACTGCAGAGAGTTCATTTGATAAATAATGTATATAGAGTTTGCAGTAATAACGGCTCTTTTCCGATTCAGCATGTGTGGGTGAGTTTTGACATATATTCTCTGTATTTCTAACAGACGGTGACTGACTGGTGCCCAGATTGGCATTATGAAAAGCAAGGCAGACTGCTAACATTTGCTGTCATGTCAGAAAGGTTAATCTGGTTTTTCCCCTGAGCTGGAGGCAGGGATCCTTTGCCTTTCAGTGAAGGTGTGAGAGGGGAGGCAGGAGATAGGTGGAGGATTTGCCTTGCTCTGGGCTCCTAGAAATGGGAAGCAAAGTGACACGTGCCCAAGGTAGAGTGACCAGGGAAACTGTTTCTTGAAGGTCTTGCTCTCTGCTACCTTCTGCTAGCTTCTTTAACATCAAAGCAAGTCCAAGAGACCCACTGGGCTTTGGAAAAATACAGAGACATGCACGCAAGGCCACAGGAGGTCCCTCACTCCCACCAAGAAGGAAGAGGAACCCAAATATTGGAAAACCTGATTCTCTGCAGTTGTCTCTCCAGTCAGCCCTTAGATTTCAAGGGGATGAACACCGGACTCATGCTGAAATATTAGTAATTGGATCATCACATATTACTTTCTGTTCTGCCACAAAAACAGTGAGAACTCCTGTGTTTTTACAATGTGTTTTGGCTTACAAAGTATCCTCATAAATGTGACCTCATTTAATTTTCACGATAATGAGGCAAGAATTGTTACTCCATCTCATAGATGAGCAAACTGGGCTTCTGAAAAGTTTAGTAACTTGTCCAAGGTGGCAAAGGGTAAGAGGAAGAATTCACTCTAAATATGCTGCAGTTAGGTTTTCTGACTCTAAGGCCAGTGCTTTACTACTCAAAGTTACCTCTCTAGAGGCACTTCCACAGAGATCTTGTTGGTATGTGTAAGGGGGGTTGAGGAGTACCCACACAGAAACACATGGATGCACACACACATACATGCACCCACACACATGTACATGCTCATATATATGTGTGCACATATGCATCCATGCACACATGCACTTATGGGTGTGCACACATACACACATGTATGTGCACACACTGATGCATGCTTGCATGGCTGAAGCCAGAAGGGCATTCCCAGTGGGAGAGGGCTTCTGCTATTCAGCTTGTTTGCCTCTGCTTCAGTGAAAAATTACTCAAAGCCTCAAGAATCGCTCCCTTCCTGGTCCCAGATGGATGGGTGAAACAACCTGGAAACCCCAGGAAATGATTTTCACCCTGCAGGGGTCTGCATTTCTGGAGAGTCATGATCCAGTGGCCTTTTTAAGCCACTGACCTGCAGTTGGGGTTCATAGCAGCTGGTGGCTGCAATTTACTGGGACTAAGATTTATAGCACTCAGTGTCCGGAAAGATGCAATTTACCTCACAGGAGGGATGACTTTTGCTCCCAACAAAATGTTTTACCTCCCCTGGCTCACCTTTAGATTTAAGAAATCACTCCAAGGGGTGAGAGAGTGTCTAAAATTTTAAATATTAGATTCACTTCCCCCAAAATTAGATAACATTAATGTCAGCACTGAATCATGGTTTTATCGGGGCCCTTTCTTAGTTCTCTACTCAAATAACCTCCAAGGAACTTTCCATGAAAGAACAGAAAACGAAATCTCTACATCTATCTTAAATGTTACTTTCATCCTCCATCTTTGGCTTCGATTTCTTTCTGTGACATCTCTTGGAAAATCTTACTTCTTCATATTTTCAGGTGTTTACTGCTTCTGCTCACTATTTTTTTCTGTCAATTTCCAGTTTTCTTTTCAATGAGACCTTTTCCTTCTACCTCTATGAATTCTTAATAGTTTCCTTCTGATAGTTCCTTATTTCTAGATTATTTTGCTTTTCTTCTCACATGTCCTGGGCCTTCGGTTTGTCCTTGCCTTTGCTTTTTCTCTTCTATCCTTTGCAGGGAGGTGTTCTAGGCAGAACGAGGACTTGGGATTGAGAAGAACACTGGTGTGAGTCTAGGCTCTGTCACTTTAATAGCAGCACGACCTTGGCGAACTACTTTCGCTACTCTGCAACCCTGGTTTCCAGATTTGAAATATGGATGTAATATGCCTATAATGTAGAGTTGTTTTGAGACTCAAATGAGATCCTATTTGAAAGCACCTATCCCAGGACCTAAAATGCAATAGCTGTCCAGAGAATGTCCAGTTGCTCTGCTCACTTTCTCCTTTGATTATAAAATATGTTCACTTCTAGTCCTTTTGGGGTTCAGTAATTCATCTAAATTAGGTTGCATGGATTCATCAGGTCACATAAAGGTAGAAGTGTTCCCTATTTGGTGTATGTGGAAGATGACAAACAAGGATGGGTTTGATTTGATGCCGACTCTAATGAAAACACAGAAGCAACTTGAACAATGAAGGAAACGATGAGGCTGACATGAGTCAAAGATCAGTCTTCTCAGGCTTCTTGTGTGTACCGAAAACATTTTGATAAACGGGGAGGGAGAAAAAATCAAAATGTGCTCTTTGGTTCAAACAAGCTGTCACAGCCTGTGAGATAAAGATGTGCCCGTCCACAGAAGCCAGCTTCTAGACACACACCCTCATTATGCACAATTTAATAATATACACAGGCATTCTCCGGAGTTCTTATTTGGCAGCAGCCGACACTCTGAGAGCTGATCTTGCTAATTTTGTGTATTTGGATTCTGCAGTAAAACAAGCAGTCTCAATATTTGGGTTCACTGGGAACTAGTTCTGGAATCATAATGATGATTAAGTGTGGGAATGTCCTTGTTGCCTTAAAACTTAGTTAATTTATCCTGACAAGGTGAGTGATGATTTGCAAATTACACCATCCCTGTCAATGATAACAACACCCTTCCACCACCACCCACAGACATACAGCAACAAGACAAGGCCAGCTGGTCAGAGAACATGAGCAATGGTTGAAAGGGCTATAAGGGAGGGGCAAAAGTTTGCACCCTGCTGTGGTGGAGATCTTTTTTGGTTAATAATCTGCCTTGCCAATAAGATACTTTTTATCCTTTGGACATAGCGAGAGAGCGTGTTTTAGAAACTGTTTCTGTAGAATGTCGAATTGTGTTGTGCTTTTATTAGAGGAAGAACAGGCCAACAGTAACTTTCTGGAAGTCAGGGGCCAGAGCAGAAGGTCAGTTTTCTCTGAATCGCACTGGAGAATCTCCACCTTAAAATATTCTATATCTGTTTTTACCCACAGAGAGCCTAGAGTCCCAAGCAAGTGTCCTGGAGACAGCAGGTGACCTTTACATAGGGCCTCATTAGGTTCCTTATACCACTGACTTGAAGGTTTCAGCAGGAGCTCCTGATTCCGTTTTTCCAGAGATTTCAGCCCCTTCCTGATTTTACTGCATACACTTGTTGAGTGTGCTTTATAAGTATGCTTTTGCCAGCACCACCACTCTTTCTTCTTTTACCACCCTTTCAATGTATGAACTTGTCAAAAGCCACAGCGTGGGCAAAGTCAGTTTATTTAGCAGTTAAATGCAACATCCAGGAATAAGGTTATTTCTGTCTTCTCACATTGACAATTCTCATTATGTTGACTTTCATTCTCAGCCTAGGTGCCTCTTGATTCCAGAGTAATTTACACAGCTCCACTTATCATATCCTTACCCAGCAATGTCCAAAGTTTGGAAGTGAAGTAAGAAGGAGTTTCCCTTTCTCGTAGCCCTTTTAAGATGTGAAAATGTTCCCTAAAGCTGCTTCACAGCTAATTGTCCAGAATTGTGCCATATGCCCATTTCCATGACAATTATTTGCAAGGGAGAACAGAGTTACCATCTCTGGTTTAGATTGATCAAGATTACCCCTTCCCCACTAGAGGCTAGAGTAGGAACAAGCTAAACTACTGTCAGACAGTTCAACCAAACTGGGATTCTGCTGCAAGGCAGAAATGAAGGAAGGTTGCTGGGGAAACAACCACAGAATATATGATTCCAATGGAGTCAATAACCAACTCCATTATCTGCTTTATGTATATAAAGCAGAAGGCTGCCAAGGAGTGATGTTCTTTTCTTCTCTGTTTTAACCTCAGCATTCTTGAATCTGAACCATGGATATGCTGTCAAAAAGAATGTGTGGTTATCACATAAGCTTGTTAATACTGAAGAGTTGATCCCTTGATCCTCACATGACTAATCACTTTCCTCACAGGATCTAAGCCACAAATCTCTTTTCCTCAACACTTAATAGAAAGCCTTGAACTGAAAGGGGAATAATCAAGGAAAAGAATTATTTGATAATAAGACAAAGCCCAATTGCATTAAACTCAGCACTTCTGAATGAGGGGCAAATCCATTTTCCCCACCAGGTTAAATAGACATGGGTTAACCTTTGTCCTAGGAGCCCCAGGGCTTCAGAAATTCAATATCCAGAATTAAAGTGGTAAGTGAAATGTGAACAATCTTGAAGAAAAGCAAGAAGCCCATTAATAAAGACAATAGATGATACAAAACTATAAGACACTGCCAGCTCCAAGGAAGACGAGAAATTGGCCAAAGGGGCTAGAAGAAATAAAGAAGCAGGGACTAGCAATGAGAAGGTCAGAAGCTGCTGGAAAAGACGCACACCTCAGATGTAATAGCACCCAGAACATAGGCGTTCAGGCACCCGGGAAATTGCTAGATTGTGCCTTGGATTATTCCTTAACAATTGGCTGAGCAAAGGTTATGAACAGAAAGGTTGTAAGTATAAGTGAACAATAGTTCATGTGAGCTGAGGTCATTTTCTAGAGCAGAAAAGCAGCTCTTTAGAGACCTTCCACTGTCATATTGCTTTAACAGTAGCCAGAAAATGCTCGTTCTAATAGATAACATTTATTTATATTCTACTGCCTCCAGTCCCAGTCATTGACAATATTTATTTATTTATTTATTTCCTGGTCTAGTACCCTGGAGGGGACACTGAAAATGCAGGGCTTAAGGAGTTTCACCACCAGTTCGCTGCTAGAGAGTGGGTATTGCCTGTCTTGGAGGGGAGAGAGAGAGGGCTGTTAGCTTTCACAGGCACTCATCCTGCCCTGCCTGTTCCTAAGTGGGCACTGAGCCTGAGCAGGCCTGGAAAGCCAGTATACAGATTCAGTTGTTGGGGTTTCAATTCAAAACATCAATATCCTCCTGCCCATAAGCCAGGTGGCATCCACCCAGGCATCATGGAGAACTGAGCAGGAGTCCACCAGCCCTGGCCAGAAGTCTGATAACACACAGCTGTTAAAAAGCTCGGCCAGCCTATAATCCCAGCTCTACCAATTACTTGCAAGATCTCAGGCAAGTTTCCTTCTTTTGGTCTTAGTTTCCTTATCTATCAAATGGGGATAATGATGCTACTGAAACTCCTAGGTTGAAAGGGTTAAAACAAACAACCCATGGAAACTTTTAAGTTCAGTGTCTGGCTTACGATAAGTGCTCGATAAATGCCAGCTATTATTTTGTGCCAGTTGATGGCACAGAATGAGACTTGATGACAAATGCTTAAGTAGATTTTCAAGCATATTGATCATAAAGCAGCTAAGTGTCCTTATGGGATTTTTTTATGAGGTCTTTCAGAAGTAAGAAGATGCTTGCTTTTCCCCTGGAGTCAGCAGGGCCTTGTTTCCCAGTCTCTTCATCCCTGCAGTCAGGCTCTTTCCAGGTTCTTAGGGTCAAGCCTCTCATGTCTGGCACATAGTAGGGAATCCAGAAATATATGTGGAAGGAAGATGGAAAGGAAAGGAGGAAGGAACAGAGGGAGTGAAGAAGTATCCAGGAGCTCCACCTCCTCCTTGCTCTGATGCAGTCTTGCTCATGGTTCCAGGCTAACCTCTAGAACCATCACTGGCCCCGCAAAGGCAAGCCCAGTGTGGCAATCTGCCCACACTCACTCTAGCTCAGGTCCCTCAAGCCCCCCTCCTCTTATAAGCAGACCTGCTGGTTAATGTAACTGCTGGTTGATATAACATTCTTGGGGTCCCACAGTGGTGTGGAGTAGCTTGAGACAGGTGTTGCTTGGTCCTTACATTTTCATACCCTAAATCTGTTTTACCCACTTGGACCCTGGCTCTGCAACCTTGACCTCCATTCTGCCTCTGGTCTCTTGAACTTGCTGTGTGGAATTGGTCTTTCCTGTGGTGCACTAACAATAGACTTTCAGGAACTGAGCTCCATCACCCTATGTAGCCATCACACTGGATGCTATTACGTGCCTCTCCATTGATCCTCAAAACAATCCTGTGAATTAAATATTATGAGCCTCATTTTATACATATGGAAACTGAGGCTCATGGAGGTGAAGTGCCTGGCTTAAGGTCACATAGCTAGGAATCAAATGCCAGTCTCTGGATTCAAATCTCATGTTCTAGTCATTCTTCAGCCTCTGCTTTTCTGATGGTTTTCAATTTGTCTCTCAGAGTCCCCTGAAAAATCAGGGAAGACCCCTTGTTCCCCAGTTCTAGATATGTAGAACTCAGTTTCCCCATTTGGTCACTTGGCTTCTGTCTAAACTAGACAAACCTGCAGTGCTTCCGTCTTCCCAGGAGATTTGTGTGCTGCTGACCCAGTCTTTCTGGGCTTGGAACAAGCACCCCTTGCAAGAGACTGAAGTCCTGGCCCTGGATCTCTGTTCAGTTACTGGGCCCTGCCATCGATGGCCACATTTTTTTCTGGGCCAGCCAGGGTGTCTACCAGCTCCCTATCTGGGGACTCCACATTATTGATCTTTTCATGTTAGGAAATGCTGTTGCTTCTTTCAGATCCCTGATGCCCAGTGCTTGTCAGAAGGACCACCTGGCATTGTCTGATGCTGTGGAGAGCTTGTTCAACCTGCCAGATTGCCTACTGCAACCTGTGCCTACACATTGCCACCCTCCATCTGGCATGTTCTACACCCAGTAGACAAACTAGCCTGGGTAGGAATCCGGGCTCCTCTTTCCTTCTGGGTTCCCCATTAGTATCCAAGCCACCAAGCTCCACATCTGGGACAGGAGACAGTCCCGAACTTCCCTGGCCCTTGCTCTCTGGGGTCTGATTAAATTGTGGCAGAGGTGGGAGAAATGGGACTTAACCCCTGAATCCTCAGAGGATAGAGGCTGGGATTCCAGGGCCTGGCAAATGATTAATAGGCCTGGCATATTAGATTCGACCCATCAGGGCAACATTAAATGTGATTTATGACTTGGTTTTAATTGAGATTTTACTGAATTATTATTCGATGCAGAGAACAGACCGGGACTAATATTTCTAAGTGCCCTAGAGTCCTGCACTCAGAGCTGGGGGAATGTGGTCTGCCTGAGAGTGAGGTGTCTACTCTCTCCCAGTGTGGATCAAGGCAGCTTCTCGCTCTGCCCACCGTCCACCTCTCCCACCCCACCAGCAAGTGCCAAGCTTGGAGTAGTGACAAAAACAAAGCACTTTGCTTTCTGCCTCATGTTCTTTAAAACCCTCAAACCAAGTTCAAACAACAGGTTGACCTAGTTTGCACAATGAAACAATGAACTTGATAAAATTAAGGTATGAGTGACCCCATGGAGAATTTCCACTTTAAAAGAGGACAGAAGAATTAGGCAATGCTTAACTCAGAGGAATGACCTTTCTAGCCGGGGGATGTCAGCCCAATGGGGAGATGTTTGATGGGCTTTGGCACAGGGAGGCATCGAGAGATGGCCACGAGTTTTTGGAGGTGTGAGTCTTGAGGCCACCTGGACCCAGGGGCTAGAAAGTGTAGCTGACATGCTGACTACTAGTGATAGCTGCACTGAACATACTGATATCACAGGGCACAGAGGGCATGAGGTCAGGGAAGAGGAAAAGGAAATACGTGGGAATTTTCTTCCCACCCTCATGAGGCTCCTCTCTGACCTACAAGTGGGGGATCTTGAGCTTAAATAGCATTTATTGAATTTTGAACTCCATTGGGCAAAGAAATTACTCGTTAATATATAAAGGACTGTATTTCCCATAATGCAAATGCTAGTGAAAAATAGATTCAGCCTACTTCATGGAGAGATGCTTGCCTTTAAAGTACTAACATAAATATGTCCTTAGGGAGAGAGGGAATGGCAAATTAGATAGAAGTTTGTGATATGATACGGCAGCAGAGAAAGCTTATGCTCAGCTCCACGCCTGCAGACATGTGGAGATGAAGGAGGAGATTTGCAGAGTAGCAGAAGCAACTGGAGTGGGACAGGGTGTCTTGATTTCGGGAAAGCTGGGACACCTTGGTTTCTGGAGATTTCCAAGGGTGGGAACTTGCCACTGATGCGCTAGTGAAGGAGATAGCACAGAGTGGGGAAAGGGCATGGGATGGAGTGTAGATGTGGATGTGAATCCCTGTTCCACCTCCAGGTGATTACCTTCTTTAAGATTTAATTTCCTCAATCATATATGGATGGAAACAACAATACTTGCCCTGTGGAGTGCCTGTGCAACTTAATTGAGGTGACGCATTGAAGGCATCTGGCATAATAATCACACCAGTTCATTTTCTCTACCTTTAGACACTTCTTTAACAAAATATGTTCACTTAATCAACATGTATTGAGCACTTATTACATGCAATATGGCTCCTGATCCCAAGGAGCGTAGAATGTTGTGGTAAGCTCAACAACAGTGACATGGCCAGGAGACTATGAACACAGAGTAGGTGGAATTAATCCAATCTGAGGAAATGGGGAAGAATCCGATAAAATTACCAGACCAAGGGGATACCTATGTTTAGTGTTCAGTATGACCCGGAGCATCCCATGGAAGAGGCATTCTAGGTAGGAGGGTCTGCACCATCAAAGACGTGATGGTGAGCATCAGCATGGTGTGTTTAAAGACCCGCAGGTGCTTCAGTGTGGCTGGAGCCTGAGGTGGAGGCCAGTAGCAGGAGGAGGTGGGGCCAGCCTGGTAGTCAGGATGGGGACTTTTCTTTCAGTAGTAAAAGAGAATTTCTGAAGGGCTCTCATAAGGTGAGCACAAAGCTGGCGGCCTTGGGGAGGCTGGTACAGTAGTCCAGGTGACAGTCACTGAAGGCAGAAGTAGCATCTTGGTGGCAGGGGAGGGGAGGGCAGACTTGAGAGATATTTAGGAAGTAAAATGAGCAGAAAATAGGCCTGAGGGAGGAGTCAAAATGACCTTCAGTTTGGAGATTGCCACCTAACCAAGATAGAGAATTCAGGAAAAGGAGCATTTGGTGAGGAAGACATTGAGCTCAGTTTGAGGCTTATTGAGTCTGACGGACCTACGAGGCTGCTGGTTGGAGATGATCAGAGAGTGTGGGGCCATATAGGACTGGATGGAAGAGATGCACCTTGTTCTCTGGATCCCAATAACAAGAAGACCCAGCCTCTGCCTTGAAGAAGTTCAGTGTCCTGCTAGGAGGCAGACATTCAAATGGGAAATTATAACACAGGCTAAGAGAGACCCAATTGCTGTAAGAATGCACCCACTGCCCTCACATCCACTGTTTTCTCAGATAGCAGTATGCTCAGTACAACTATCACTAGTAGCAAATGGGTAATTAATGGTGTGTAGTTGGGTCAGAGAAGGTTCAGAGAACAAGAGAGTTTTGAACTGGACCCTAAAGAATAAACAGAAATTTATCAAGCAGGGGACTGAGGTTGGCATGTGGGTTAGCACTTCCCAACTGTTGGGAAGAGACACATAAAAATGTGGAGGAGCTATAGGGAGGGTTTTGTGGCCTCTTGTTGGGGCTGCTTGGTAACTAGAGGGACGGGGAGGAGGAGATGAGAGAGTAAAGGGATGAGAGATTGAGAGGGCTTGGAAGGCAGGCTAAGGTGCTCTGACATGATTCTATGGGAAGTGAGATCTCTCTACTGGTCTTAAATATGGGAGACCTGGGTTTTAGACTTGGGTTTTGGGCCAATTTCTTTGACATCAATATGGCTCATAGATTGGAGTGAAGCACTATTGAGGCTGAAAGGACAGAGACGGGCCTGGAGACTACTGCAATGGTCCAAGCAGGAGAGAGTGAGGGCATCAGCTGCTGTGGGGTAAGTGAGCAGCAGGATGGAAAGGGTGAATGCAAAAGACCCTTTAGAGGGAAAACATGTAATGATGATCACTTGATGGGGGCCAGGGAAGAGTCAGGATGACAGGGAGATTTCTAACTGGCATGGTTGGTATAATCCACTGTGAAAAGAAACTGTGAGGAGTAAAGTGTGGAGAGATGGGGGTACACAGAAGGAGTTCAGTATTGGACGGGTTGCATTTGAGGAGTCTACAGAGAACTCGAATAAGCAGCTGATATGTGGATCTGGAGCTCAGAAGAGAGATTCAGACTTACAAGCTGCCAGTGTAAAGGTGACAGTTGGGCCTTGGAATGGATTAGATCATTGAAAGAAAATGTATAAAGTGAAAAGAAAAGAAGGCAGGAAATGACATAGGGGGATCATCAGCATGCAAAGGGCCGCAGGGGAAGACAAAATGCAAAAAGGGCAGAGTGAGGATGATGAGGGAGAGGTCGAAAGAGAATCCACCCAAAGGCATGCCACTAATGTCAGGAGCAGAAGTGTGCCTCCTCCAGACTCCCATGGTATTTCCAGCCCTCCCTTTATGTTATTTTAAATTTTTAATTGTTTAATTTTTAACAATTTTTGTGGGTACATAGTAGGTGTATATATTTATGGGGCACATGAAATATTTTGACACAGGCATGCAATGTGAAATAAGTTAATCATGGAGAATGGGGTATCTATCCCTTCAAACATTCTCTGAGTTGCAAAAAACCCAAGTACATTCTTTAAGTTATTTAAAAATACACAATTAAGTTGTTATTGTCTATAGTCATCCTATTGTGCTATCAAATAGTAGGGCTTATTCATTCCAGCCCTCCCTTGAACAGGATGCATCTCCATGCCTTGTGATTGTTTATTCACTTGTTTCTCTATTAGCTTGTGGACTCCTGACATTCAGTGGCCATGTTCTGCACCACTATTGGCTGAAATTTGGCACAGGGTTGGGCATGAGGTGGGAACTCGATGACCACTGGCCAATGAAGAGGTTAATGCCACCAAATGTAGCAGAGAGTCAGGTAAAATGAAGAGGCAGAGGCAATTGGATGCACTAGAAATTTTAGCTGTTTCTGCAGGGCGGAATGAAGAAGTCAGTTTGTGTTGCTGGGAACAGGAGGCTCACTGCTTTTGTTTGACACATCTGAGTTAGTCAGCGAAGAGAGAAGGGCAATAAATACACCGCAATTAGTAAAACAGAAGAACTGTCTTATGAGTCACAAGACTGAAGTTAACACGCCGGGCTGAGTAATGAACTCATTTATGTCCTTCCCTGCCCATCTCTGTGCTTGTTGCATCACAGCTTGTAAAAATCTTTATTTGGGATCCTTGACAGAGCCAGTGATCACGTCAGTCTGTACTTGTTACAAGATAAGTACAGTCACGCGTTGTTTAACCTGGAGGATTAGTGCTAAGAAATGTGTCGTTAGTCGACTGTGTGAACATCATAGAATGCACTTACACAAACCTAGGTGGTAGAGCCTATTACACACCTAGGTATATGGTGTATGTAGCCTATTGCTCCTACCCTGTAAACCTGCGGAGCATGTTACTGTACTGAGGACTGTAGGCAATTGTAACATGATGGTAAATATTTGTGTCTCTAAACATAGAAGAGGTACACTAAAAATACAGCATAAAGGATTTAAAAAATGGTACATCTATACAGGGCACTTACTATGAATGGAGCCTGCATGAGTGTAAGCTGCTCTGGGTGAGTCACTGTGTGAGTGGTGAGTGAATGTGGAGGCCCAGGACATCACCATACACTGCTGCAGGCTTTATCAACACTGAATACTTAGGCCATACTAATTTTATTAAATTTTTTTTCTTCAATTATAAATTAATCTTAGTTTACTGTAACATTTTTACGTTATACACTTAAATTTTTAAAACGTTTTGACTCTTTTGCAATAACGTAACTTAAAACACAGACACATGATACACCTGTACAAAAATATTTTCTTTTTTAGATCCCCATTTCTTAAGCTTTTTTCTATTTCTAATTTTTTTTTTTACTTTTTGAACTTTTTTTGTTAAAAACCAAAGCACACTAGCTGGGCATGGTGGCACATGCCTGCAGTACTAGCTACTCAGGAGGCTGAGGCAGGAGGATCACTTGAGCACAGGAGTTCCAGGCTGCAGTGAGCTGTGATCCTGCCACTGCAATCCAGCCTGGATGATGGAGCAAGACCCTGTCTCTACAAAACAAGCAAACAAAGGCATGAACACACAGATTAGCCTATGTCTATACAGGGTCAGGATCATCAATATCACTGTCTTCCACCTGGACGTCTTGTCTCGCTGGAAGGTCTTCAGGAGCAATAACATGTGTGGAGTTGTCAACCCCTGTGATAACAATGCCTTCTAGAATCCTCCTGAAGGACCGGCCTGAGGCTGTTCTACATTAACTTTAAAAAAAATAAGCAGAAGGAGTACACTCTAAAATGACTATAAAAAGTGTAGCATAGTAAATATATAAAATAGTAACATAGCTATTTATTTCATTATCAGTTACATATTGTACATAATTGCATGTGTTAGACTTTTTTATGACTTGCAGTGTGGTAGGTTTGTTTACACCAGCATCACTACAAACACGTGAGTAATGCATTGGGCTACAACATCATGACAGCTACTACGTCACTAGAGGATAGGAATTTTTCAGTTCTCTTATAATCGTATGGGACCACTGTCATATATGCAGCCCATTGTTGACCAAATCGTGGTTACACAGCACATGACTAATTTGTGCTGTATGAATATTTACAAAGATTGGAGGAGCTGTTAAGTCAGGAAGGGATGACATCTCGGAGGAAGGAGGGTATGTAGTCATCTGGGTTCCATTTGGGTCCTTGATTCTCTAATCTGTAACATCTACTATCCCTGGCTGGGCTTGTGATGAATCAGGCCTCACACCTGCCCTTCCAGACCAGCAGTGAGCCACTGTCTGTCTCATAGCCCATCTTTGTGCCTGATAAGCAGGGGTATCTAGCTTTGGGAGATGACACTGAGTTAGAAGTTAAGATGGGGTCTAAGAATAGAAGGCTTTGGAGCAGAGGTATTGAATGTAGTAGTGATGAAAGAGGTGGCTGCTTTAAAATAAGAGGTGGTCCAGGAAGAAATGGCTCTGGCAGGATTAGCCCTTAGCATTTAAGCCCCACTTGCTCCTTTTGAATTGTTATATTTCAGCAGACAAAGATCCTAGTGAGGATTGTCTAACTGATGTCTGAAGACAAGCTGAGACTCCATCTTAGGCAGTAGCAAACCCCAGGCACAAGATCTCTTCATACAGCTTCTTTCCCCAGCTGCCAAATGCATTTTCCTCTTGTTTTCATTAAGCTTCTGGTTTCTGTTCCTGTCAATATCATCACATCAAATGCATGCACACACATGCTCATCACCAGCAGCCCCCCAGAGATGCTCTCGGACATCATCTTGAATTTTAAAAACCAGTATTGCCCCCTTGATGAAGAAACACCAGGGGAGAGATGTTGTTTAGGACATGCTTCAGGCTGAATTGTTGTTCCTAAGAAATGGAGCAACTCAGGTCCTCTCTTAGGGAATGGAAGCTCTAGGATGGGAAAAATGACCCAATGCACTGGCAGTGACTTCTCAGCCATGTAGGAAAGCCGGTGAAGTGGGCAGAGAAGATGGCCAAGGCCCAAATGTCTACAGAGCCTTGGACATGGGATTTGGGTGGCTCCTGCCCCTTGTCTGATTCTGCCCGCTAGACCCTACTGGGTAGCCATAGTGATGCTGGAGGGATAAGGCTGAAGCACTTTGTCTTTGATTCTTGCTTCCCTTTTATGTGGGAGCAGCTAACAGAGTGTGAAAGTGCACTCTTTAATGTACAATCTACCCGGAAAGATCAATGGCAGCTTAACATGCATTTCTGTCTAATATTCACTTTGTCAGGTCTTTGTAATAAAAAATGCTGGTTTTAATGAAGTGCATTAAAATGAGGAGATTCATGGCCGCCTGTATGCTTTTATCACCATTGCCTCCCCTTGAGCTGTCAGTGCACAAGCCGTTCTGTGGAAGCAAGGCAGAGGGGTATCATTTTAGGAATCATACACACACACAAATTCTCCATTTTTGCAAAGATCCATGTTACTGGCGGATATATTTCGATTTAATACATGTTATTTCTATAATATGAGATCTTCCCAGAGATGTGTCTTTGGGAGGAAGTTGCATTTAGGAGCCAGGTAAGTGGACACAATGGGGAGAAGACACCAGTTATGGGCTAAATTGTGTCCTACCAAATTCCTAGGTTGAAGTCCTAACTCTCAGAACCTCAGAATTTGACCATATTTACAGATAAGGCCTTTAAAGAGATGACTAAGTTCAAATGAGGCCATTAGGGTGGGCCCTAATCCAATGACTTGTGTTCTTCTAAGAGGAGATCAGGGCATCCAGAGGCACCAGGGGTGCATGTGCACAGTGAGCCAGCCATGTGAAGAGACCACAAACCAAGCAGAGAGGCCTCAGAGAGGGCTAACCCTGCCGGCCCCTGATGTTGGACTTCCAACCTCCAGAACAGGGAGAAAAGACATTTCTGTTGTTTAAGCCACCTAAGCTGTGGCAATTTGTTATGGCAGCCTGAGCAAACTAGCACAAGATCTCAAGCTTGAGATTGGAGCAGTGGGCTCTGAGCTCATTCTTAGGGAGAAGAAAGTGATCCAAGGGCATGAGAGGGCATCCGTAGCCATGTGTGCCCTGGAGTGAGGTCAATGGGGACATCTGGAAACTTCTTGAAAATAGAGTGCTTTTAATGTTGCCGCTGGTAAGAGGGAACATGCTGCATGAGGAGGCTGTGCTTATAACTATGGGTAAAATGTTTGCATAGGTAGGAAGGTGCTCAGTTTGTATTTGTTGAATGTTACCAAATGAATTGAAAGACAGCATAGCCTAGCTGTCAGAAGCACAGACACTGGAACCTATGCTCTAACACATACCAGCTAGGTGACCTCTCTGACTTCATCAACTGTTGTGAAGATTAAATTGGTGAATATTTTTTAGTGCTTAGAATAATGCCAGGCATAGAGAGAATGTTCTCTAAATGTTTGTTAAGGGCAGAAGTGGCTTGGACTCAAGAAGAGGAAGTCTATAGCAACAGCTGCTCATATAATCCCAGAGGCCCCCTGGATGTCCAGTGAGCTCTTTATCACCCAAGTCACCAAGTCCTTCCCACCACCACCATGTCCCCTGACTCCTCCCTTCCCTCTATTTCCTGGCACTGCTTCCCTGTGGGTTCTCATCAACTCATGTAGACTCTTCTCCATATCTTTCATCTGGTCTCCTTGCTCCTAGCGTCATCTCCCCATTCTCTTACACCTTTCTGCCAAAGTAAATTTAGGGATGATGGCACCTTTCTGCTTATGATCTCTATCATCAAAGGGCTTGGGGAGGAAGCATGGCAGTGTTGGTGAGTTGGTTATGCCCTTTCATGAGATGACATGTAAGTGTGGTGGACGTGCTGGCTTTTCAGGGGTGACAGGAATACAATCAAGCCCTTTGGCACAAAAGGGTCCTTAAAAACCTGATCTTTTATATACTCCTCTGGCTTTATTTCCTATTGTTTCCCATTACTGGAAATTTCTGCTACACAAATGCAAAATTCTTACAGTTCTAGGATCATGCAGTTCTGGGATGGTGCCACTGTGCCTTTGCACCTGCTGGACCCTGTATCCTGAAATACTCTTTTCCTTCTTTTATTAAACTGGCAAATGTATGTTCATCTTTCAAAATCCAGATTGCTTCCTTCAAGAAGGCAATTACTCTTCAAGTAGAATTAAGAACCCCATGTGTTCCTTTTCCTACCCTGGATGAGGAAAAAAAAAACTCATTCTTACCCAGCTTACTTATTGTCAATACATAAATATAAGAAGGAGAATCCAAGAAATAATGAGCAATTTGAGCAATCTAAGGACTAAAACTGGCATTTCTTCCAGAGTATCTAACTTCCCCTCTAACCTTCAATCGTCCTATAATGAAATGATATTTTAAGGTATAAGCTATCTCTGCAGGATAAGGGGAACATTAAAGCCAATGATGTGAACAAAAAAGAGAGCTGAACAGGAAGAGCAAACGCAGCCCAAATTGGAGAATCAAGGGAATATGATGTTGTCCAGTGGCCACAAATTTATCAACACACCTATGCCTGGTAACCTGCTATCTTGTTCTTGCTCCACTCCACCCTTGGGCATTGAGAATAAGAGGTGAGAGTCCTCAGTGACCATTTAACTGTCTCCCAGAGCCTAGAAGCAGCCTGGTGCTTGCCATGATCACAGGACAAGGTGATCTCAGGAAAACCACAGGCTCTCTGGGCATTGGTTTACACATCTATAAAATGGGCTTTCTAGAGTCTAATTGACAAGATTTCCTAGAGCATAAGTAGGTGATGTATGGCAAAAGTACTTTCCTAGCTCAGAATGCTGCCCAGACTTCCATTTTGCTTTTGGGAGGAACTTCTCTGTAGGTAGTTTTGATGCTCCCCACTCCACTTTCCCATCTGACATCTCATTGAGGTACTACTTTGAGCACCTGATCCACAGTCTTCAGTGTCCTCTTGCTGCTTAGAAACCTCCAAAGGCTAGCCTGAGATTGATGCTCTTTGGGCTTCTCTTCTTTGCAGCTGTCTGAAATAATTCACATTCCACACTTCCTCCCCATCCTCCCAAAGCTACACCTCACAATAAAAAACCTAACAGTCTCTTCAGGGGTGCTGGAAAGTGGAGTAATTTATCTGCTAACTGATTTTTGCAAAAGCATTATCGGGTAATAACACCATTGTATGCAACCACTGTTCTGTAAAGTAATAGAGACATATTACCTGACATATTACCAGAACCCTAAATGGTGACCCTTCGGGAATTTGAACTCTGGAAGCTCAGAATGTGGGTGAGGGCAGCAAACTCATAACTATTGGTCTTTAGAGACCCGTAACAGCACTAGGGAGCATCTATTATCTAGGCCTATGAATAAATTGTAGGATTCTGTAATAGAATTACAGTTCCTTCCTCTAACTATGTTTTAAGGAGAGTATAATGGAGAGACAGGACTTCATGGGAAAGAAGAACCAAAAGAATGGCTCTTAAATGTTTCTGTATTTTGGTGATACACTAGCAAAATATAAGGGAAAATACCTGCAAGGATAAATGAGATAATAACAACCATGGATCATTTTTAGTTCCTGGGAAGGAAAGCACCATACAGATTTGAGGTATTATTATTATGCATATAATATATATAGACATTGTATAGTTATTCACAGAGAAGCTCACATATGTCATTCCCACTAATAACATTTCTTTTCTAGCTCCCGCGTAAGAGGAGATATGCCATTTTCATATGTTCCACACATACTCAGAGGAACCTGCGTAGAATATTTTTGCTGATGAAATTTTCTGGGTTGTAACATTTATCTTTTTGAAGAGCTTCCTTCCTATAACCCCACGTGGAGAGCTGTGCTTTTACCTCTCACTGTGATGCTATCTACATGTGGATTTTTGTGTCAACTGCTTATCTTAGCCATTAACCAATTTCTTGTCTGTTTGTATTGTTTGTAAAGTGTTGGGCATACATAGTGCTTTGCCAATGCATGGGGACCTGGCTCCCTGCCCTGTGGAGTGCACCATCTAATGAAAATGGACAAGCCCACCACAATAGAAATCATACAAATATGAGACCCAGAAAGATGCTACTGGCTTGGGAATGAGGGCAGGCCAGTCAGGGATTAAGTGGAGGATCTGAAGAAAGAGAGGAAAGCATTTGGGAGAAAATTAGATGAAGGCTGTTCTAACGGAGGCACACATGTACAACATAAACTCAGTCAGTTCTTATACAAACACAGGGCTGGAAGAAAGCGTTACAGGTTCCCTGTCCATTCTATCTCCCTGAGCGGAGTGTTTCACTCCCTTCCGCAGTCCTTCAGCTTCTGACTGATCATCCTCGGGGGTATGGATAGGCCAGCTAGTGTGGATCTTTGCAAAGTAAGTGCTTAATCTCCAGCTGGCTTCTTTTGCCACCCAACATGCTTCTGGGTGGCTCACTGCCTACACTGTCACTTGCTGGGCGCTCAAAGAATGCAAATTCACTTGGGCAAAGCATAATAGAGAAATTAAATATGCTGCAAATAGAGGGGCACACATTTTATTCTCAACTAAAAATAAACCATTTGGGGTTATGTGTAATTGCTCTCTTGGATTTTTCACTCCATTGGCATTTCTCTTTAGAGTGGATAATTAGAAACTCCCAGTTTAATTTCTATACACAGTCCTACACAGTTTTCAAGTGAGAAAACTTGCACCAACTTTCAATATGTGTGCATATATTGTCCACATGGAGCAACATTAGTATGGGAGGAAGAGAAGAAGGAAGAGGAATGGAGCAGGCAGGACTTGGATGAATTTAGAAAGAAAGCAGAGTGCAATCGAGGGCAGAAATGCAGTGCAAGCCAGACACTGATTCATGGTCTGACCTTGGACAAAATTACCCCAGCTCTCTGTGCATCCACTTCTCTGTCTGATTATGTGCTTTGTAAACATTCAATCACCTTTGAGGTGTGGTTCAAGAGATAGGGCAGAGGCTACCCTGGGGATCATTTCTGTGTCTGTGAATGAATTCTATCCAGCCCAGCCTCCTCTGGGGACACCTAGCCTCCCTACATTAAAAAAAAAAAATCCACTAGCTGCACTTTCCTTCAGACAGCCTCCAGGGCGATGCTGTACGAAAGGAGGGACAATCCATGCCTGGCTCAGTTTCCTGCCACTGAGGAAAAGGAGATCAGGGGACCTTGTTTATATAAAAAGATAATGTGGCTGCCTCCCTGTGGTAAGACCTGCTCTTGTTTTTTCCAGAAATTGTGCTTAAGCTGTCAGCATTCTCTTATTAAATTCTACTTATGATCACTGGCAATTAGGCCAGTGGGGCTCATACTATACAAATGCAGACATTAAAAGGAAATAGGACTTTAGACTATGGTTACAGGCTAGTAAATCCTGGGGCATATGGGTTACATTAGTCTGTGTACTCTTACCATTTACCTTTTCAAAGCCCTTTAAATATATTACCTTATTTCATCTTTACAATAGGTGCTTGACACTATTACCTCCATTTGACAGGTAGAAAAAATTAAGGTTTAGAAGAGTTCAAAAAATTCCTCAAGATTACACACAAGGTAGTGCTGGGATTCAAACCATGGGAAATTTGTTCTCAATCTCTGGCAAGATTTCACCCCATGTTGACTCTCTGGCTCCCTAAATGGTTGCCCAATTGCCCCCTCCTTTGAGATGGGAAAGACACTCTCTCCACTGATGGTCTAACTCTGGTTTCCTTGAGCAATTTGGGACAACTATTTTTCTAGCATTGGGTTAGAATACATTCAGAGGGCCCTCCCAGGGGTTCCCTGACAAGTTTCCCCCCACCAACAATGCGGTATTCCCAGGGAGAGCCTGACTTGCTTCAGTCTCTTCCATCTTCAGATGATTAGGCTGCTCATGTGTGGACTCTCCAAGTGGGTGGGGTAGACTTCACCTTGTTCTCCTCCCTAGGGATTTTAATCCTGGTGACCTATCACCTCAAACTCAGCTCCCTAAATTCTCAAGTTTTCCATGAGCCCCATCAGCAATTTTTGTGCCTAGGTCTCCTGGCTGAACGTGGCAGCCAGAGTTCTGAGGTTTATATTCAGATCGGCCCCACGTACTGCCTTGACGTCAAGCTAAAATAACAGCACTGCTTGGCTACTCACTGATTACTCACTCACAGAGGCAACTGAATCCTCAATCTGATATGTGGGCTTCTGAAGATCTTATCATGTCCCTCTGATATGCTTTGTGGCTAGTAGGTTCCTTCGAAAAACCTCCCAGCTGCTGTGGGTAGCCGCATTTTCCAGTTACTTCTGAGCCAAGCTAATGAGGCATGCTAATTTTGGAAAATGCATAACCATCCACTAATCTACCTCAAATCTCCAGGAATAGAATTCTGGAGAGATTCTAGATAAATACTAAGAAGTAGCTCCTGTCTTCATGTTCCTCAGAAGGTGCAAGGTCAGGTGGTGATACCAGCCAAGTAGGAGAAGGAGCAGAGGGAGGAGAGGCAGGAATGACCACAGGGACTTGTCTGCCCATGTACACTAATGAGGCCTTCCTCCCAGACTCAGAACTGACGGTGACCTAAGGACTCCTCCTACATGTCTCTGGACTGATCCTTGGCTCCATTCTCCAGCTGCATAGTCAGGAGCTTGGATGTGCCCTGAATCCTGTGCTCACTGCAGGACAGCTGCATAAAGTTGAGAAGGCAGCACCAACAAGTGGCTCAGGGAATGTGATGAGCAGAGGGAGGGCTGGACATAGTAAAAAAAAAATGAGGAAGAAAGAAAGAGAGAGAGAGAGAAGGAAGGAAGGAAGGAGAGAGAAAGAAAGAGGGAGAGAGAAAAAAGGAAAGAGAAGAAAGAAAGAAAGAAAAAAGAAAGAAAGAAAAAAGAAAGAAAGAAAGAAAGAAAGAGAAAGAAAGAAAGAAAAGAAAAAAAGAAAAGAAAAGAAAAAGAGGTAGAGGTCGAGTTTGCCCTGCTGTTTCCACAGTCTCATTTATAGCCTATTCCTTCTCTCTGGTCATAATGACTTGACTCATGTTTACTGACTGCTAACATTATGCCCAGCGTCGTGCTAAGTATTTTACATGACATTCATGGCTCAGTTCCCACACGCTATGTGAGGATTTTAGAGGAAAGTTTACAGACGTTAAGAGGCTCACCTGAAATCGGATGCTAGTAAATGAGAGAGGCCAGATTTGAATTCAGAACATATCCTCCAAAGCCACTATTCATACTGCCTTTTTTTCTGACCTCCCTCTTTTCTCCAAGTGCCTAATGGCTTAAATTCCCCCCTGCCTTTTTTAGCTCTTTGAGTCTCATTGTACTACCTCATGTTAGAAGCATATCCTAGATCACTTCTTATCCCTTTTATTAATTAAAACTTACATGGTTCTGTATTTATTCACCCAAAGGTTGCCTTTTTCTGACAGAATAAACTAATTCCTACTAAAGTGTTAATGACTACCAAGGAGTAATCTGTAACTTTGAACTGAAAACCTTCTGCGTTGTCACTGTGGATTAGCATGCTTTAAGACCAAGGAGACATAAATTTGTACATTTCAGGCATTGTCTGGACCAGCGAGAGAGAAAATGTGGGGTTAGGGAAAGGTGATTGGGGCATTCATCCTTGCACCCTGTGAATAGCCTTATCTTATAGTAAATGCTCAATAAATGTTTGCTGAAAAATTACTGATTGATGAATGAGTGAACAAATGAATGAATGAATGTGAATTATCTAGACGAGATTTAAGTATGTGGTAATACTATGTCTGGTCGGTAGAGGCCACTGTTAACATTTTCCAACATCTGTACCTGAAAGGAGAGCCTGGGGTATGGGAAATTCTCAGTCATCCTAAAAGTTGATTTTGGGCGTAAGATTCTGAGATGAGTTCCAGTGTGCTCCCTTCCATCAGTAAGACCCTCGTTGGAGGAATTTTCTGGTACAGACAAGGGATTATCCCCTCTGCTGCTTGGAGAGGACAGGACACTTTCCCAGCCCGTGGATGGCCAATGCAGCTGAGGTGTCCACAACACAGTAGAATGAGACACAGCCTCGGCAGAATAATCAGAGCAGAAACCTGATCAGACTACATGCTTGTGGCTGACTTGGAAAAGAAGGTGGTGGGTGGGCCCATGGAGGGATTGACCATTGGCTAAATGTTGGGTTTTGCTTTTTTGTGTGCCTTTCTGATGGTAGCACTACTAGAAGACAGTATTCCAGGTCATCCTCAAGGTCCAGCCTTACTCTGGTATCCTGAATAGGAACTTGGGAATCTAGATTGACGCAGAACTTTTCTCTAAGAACAAGCACACACGTCTGCCCAGAAAGCACTGTCCTGCTGCCTCCTGCTGGAAGTTGGGAACCATATCTGTTCTGGTTGTCATTCCTCTGTACCAGACCCAACTGAATAGTGTCTAAGGGTTGCCTCTTCTGTGAAGCCCACCTGATGCACTCAGCCTCCACAACCACACCCTGCCTCGTGTTGTCACACTACACACCAACCGTGAGGGGTCAGTTAATTGTCATGTTCTGGAAATGTAAGCTGTGAGTTCAAGAGCAGACACAGTTTTCTTTTATCTTTAGGTATTAGCAACTGGCACAAGAACAAGCACAGAGTCCTTGATAAATGTTTGTTGAATGAAAGAACGAGTGAATGAAGTCCACTAGGCTGCACTGTGGTGATCCAAATCAGCTTCCAAGATGACCGCATTAATCAGACCTATTTAACTGTCATATTATTTATGTCACATGGATACAGGAAAGTGAAAAAAATGAAAACAGCTCTTCCCAGACTTTGCCTTTGTGGCCTGGCTAGGAGACCGGAAGGGATAAAACTTTTCTTGCTGAACATAATGAACCAGAGTTAATTTTATCCATGTTAGTTTTGGGCTCTTGCACACACAACAGGAGACCCTTAATGGCCATCCAAGTTGTATCTTATTAAATTTAAAAAGATAAAATGAATCGCAGGAACCATAAGCTCATATGCTACCACAGGCCAAAGAGGAACATGCTGATTAAAGTTTACTCAGCAAAGAACAGTAACATTCTGTATCCCAGGCATATGAAAACAAATGTACACTGAGAAGACGCCCTAAGAAGGTGAACATCCAGCCTGGCACTTCATAATTATCAATTGAGTATATTAATATGAATGAATTAACTGGCTAGAAACAATCCAATAAATTAAGGCATTAAGACCCCTCTACTCCCTTTGTGATTGATTACAGGAGCCAAACTCACTCAAATTTCTCTAAGTTTCTATAAAATGTGAGGCTTGTACTAAGAGAGCAGAAATTCAAGCCTGTCACCCTCCCTGGGCTTTGTCTGTGCACTAGCACAATCAGGAGTGGTACCAAGACCTCACCCAATGGAAACCTCACCTGGTGGGCGCTCCTGGGGAAGTCTGCCATTCCATTTTGCAGATCAAAGTGTGTCTTGTATGAAATGGGAAGAGGGGTTGAGCAATTCCTCCAAACTGAATTAGGGATTGCCTGCAACTCAACTCACTGGGGACTCATTTCAAGTCAGCTCCCTAAACATTTGTAAAACACTTTGTGTAAGCAAGGAGCTGTGCCAGGCGCCAGTGGTAAACAGATGAATGAACAGGCTCCAGTCCATGCCTTCAAAGGCCCTGTAGCCTACCGGGAAAGACAGTCTAGTCAAGAGATGGTTAAGACATCAGGTGTGGTAACTGCTATGAGAGAGGTGCAGTGAGGGCCTAGGGAAAGGGATGCCTGACCTGCCTGGGCTCAGCAAGAGAGGTTAGTGGAGGAAAGGTTTTCAGGAGCAGAAGGAGAGGACATGGAATCTGGAATGAATCTTAGGGTGAGTTCAAAGTGTATATCAAAGGCACTGTAAGAGCAGGTGGGGCAGGGACAGGAAACATGTCCCAGCAAGGGCTCCTTACCTGTAAAAGAATGGAGGCCTCTTCACAGACCTGCAAGCACTTCAGTATGGCTGGAACATGATGGAAAGACAGGAGAGTGAGTAAGAAAATGGGCACTGTGTAAATACAAGCCAGAAGGAAAAGGGCCTGGATGTTAGGAGTTTGCAATTGATCCTGAAGAGGAGAGAGAGACACTGAGCGATTCCATGACAGATGGGAAACGAGGCTGCTATTGGATTTGATCCTTCATATGCAGGTTAGAGATGAGTTATCAGGATGTCGGGCCTTGAAGGGCTCAAAACCAAACCCCAAGGGAGCCAGATGGTGGGGGCTGGGAACTACACGTTTGAGTTGCAGTCCAGGCTCTGTGGCTGAGCATCTCTGAGGCTAGAGGGCTCTTGGAGGCTAGCCTTTTGGTTTGTGTTTCACTCTGCCAGGTGCACTGTCACCTACCCCTCTTGCTGCCCATGCCACACACACACATGACTGTCTTGGGACTCTTCTGCAAGATTTCCATGGTTCCAGCACTACCCTAACCCTCACATCGTGGTGCTGGCCAGTTCACTTGTCCATATGCCCCCGCTGCACTGTGAGCTCCTTGTGGACAAGAACGTTGTTTGCCTTATTCAACACTGTGTCCCTGGTGCCTAGCACTGTGCAGTGCACACAGAAGGTGCACAATAAATAATTGTTCAATTGTATGAATGGAAGTCAGATGGATAAAAGGTCACTTAACCTCTCATGCCTTTATTTACTTACTGGGAAAATGAAAACCATCTCTATGCTAATTTTCAATAATGAAACTCTCCATTCCAACCATCCGCAATTCCTAAATGTGTTACTTTTCCTCTCTCCCACCCCACATATTTTTTTATCCTCTTCCTCCTTTTCTGTCTACACTCCCACTCTTCCTCTTTCCCTTTCTGTGATTCTTGCTGTGTTTCTGCTGGTCATGTATTATGTTCCAGTTCTTCACTTTACCTTGGCTTTCTTATTTACTAAATTTCCTTCCCTTACCTTTCCACTCTTTCCTTTTGCAGTCCACTCTTTCCTTTTGCAGTCCACCCTCCCCTGGCCTGTGTCTTGTTTCCTGCCTCTCCTAGTCTTTCTCTCTCTCTCTCTCTCTGAGTCTTCTCTGTTTCTTTACATTTATTCCTCCTTCCCTTCCTCAATTGTTTTTGTTCTCATGAAATTTCTACTAACCTAATTTCATGTTTGGCTTTTTGCTCCTGGCGTTTGGTTCTAACTGACCTCCAGACTCTTTTCTCTATTTATTCTGAACAGAACAAATTGGTGACGATAATGGTACTGATGCTATTTCAGCAAAGAAAGGAATAAAGATGCAGAGATGTCTTTGAGGGGACTGGCAGGTCAGCTGTGGATGGAAGAAGGAACACCACTTAGTTCATCACTGAGAATAACCTGTCCTTCGATAGAGCTTCAGAGAGTTTGTGAGCATATGATGAGCATCTAGAACTGTTCCTTCCAGAAAATAACGTATCAGAAGGCAGAAAAATAATTATGTTTCCCTCAATGATCCCAGCAAAGAAGTTTGCTCTCCTAAAGGACCTCAAGGCACTCATAAAACTAAGAAAACTGAGTTAAGTGCTTTTTATTAAACCATTAAGAGATTTTATTCAGCTAAGACAAATGTCTTCACTGAAGGATACAGAGTTTGATAGTATAGAAAATACCCAGATGAAAATGTGTCTGAATAAATTAGACTGATGCATTTGGCATTTCAGTCTCCAAGTGTCTGATTCCCTTCAGCCCCAGTCTGCTGGCCAACCAAAAAATCTCTGATGGTGGATTCACTGAGTCCACCATTAGGCATAAGGGAGCAGGCACAAGAGAGCTTGACAGCACTGGAAGTTTCCCCCAAACTGTAAACAGCTTTGAGGACAAAGACGTAAGTAGCAAAGAATGCATTTTCTTTCTTTGATAGCCATTGGCTCCCAGATCTCCCTGACTTTATCCCTTTCAGAGACCAAGCAATAGACCAAGGAGCACACAGGACATTGGCAAGGAGAAAGGGTTTGGGGTGGGGTGGGCACAGTCAGAGATAGGAGAACTTACATCCAATTTCAGGGTCCTCAAATTTCTGGTCTGCCCCTAAATACGTAGAAGGTGTGGACTTAGAGGAGATAAATTTAAAGGCAGATGAATTTAAAGACACTCACTCCCAGCTTTTCCTGCCACACATGCTGGATCCTTTATCATCCTAGAAAAGATTCTTCTGGGGATATCACAGCTCTCCCCCCACTTTTCAAGACAGAAAAGGAACTGGCCATGGGAATCTTGTGTGCCAAGGGATTTAGTATAATGTTTATTTATATAGAATAAAATTGAGCCAGGCACGGCGAGCTTGCAATGGCTCAGACTAAATAATAGTAATAGCTAACATTTATTGGGTATTTACCATGTGTCAGGCACCATGCCAAGCATTTTACATATAATTTTTTATTTTGTTCTCACAACAGTTCATGAGGAACGTATTGTCATCACCATCCTTCTGATGAAGAATCCAGGTTTAGCAAAGTGATTTAACCTACCCAAAGTCACTCTAAGGCAGTTATTCCCAATCATTTTGGCACCAGGGACTGGTTTCACCAGAGAAGACAATTTTTCCATTAACTAGGAGGTACAGGATGGTTTTGGGATGAAACTGTTCCACCTCAGAACATCAAGCATTAGGTTCTTTTTTTTTTTTTTAGATTATACTTTAAGTTCTGGGATACATGTGCAGAATGTGCAGGTTTGTTGCATCGGTATACACGTGGCATGGTGGTTTGCTGCACCCATCAACCCATCATCTAAATTAGATATTTCTCCTAGTGCTATCCCTTCCCTATCCCCCCACCCCTCGACAGGCCCTGTTTGTGTGATGTTTCCCTCCCTGTGTCCGTGTGTTCTCATTGTTCAACTCCCACTTGTGAGTGAGAACATGCGGTGTTTGGTTTTCTGTTCTTGTGTTAGTTTGCTGAGAATGATGGTTTCCAGCTTCATCCATGTCCCTGTAAAGGACATGAACTCATCCTTTTTTATGGCTGCATAGTATTCCATGGTGTATATGTGCCACATTTTCTTTATCCAGTCTATCATTGATGGGCATTTGGGTTGGTTCCAAGTCTGCTATTGTGAACAGTGCTGCAATAAACATACACATGTATGTGTCTTTATAGTAGAATGATTTATAATCCTTTGGGTATATACCCAGTAATGGGATTGCTGGGTCAAATAGTGTTTCTTGTTTTAGATCCTTGAGGAATTGCCACACTGTCTTCCACAATGGTTGAACTAATTTACACTCCCACCAACAGTGTAAAAGCTTTCCTATTTCTCCACATCATCTCCAGCATCTGTTGTTTCCTGACTTTTTAGTGATCACCATTCTAACTGGTGTGAGATGGTATCTCATTGTGGTTTTGATTTGCATTTCTCTAATGACCAGTGATGATGAACTTTTTTCATATGTTTGTTGCATGCATAAATGTCTTCTTTTGAGAAGTGTCTGTTCATATCCTTTGCCCACTTCTTGATGGGGTTGTTTGTTTTTTTCTTGTAAACTTGTTTAAGTTCTTTGTAGATTCTGGATATTAGCCCTTTGTCAGATGGGTAGATTGCGAAATTTTTCTCCCATTCTGTAGGTTGCCTGTTTACTCTGATGATAGTTTCTTTTGCTGTGCAGAAGCTCTTTAGTTTAATTAGATCCCATTTGTTAATTTTGGCTTTTGTTGCCATTGCTTTTGGTGTTTTAGTCAGGTACTAGGTTCTTATAAGGAGCATGCAACCTACAGCCCTCGAATGTGCAGTTCACAATAGGGTGCAAGCTTCTGTGAGAATCTAATGCTGCCACTGATCCGACAGGAGGTGGAGCTCAGGTGGTAATGCTTACTGGCCCACCACTCACCTCCTGCTGTGCAGCCCGGTTTCTAAAAGGCCATGAACTGGTACCCAACCATGGCTCAGGGGTTGGGGACCCCGGCTCTAAGGCATACTCATTTGATGATCTTCCCGACATCCTTTGATTTTGGACACTGCTTGCCTTCTTCCTTCTGGAAACTGCTTTCTCCCTTTTCTTCCGCCCTACCCATGTGGCTACCATGGTTTTCTGTAGCTCTTCCCCTGGCCAATCATCCTCCCCTCAAAGCTAAGCCCATGCTTTGGAGTCAGACAGTCTAAGATTAACCAAAACTCCATTAATCCCTGCTTCTGTGATCTTGAGCAAGGCGCCTCCTTCCTCATGGCTCAACCTCATCTGAAAATGGGGATAATCACAGTACCCACCACCAAAGACTTCGTAGGAATCATTGTTCAGGTAAAGCATTTTGCTCTGTGCCTGGTACGTGGTAAGTTTCCAAAAAAAGGTAGTGCCTCTTGTTTTTAATACCAAATGGAATTGTTATTTTAGTTATTATTCTTAATCTTATTTCTCCTGATCACTTATCAGGAATTTAATTATGTCTCTATGATGGTACTTTGGATTTTGAACTTGCCACTCAAGGACACAGGGTGTGTGCAGGAGAGTGTGTGGATGGCTGTGAGTGTGCTCAGGTGGGCCTTGGGTGAGAGCATTGAGCTGTTTTCTGGCATGCATAAGGGTGGTTCCAAAAGTAAGAGCTAGTAATATCTTCAGGAGACTTCAGTGCACAGACTGCCACTCTGTGCAAACTGTGAGGTAGGGTGCAAGAAAGCAGAGAGGCAGATTGATTTTTAAAAGGCTGAACTTCCAAGCTGTTGTAAGAAGCAGCCAGCAAATGAGAGATCCATAAACCCCGGAAACATGCACTGCATCACTGGGAATGGTGCTGGGAGATGGATTAGGCATTGAAAATGAGTACTTTGCAGAACAAAGAAGTTTTTATATGATGTCAGAATTTAGAAATTCCCAAGATTGTTTTTTATGGGCAAAGTTAGGTGGGAAGGGAAGAATGGAGGATGAAAATAAATTTCTTAAAAGGATCACCACTGAGGATTAAATACTGGTTGGAAGAGAGGCTGGGAGCCAGATATGATTTGGGAATGCAGTGAGGGGCAATGGAGGGGAATAGATTCAATACAACCCTGCCCAGTTTCTCTGCTGGGCTGGGAAATTGATTTAGGGGGAGCTAAGCAGGAGATCCTCAAAGGCCCTGCACAGTCTTTGGTGGTAAGTTGGGCAGATTTGCTATGGGTCCAGCTTTAAATGCTTCCAGGCACTGCTCTCCAGGAAAGTCACTTGGGTGAAGACACTGAATATTGATCCCCAGCTGCCACCGAAGTTCTACTATGGGCTAGTGCACATGTCACTTAAGGAAAAGCAAGAAGATGAAACTCCCAGAATCCCCCTGCCACTGTGAAAAGCTCATATATCAAGTGAAAAACAGGGAATAAGAAGGGAGTATTTTTGCCAGGTCCCCGAAGGGTGGATGGGGCAAGGGTTGTGGAATAGGTGAGGGAGGAAGGGTGCCTGCACTTTGAGAAAAGGTCAGAAAGGATAGAAAGCTTGGAGTAAAGGAACAGTAATCCTGAGGACAAAGGCATGTTCAGAATTTATGGGTTTTGAATCTGCAAGTGAATTTAAAGTCTACCGCGGGTGGGTTGTGGTGAATGTGCCACAGCCCCAGAATTTCAGGTCATTCCTTTTAATTTACTTGTTTGCAGCTACACAATAGTTTAGATGCCCTTTCAATGCTGTAAGGATGGAAAAAGGTGATATGATTATCCCCGCTGAATATGTGGGCAAACGAAGCCTCCCTCCAAAAACTTAACAGTCCAAGATCACCCGGGGCCCAGCCAGGAATGGAACCTAGAACCTCTTGAATTCTAGCTCCTTCCCTTCCACTTTGCTCACAAAGGGCACATCCACTTCTGAGTGCATAACTCATGTGGTCCCCAGGTACTCTGCCATCTCATGCAAGAAAGACTGTTCCACTCCACAGATGGAGGTTAGATACGGTCATAGCTGCCATCCTCGATGGGGAAAAGTTAGGGGCTGTTACAGTCACCTTTAGGGTCTGTACAAAGAATTTGATCATCCCAAACACCCTGTGAATCATGGTTGCTGAGCCAAGCTGGACAGCGTGTGATTTCCTTCAGAAGGGCTAAGACTAGAGTGAAGAAGGCACCTTCCTGGGGAGACCATGTAACCTTATTCTCTGCCCTGTGGTCTCTTTGCCCTGGGAGACCTGAAACACTAGGGCTCATGGGAGGAAATTGTTAGCTATTTGATGTTGTGAACATCAACAAGAGAATGGTGATAGCAAGCTGAATGCCCTTGTGTTTGACAGGCTTGGTGTTTAATAACATTTGCCATTCAGAGTCTGATATTTTTCTGAGTTTTACATCTGTTTTTTACATCACTTTTTAGAAAGTTGAAATCCTATATACATACATATACATATATGTACACACATACTTTTTTCCAACTTCAACCGAAAGAACTATACATTTTCAATCCATGTTATATAGGTTTTTTATGAACATAATAAATTCAAATACCTGAATAGCCAAGACAATCCTAAGCAAAAATAACAAAGCTGGAGGCATCATGTTACCCAACTTCAAAATATACTACTAGGCTACAGTAACCAAAACAGCATGCTATTGGTACAAAAACAGACACGCAGACCAATGGAACAAAATAGAGATCTCAGAAATAAGATTGCATATCTACAACCATCTGATCTTTGACAAGCCTGACAAAAACAAGCAATGGGGAAAAGATTCCCTATTTAATAAATGGTTCTGGGAGAACTGGCTAGCCTTATGCAGAAAATTGTAACTGGATCCCTTCCTTCCACCATATAAAAAATTAACTCAAGGTGAATTAAAGACTTAAATGTAAAACCCAAAACTATAAAAACCTTAGATGAAAATCTAGGCAATACCATTCAGGACACAGGCACAGGCAAAGATTCCATGATGAAAATGCGAAAAGCAATTGCAACAGAAGCAAAAATTGACAAATGGGATCTAAGTAAACTAAAGAGCTTCTGCACAACAAAAGAAACTATCAACGGAGTGAACAGACAACCTACTGAATGGGAGAAAATTTTTGCAATCTATCCATCTGACGAAGGTCTAATATCCAGAGTCTATAAGGAACTTACACAAATTTACAAGAAAAAACCAATCCCATTAAAAAGTGGGCAAAAGACATGAACAGACACTTCTCAAATGAAGACATTCATGTGGCCAAAAAACATATGAAGAAAACCTCAACATCACTGATCATTAGAGAAATGTAAATCAAAATCACAATGAGTTACCATCTCACACAAGTCAGATAGCTATTATTAAAAACTAAAAAAAAATCAGATGCTAGCAAGATTGTGAAGAAAAAGGAACAATTTTACACTGTTGGTGGGAGTGACAATCAGTTCAACCATTGTGGAAGACAGTGTGGCAATTTCTCAAAGACCTAGAGGCAGAAATACCATTTGACCCAATAATCTCATTACTGGGTATATACCCAAAAAGATATAAATCATTCTATTACAAAGATACATGTATGTGTATGTTTATTGCAGCACTATTCACAATAGCAAAGACATATAATTAACCTAAATGCCCATCAATGATAGACTGGATAAAGAAAATGTAGTAGGTATATACCGTGGAATAATATGTAGCCATAAAAAGGAATGAAATTATGTTCTTTGCAGGGACATAGATGGAATTGGAAGCCATTGTCCTCTGCAAACTAATGCAAGAACAGAGAATCAATCACTGTATGTTCTCACTTATAAGTGGGAGCTGAATGATGAGAACACATGGGCACATGTGGGGGAACACACACACTGGGGCCTGTCAGAGGGGAGCTTGGGGGAGGGAGATCATCAGGAAGAATAGCTAATGGATGCTGGGTTTAATACCTAGGTGATGGGATGATCTGTGTAGCTAACCACCATGGCACCTATTTACCTATGAAACAAACTTGTGCACCTAACACATGTACCCCTGAACTTAAAATAAATGTTAAAGAAAAAAATAAATTCAAATGTTAAATTTTCTTCTTCTCTTCACAGAATCCTTTTAGCACATGACCTCCTGACTTCTTTACCTGCTTACAGGGAGAAAGGCTGAACTATGATGATTTAGTCATTTTTACAAATGAGCAGTAAAGGGTCAGAATTACACAAGTTAGTGGAAGCATCTAGACTTTCTGAGTTAGATAATGCACTTTCTACCATAGCACAAGCATCTGTGTAATTATGTCTAAATTTCCAGGCCCAGACTTTTTTTTTTTTTTTTTTTTTTTTTGAGATGGAGTCTCGCTCTGTTGCCCAGGCTGGAGTGCAGTGGCGTGATCTCCGCTCACTGCAAGCTCTGCCTCCAGGGTTCACGCCGTTCTCCTGCCTCAGCCTCCTGAGTCGCTGGGACTATAGGCACCCACCACCACACCCGGCTAATTTTTTGTATTTTTAGTAGAGACGGGGTTTCACTGTGTTAGCCAGGATGGTCTCGATCTCCTGACCTCGTGATCCGCCCGCCTTGGCCTCCCAAAGTGCTGGGATTACAGCGTGAGCCACCACGCCCAGCCAGGCCCAGACTTTTAAACGATAAACTTTTTCATAGTTGGTTCCATGAATTATTTAAAAGTTTCATGAAGGAAGACCACTCATTGTGGCCAAAGGCCATTGATGGCAATCAGACAAGGGATCCAAATTCAGGCCTCCTAGTAACTATTTCCATAAACAACTTTGCTTTCCTGCTCAATGAACAAACAGATTTCATCAAAATTTTGGAGGAAAAAAAAGGAGCATTTATTCTTCAGTCTTTCCCCCCTCTGGAGAAAGCCCAAGTTTGTTTTGTCTATTGGTTTTGAATATTGCATGTGCTACTATCATTTATGAGAGCCATTTAGTGATCAGATTGCATGTCTCCCTTGTTTAGGTAGTTCTGCAGATGGACTGGCATTTGCTTGCATACAGCTGTGCACATCTGGCATGCAGGTGGGTTTTCTGATAGGCTAGCTTGCTTACAAAATGATTTCTTCTGGGAATGAAGAGGAGAGATTGCCCAAGGCCTGAGATGAAGCCGTCCACAAGCTTGGACACTGATTTGTTTCTAACAAAGGTTTTCTGAGCAGGGTAGTTTGGGAAAGATGATGAGAAGCATACACCTAGAAAACGAGCGGTCACAGAGTTCCCATCCCCAAAGGCAGGTGTGTGTCAAGGCCTAAGTTGATTTTTGGGGGGCCTGAGAGAGTTTGGAGGGTTAATGCTCTAGTCAAAACTATATCTATGGATATTTATGGATGAAATGACATGATAAGTTAGAATTGCTTCAAAAAAATCCTACGTGGGTGTGTGTGGGAGTGTGGGGAATGGGGTTTAGGGATGCAACAAGAGAGATGTTGGGTTGATGATTTTTATAGAGGAGTGATTAGTACATGGGGTTCATTGACAATTCACTCTATTTTTATGTATTTTTGAAATTTTCTAGAATCAAAAGTTAAAAACAAAATCTGTTCCCACATATGGGCCTCCAGAGGCACATTTAATCCTGATAGACTTCTTGTTAATTCTAGGTAGTGGATGGCTGGTGGGGTGCAGGCATGAACACAGGCAATACGAGGAGCAGGAGGTGGGTGGGTAGTCCCTCACACAGCCAAAGGAGGGAGAGTGGACTTGGCGCATTTCTCCTGTGACACATTATTCTCTGCTGTACCCGTCAGAAGGCAGGTGTCATTTCCTCATGCACCATAGCTGTCCCCTCTCCTCTCCTCTTCTCCTTGGCAATCTCTCCAAGATGCTCAGGGTTGCACGGAGCCCAGAAATGACCAGAAAAAGGGCTGGTAGAAACAAAATGGGTATTAATGCCACATTCTGTCAGAATTCCAAACCTAATCTAAGCTATAGCCCCAGAAAAGGAGAAAGGTGAAAGGGAACAGAAAGGTGAAAAAGTAAACCAAGAAACTGAGGAAGTTTTAGAAGAAATGCTCATCTTTTGGGAGAGAGACTTTCCCGGGCCATCTCCTTGCTAATAGAACATGCAGATGCCCAGCAGAAGTGAGAGGTGAGTGCCTCAGGCCACTAGAAGAGACCAGGGCGGCCTCTCTGGCCCTTGATGTGCTAGGAGGAGCTGGCTCCGCCCCACGCTCACCAGGAGAAGGTCATCCCCCGGATTTCTAACAGCTTTCATGGAGGAAGCAGCGGCTAGCTTTCCACAGGACAGCCTCTGCCAGGCCCCCTTCCGGACCCTTCCAAAACCAAAGGTGCTCCGCACTAAGCTTGTAAATGACCTTTCCATTCCCGACTCCGGTTGGTGTCTATGTTTAGCTTCCCTCCTTTCCTCCTGGGGACACTAAGGTGGGGGGTAGTGGTCCTGGCCCCAAGCCATGGGAGCCGGTGCCTGGGCAGCAAGGTGAGAGCACCAGCGGCTTCCAGAGAGTCCATATGGCTGCGTGGCCACAAATAGCTGCACCGACTTGAAAAAAACGCCCACTCCTCTGAAACACACTCTGTGTACTTGAGTCAGACACATTCTGTTCTCTCCCTTCATCCTGACAGGAGCCTCCGTGAGATCCACTCTCAGCTGAGGGGTCCCTACAACCTCTCTTCTTGAACGCCCACTCTCCCAACCTGTTTTTCTTTGTATCTGCTGCTCTCCCTGTGTCTTCCTCCCGCCTCTGACTCTATCCTGCATCCCGTTCCCATCTCTCTGGTCTGTGCCTCCTTTCCCGGATTCCTCCCACCAGCCTGTCACTGTGCCGCCCTTCTCTCCCTTCCCCACCCCGCCCCCTCCCGCCGGCCTCTCTCTGCTCCACACAGCTGGGCTCTCTGGGGATGTGGCTGTTTGGGCTGCAGTTCTATGGGCACAGGTGGCACTGGCAGATGCAAGTCCTTTCCATTCATGTGGGTAAACAGTAAACATTATATTAAAATATTCATCACCAGGCCCTCTGTCTGAATGTTAATCTGGGGCGGGAGCTGATTCATAGTCCCCGGCACCAGCTCCTGGGCAAAGCCCGACAGTGACGATGCAACTCTGCAGCAGTAGAGTGGTCAGGAGAGGTTGGCATGGGAGCAAAAGCATTGATTTTGCATTTGGTTCAAGAGTGATACACGGTGGAGCTTTCTGGCCAGAGAAACTGCCTGTCTACCTGGGGAGGACATGCTTTTGTAGGGCAGTCACTGACAGCTGAGCGCAGGTGGGCCTGAGCAGACCTGTAGAACAAGCAGGTATCTGACACTGGGCTCCTGGTTGCCTGTTTATCACTTTTGTATTTATATGTCTGGCTATGTGCAGAGCGCTAACAAGCCCGGTGGCTCCTTAAAAACCCACTGGTGATCTATTTGCTCTCTGTTGTTAACAGTGGCACACCATGTATCTGTTCCATTTCACAGTCAAAGCCTAGGAATCCTGCTGGATTCTGGACAATGCCTCAATGATATCGAAGAAAAATCTAGACTCTTTCTAAGGGATAGATTTTTGGAGGAAGGATGGCACACGGTTCTTAGTGTCTAAAACAATTCTTCATCAGGAACTTCTTTCCTATAATGAATCTAGATCCCTCATACTCCAGAGGAGTCGAAAACGGGTCGGTCATGGTCCTCTAGGTGAGACCCTTCATGTACAGGAGACCTCTATTAGCTCACACACTGTCTTCAGCGTTCACTTCTGCAGGCACGGCTGCATTCATTCATTCATTCATTCATTGCTCACCCACTCATTTATTTAATGACAATTATGGATTGCCTGCCCAGTGACTCATACTGGGCCAGGCAAGTGTGAAGAGACGAGTTGTCCTCCCAGGCTGCCCTTGAGAATTCACAGTCCAGTGCAGAAGATAGACAGATACATCATGCACAGGGCTAATTACTCAGTGCAAAGAGCTACGGGAACCCAGATGAGGGAGTGACAACACCTCACAGATGTTGTTTCAAGAGATTTTTGAGCTCCTCAAGGGCAAAGATCCTACTGTAGTCATATTTTTAATTTTAGTGGCTACACAGTGCCTGCTTCATAGTGAGTGCTCATGGAATGTTTGTTGAATGAATGAATGAAGGTTGTTCTTAGGACACAAAGATGTGAAAGATGATCCCTGCTATCCAGGGGCTTAGCTTTGTTAGGGAAACAAGAAATTATTGAAGGCATGAGTGAGCATGGGGCCCAACAGTCACCAAATTACTGAGATCTTCTAAATTTCCTTTCTATAATACCCCCACTGTACCCCATATGGGGATATCTAAGCACCCACAAAACTTTACAATATATTGTTTGTTGTCTGCCTCTCTAGCTGGACTACATGGGACCAAGCTCTGGGAATAGTACACCCTGTGGCCATTCCCTCAAGACACATCCATGACAATTACATGCTGTCTAACTGAACTTGTATATTGAGGCAGAGTGGTACTCATGATATCAGAAGTGCCGTTTGTGTGGCGAGAAGCTGGGACCTGCGTCAGGCATTTCACATAGGCAGTCACAATAATCCTCGCACACTCAAACTGTATCTTTTCGAATTCATTCAGGAGGCGGAGCAGAATTCAGAAGTCTTGCTAGAGTCCCTGAATATTACATTGTGTTACTTCCCCACATCCTGTCACCATGCCTCAGAGAAACACTGGATTATACTGCGGGGAGAGCCTTTCAACATCCTGCTGGCTGATGTTTAACATCCCACTCTTTTCAAGCCATTTTGGAATTGACGTGAAGAAGTCTTTGCATTGTTTCTCTATATAGAGAAATTCATGTTCTCGTGAGTTTTCCTGTTATTAAAATAGAAAGGCTCATCACTTTTATTTTTTGAGTGCCGGATTCCCACAGATACTAGAAAATGGTATCTGTGTCCCTGCTATTTTAATACTCCAGTATATATGCTACTGAGGTCTGTTGGAGTCAAATTCGTCTCACTAATTTAAATACCTTTCACCAGGTATTCCCCAACTTCTCCTTGTTTTCCCACCCTGCCAATCTGTGTTGATGTGCTACATATGTCTCTCTAATAACCTGGGTGGGAGCTCAGCGCACACATGGCTCCTTATTCCATGAAATAAGTAAAAATTAAAGTGCTGGCTGGCACGTACTCTTCTTGGTGACTCGGGGCTGCCATATGCAGAAGCATCTCTGGCACTGTTTACTGAAGTCTCTCATTTTCTGTCTTGCTGGGATCTGGGAATACTTTAAATATTCAGCTCGAGGTAGCGCTTAACATTTATTAACTGCTGATTCTGTGCCAGGCACTGGCCAAGGCATATCCACATTCATCTCACCCCCTACAAGACCATTCTGTGAGGCTATAAAATGGTCCTCATTTTATAAACAAGAAACTGAGGCTCCGGGCTGAAAGGAACTGGCTTCAAGTCTCCTAGCTGTTAAAAAGGGACACAGGAGTTCTCATCTAGTCTTCTGTGTTTTATAGACATCTGTATAGGGCTTACTGTGTTCTAGATGCCACTGTAAACATTTTACAAACATGAACACTTTTAATCCTCATAACAACCCTGTGAGGGAGGTAGTATCTGATGCTAACAGATAAGGAAACTGAGGCATACAGGAGTGGAATCACTGTCCTCATTTATCTAGCTGCAGCTCTCTGCTGCCTTTCCCCCGTAAGTCCTAGACTTCAAGTCATGCCTGTCCAGGCCAAGGGTGTTAGAGAGGAGATCCCAAAAGAACAAAGCTCATCCTGAGGCTAAAAAGCTCACTCTTTTCTGATTTTCTTAATTGTGATACTAATTGCATGGCTGTCTAGGCATTCTTCTTTTCCTCCTTGCTTTCTTTTAATAGTCCTTCAGGGGAAAAAAATGGTACTTACAACCTGATTTTCCAGAACGCATACTTTGCGGCCAGCCCTCTCTTTCCTCTTCCCTTCACTTCTCCTCGGTTTTGGTTTGGCGTGGGAGCAGAATCCGCTAACTCTGAGAGATCATGTGCTCCTCCGCTTGCCCCATCTCCCTCTCTCTCACCGTCAATTACAGCAAATGTCATTAATTTGAAAGGCAAGGGACCAGGAAGAATGGATTTTGAATTAACTAGTTCAAATAATCTGATATTTTTACTGGAGCATGACAGGGTATCCAGTTAGCTGGGGAACAACAATTGCTTCCAATTGTGCATTCTCTTGGATAAACCGATATCTGCTTAACAAGGTTTTTCTGTAAAGGGCAATCAAATAGTCATTTGTGTTTCACGGGGCTTCTGAGCCTGGATCCTAATGCCTAGGGCAGCTGCTGTTGTGCTGTTGTGTTGTACTGCCTTGTGGGAGAAATAGGCTTCCCCCTTCATGCAAGAAAGCATGCTTCTGGGACTCCCTGGGGCTCAGACATATTATCTGCCCTAGGCCCTCATCGGTACCATGAGTCGGTCCCTTGGATTCTTTAGTGTTAGGTAATAATCACCAGTGCTTATGTTAAACACCTCCTGGCTGGGCATGGTGGCTCACGCCTGTAATCCTAGCACTTTGGGAGGCCGAGGTGGGCAGATCATCTTAGGTCAGGAGTTTGAGACCAGCCTGGCCAACATGGTGAAACCCTGTCTCCACTAAAAGTAGAAAAATTAGCTGGGCGTGGTGGTGTGCACCTGTTGTCCCAGCTACTCAGGAGGCTGAGGCAGGAGGATCGCTTGAACTCAGGAGGTGGAAGTTGCAGTAAGCCGAGATCATGCCACTGCCCTCTAGCCTGGGTAACAGAGAGAGGCTCCATCTCAAAACAACAACAGCAACAACAACAACAACAACAAAAACAAAACAAAAAACAAACAAAGAAAACAAACAAACAAACACAAATCCTGCTTGGGTCTTGTAAAATTCCTGGTAGCAGAAATGACTAATGAGTCACCAAAAACTTGTGCAACCTCTTGCATAGTAAGAAACTGTTGCCAGGAGCAGCTGCCCCACTACAGGCTACATTATCCAGCCTCCTGGCATTCAGGGCCAGTTTTTGCTGATGGGATATGAGCCTGAGTGGTCTGTGTCACTCCCAGGGTGAGAAAGGAATGTAGGTGAGTCTTTCCCTTTCTTCTCTATCTGCTAGCTGGATACAAGGATTCTGAGGACCAGGGAATGGTGGAGCTATAATACAGAGAAAGAAGCCTTAGCCCCTTGGTCACCACAAAGAGGAAGACTGTCTGCTGATGAGAATACCCATACTGGGCTGGTATGAGAGAGCAAAATAGCCTTCTGTTGTGCAGCATCTATTTGTTCCCACAGCTCTTGTTAGCCTAACTTATGTGCCATCATCCCTCACTCTTCTATTCTTGTGTTTTTCTTCCTAGCATAGGCAGAAAAGGTCCATGCCCTAGTTTGAAGTTAAGCAGAGAAGGAATATGGTATTGGAGAAAACCATCGAGGGAGGGCATACATGCTGGAGAGCTGGCAGAGTGCAAGGAGGTGGGGATTCAAAACCTGACGATATAAAAGTCATCCCCTGGGCAGTAACTTAAGTGAGCTGCTTATCTGGTATGGTCAATTACCATGCAGCACATATAACCGTTAGTATCATCATCTATTAATAATATGCGCTATGTTAACGTGGTTGTAGTTGCATTTGATGATAGCATTAAACTGTTTGCTCTGCCTTCTGTTGCTCATATTCAGGCTACCACATTATGTGTAACAAGGTCATTTGGTCATACTTAAAAAGAAAAACAACAAGAGAGGCAACATTAACAGGAAAGAAAACCTATGAAAGTCGACATAGCACAAAGCACATGCCTCCGGCTTTGGCTCCTTCAAGGTTGATACTGTGTGGGATCTCGCCAATCACGAGTTTAGTTTCTGGCTTGTTTTTGTTTTTATTGTCAGCTCTTCCTTTCCAAATATATACAGAAGAGGCAAAAATATATTGCTTCAGAGTAGAAACTGAACATGACATCATCTTCTTCTCCAATTAAAAATTACAAAGGAAAGCATGCCTCGTGAGTAATAATAATAATCACAATTAAAATAATTGACATGTTTGAGTATTTAATATGGGCCAGCAGAACTCTAAGGGCTCCACTTGTCAAATGCAGGATTGTAAAGTTGGGCTCTCCCTGCAAGGCTGATGGGAGATGACCTGGCTTCTCCCTGCTCCTTGGCCCATCCCATTACCTTTGTTTCCCACGTACCTCTGGCTCAACTTAAGACCTGGGTATGTTTTGCATGTGCAGCCCCTGTTCACCTTCCTCCACACCCTCCCTTCTGGAACAATCAGACTCTGCACCCTAGCTTTAGCAGATGTGGCTTTCTTTACCATATCCCTGTGTCCTATGCAAAGGTCTTCCTCTGACTAGGTTTTTCTGGGGAACAATGGCTAATCAAGCAAATTACTCCTTGTAATTAGTTCATCAAAGTGCTCCCCTTATAGCCATCAGATGCCTTCAGTGTCCTGGCTCATGTGCCCTCGAAGTCCTTCTGGAGTGGGTTAGAGTGAAAGGAGAACCTACCTTTATTGTGGTTTCTCTTAGCAGGAAGTACACGGGCCTATCTCTCTCTTTCATCCCCTCTGCCTCTCCTCCCAGTCAATCTACTACGTAACTACTGTTGCCCCTAAGATTGAACTTGTTTGACAAGCACAAGTCATGGTGCAATACAGCAGAATATCTGAAAATGAAAGTACCCCAGAAAATACAATGCCTATGGTTGTGTCCATCAGAGTCTGGACTTCACATGTAACTTGCCTCATGTCTCTCCTGCCCCCGCATATGATGATAATTCTTGTTCCATGGAAGCCTCAGTCTACTTGAGACTTGAACCAAATGGGAACAATAGTCAAGTCAGAACAGCAGCCCGGTGGAGCTCAAAGGCTGACTTTTCACCACCTGGGGGACGTGAATGAGTCACTACTTCCAGGAGGGTTTTTTTAAGGATAGTTTAGCTTCTACTATGACACATCAGTCACTTGAGTTTCTGGGAATGAATATTGAGCCCAGGGAGTTGCTTGCTAGAAGGGAAAGCTAAAAAGTGGAGCTCAGGCCTTACAAGTCACGTTCTCCTCAGTTTCCATTTTTCTTGTGTGGATGTAGAATTTCTAAGTGGATTTGGGGCCTGGGAGGGCCTCCAAAGCCCAGTGTCTCTGACCTAGCTGCAGACCCAGTAACCCCAGGACCCTGTAATAGGCCCAGGTGAATAGAAGCTGTGTGTTGACAACAAAGGATGCTGGCAGGAGGCTGTGCGGGCAGGGAAAACCAAGGCTGGGCTGGTGCTGGGTGACCTTGGGGACAAGCATGTGTTTGACTTCTGTGCTTTCTCTACACGACTCAGCTAGAGTTTTGTTTTAAAAGCAGAACCAGATGCTGCCTCTGAGCTCAGCTTTAGGGCTGAAAATAAATTAGGAAAAGAGGGCTCCATGCAGCAAGGCAGCAGGGCAAGGAACGCAGCATGCCCTAAAAAAGCCATTAAGACCATGTCACAGAAGGGAAGTCTCCCTGTTCAAAGGGGCTGGACAGAAGAGGTCTGGAGCAGGAGGACGCTTAGACCTTTGGCTGGCTTTCCCCTTTTAGCAGTTGTGCTGTTAGCTAAAGGTGATCTCGGCAAAGAAATAGCCATCCAGTCCTAATGGGCAAGGAAGAAAAACAGAGCCAGGCAGAATGGCAATGGGCTTGTGCTCCAGTGGGTTAGAGAGGAGTCCAAGATGGCCCCAACATTTCCATCCCCTGGTATACATACCCTGCATGATGCCTCCCTGTGAGTGTGGCGAGGAACCTGTGAATATGGTGGGAGATCATGCCCATCATTATGTTATGTTGTAGGGCAATGGGGAGTTTGCAGATGCCTTTAAGTTCTCTAATTAGCTGACCCGAGTTAATCAAAAGGGGCTCTATCCTAGGTAATCTAGCCTGATCTAATCATGTGAGCCTTTAAAAGAAGGTGAAGTATCAGACACACTCTCCTGTTGGCCTGGAAGGAAGTAGACAGCCAAAATATAAAAAATAATAAAGGAAGTAAGCGGCTATGTTGTAAATGGACTATGAATGTGACCATGTAGCTAGGACCTAGGGGTGAGCTGCAGAAGTTGAGATCAGCCCCCTGCCAATAGCCAGCAAGAAACTAGGTACTTCAGTCTGTTAACCACAGGAACTAAATTTCCCCAACCACCTGAATGAGCTTGGAAGAGGCCCCTGAGTTCCAAGTGAGAAACTGACCCAGCTGAAACATTGATTGCAGCCTTGTGAGGCCTGGGCAGAGGACCCAGCTATGTCATGCCCAGACTTTTGACCTAGAAAAACTGAGAGAGAATAAATGAGTGTTGTTTTAAGCCATTAAGTTTGTGATAATTTGTCACACAGCAGTAGAAGACAAATACGGCCAGCTAAAGACAGCAAATCAGTGGATATTTCTTGCCTCCTTCCTTCCTTCTTCTTAACTTCATCCTTTCTTCTTTCCTTTCTTGCTTCCTTCCTTGTCTCTCTTTTTGCCACCTATTTACGTCTAAATTCATTCATTCATTGATATATTGGCCCATTCATCCATGTATTCATATTTTCAATCATGTATTCAACACTGTGAAGCACTGTGCTAAGGTGTGGGTCACAGTGGTGACCTGAGCACAGCCCCTGTCTTCAAAGCCAGTCTGGTGTGGGTACAGACAATGGCAATCATAATTCAGTGTAGTAGGAGTTATGATAGGCAAGAATACAGGGTACCAGGGATGGAAGCACAATGCAATTTTGAGCAGTCGGGGTGGGGGCTTCTCAGTGGAAGAAGTTTCTCCATTGATTCCTGCAGTACAGAACAATGGGTTCCAAACAGTGCTGCACATTGGAATCACTGGGGAAGATTAACTGACCCCCCATGCCTAGGTCCCACCTCAGACTCATTTAATCAGGATGTCTGGGGTGGGAGTCTAACTCAAATGGTATAGGGTATGACCTGAGCACTGGGATTTCAAAAAGCTTCCCACGTAACCCTAATATGCACCAAAGTTTGGGAACTCTGATGTGCAGAATGCTGGAGTGCTCTATTCGGAGCACTCCTCTTTGGGGCAGACACATTGAACCCCCATGCAGGGAATATTGGCTGTTGAAAATCATAGCTGTGGCCCTCACTGAGAATTGCCCTGGGATAGAGGAAACTTTCCCATGCAAGACTTCCCTTTCCAGATCTTTGCAGGGATACAAACTCGGGGCTCCTTGCCTCAAATTGACACAATTCTGATGGGTCATCCTAGTTCCAGAGCTTCCTGTAGGGTTGACTGAGGCCTCAGTTAAAGCCACATACAAATCAGTTCTTCCCACTGCTCAATCTTGCCTTCCTCACCTTCTTAGAGGCCCATCTCCCAAAAGTTCTCCCCAGTAAACCTCTTGCATGCAATTCCTTGGCTCAGAATACGTTTCCAGGAAAACCAGTCTAAAGCAATGAATAAGAGTTAGCACAATAAAGATGCAGTGGCGAGGGTTACAGACAGGGAGAACAGCACCTAAGGAAGCCCAGATGAAAGTGAGGCTGTTGAATTTTAGAAGATGGTATATAAATTAACATGGTTGGAGTATAGAGTTGGAGGGTGGGAGAGATCAGAAGGTATGAAAGACATGATCAAATATGCCCAAGGCTGCAGGATGGATGGACCCCCTAGACGAACCAAGGATATTCTTTGTTTTTTAAAGGGGTGCTACAATTATCCCATAAATATTAGAGCAGGGTTTGAGTGCCTGACACAGGATCTTGAAATGTGGTCAGCATATGCTCATCCCAACCCTGCTCCCCAGGGTGTCCACATGTGTGAATTAGAGAAAATAGGATGCCCCGCCGCAGTGGCGCATGAGTGGACACAGGTCCATATGAACAGCCAGTACACGTTGCTGAGGATGACTGGGAGACCAGAGGACCCATGGCTGAGGGAAGAGAAGCCTCCCTAAGATGAGAAGGCGCAGCTGAATGGGCCTCTGAAAGGCTGCATTCCAACAGCAATGGGCCCTGAGGATGGATCCCAACCAAGGACAGGGCTTATGCCTCGGTGCTCAGAGTTTAAGGAAGCGACAGACCCACGTTCTTTTTCTGTAATGGATTGTAATAGCACTATTCATATGGAAGGAATCAATATATTTTTAGAGTGTTATATTATCATATATTATCTATAAATTAGGTAATATATATATGAGAGTACTTGGTAAACAGAAAAAGAGCTGTACAGATGAAAGGTATTATGTCTTCGTCTATGGTATTTATGTAAATGAGCCGACAGGGATGACTGTCACCGGGAAACTGTAAATCCCTGTACAAATGAGAAGCTGCACGATTAGGTATTTCACAAGGTACCTTGGGCCCCGGGCAGGCAGGTCCTGGCTTCCTTTCCACAAGGGCAGCTTTCTCCCAGCAGAATGAGTGCTGTGTGCAGAGCGAGTGGGCTGAAATCTCATGACGCTCCATTCACGGAGCCGTGGAATAACAGCATTCAAGCTGAGCAATTTGCAGAGAGTAAATTAAGGGGAATGAAACTCCTGTAACAGATCCTGGGAGGAGGGAGGAGACAAAGAGGAAGATGGGGGAGGCAGGCAGAAATTTTTCAGCAATGCCTTCCTTTTGAGGTAATCTGTTACGTGCAGCCTGCAGGGAATCGAAGCCAGGCCAAATTGTGCCCGCATGGAATGCTCTTCTGGGTGGGATGTTGGGTTTACATATTGACAAAGGGCTTCTAGTCTCCAAAAGCCTTCTCCAAGTGCAGCCTCATGGCGGATGCTGCAATGGGCTGCACCGCGGGGTGTACGAAGAAGGCTGATGCCCAGGAGCTCTTCGAGGATTCACACTTGTTTTGCCAATGATGAGGCTGGTCCTAGAAGGAACTGGTCTTTGAAGGGAGTTTCTAGAGTGAAAAATCTCCTTTGGGCTCAATGGTTCAGCTAGCATCTTTAATATTTCATATTACCGTGATTCCAGCTGTCACTTCTCATTCAACCAATACTCAATGAGTGGCTGTCTTTTCCAGGCCCAGTGCTAGGCGCTCTGCATGCATTATCTCTGTATCCCTTACAATACTGCAAGGTAGGTACCATTAGTATCTGTTGTATAGATGTGGACACTGAGGCTTCAAGAGGTTGGATAACTGCTCCACCCAAGCAGAGGAGGCAGGTAGCAGTGAACATAGCTCACTAGAATCGACACTTTGTGCAGCTGCTAACATCTTGCAGCTTCAGCAGCCTCTAAACTCCGTCCTTCACCCTCACCCCTGTCCTGCCTCCGCTGTGAGTCGGGTGCTCATTTCTCCCCCTCACTCTGGCTGTGGCTGCTGTCTCCAGGTCTACTCAGTGTGGAGAGCACCTCCTGCCCTGTCAGCTGATGTCCCTGTGGGTCACTCCCCTCCCCAAGGCAAGTGAGTCCTGCTGCTCCCTCAGCATGGAGCCCCCGGCCTTCCATAAGGAAAAGGTTTAGTCAGGAAAGCTCCAGGAAAGCTAGGTCAGAGTGGTTATCAGAACTGGTTCCCCATGTGTTGGAGCCCTAGTCCCCAGCACCTCAGAATGTCACTGTATTTGGAACTAGGGCCTTTAAAGAGGTGATCAAATTAAAATAGGTCATATGAGCGAGCCCTACTCTGGTATGACTGGTGTCCTTAGAAGAAGAAGAAATTTGGACACAAGTACAGAGGGAAGATGATGGGAAGAGATACAGGGAGGAGGTGGCCATCTAGAAGCCAAGGAGAGAGGACTGGAACAGATCCCTTTCTCACGGTCTGCCGACACCTGGACCTCAGACTCCCAGCCTCCAGGACTGTGTTGGATTCCCGCCTGCTGTGCAAGCCCTTGCCTGTGGGACGCTGTTCGGCCAGGTCCAGGAACCGAATACAAGGTCGTTTCCAATCTGCAGCCCCCAAACCCAGGCTGCCTCGCTGTGCCCACCTCTGGTCCTCTCCCTCCCGCGTGTTTTGGCTGCTTGGCATTTATTTAGCCCTCTCTGCTGACAGGAGCGGCTCTGCGCCACAGTACGACAGGAAGCCTGGCTCCCCTGCAGAACTCTTTCCCACTGGGCTTATCTCGGGCTTCCCCCGGCGAGGCAGGAGCGGGACTGACGGGCTGGCTGAAAGGCAGCTGAGAGATCCCTACCCAGGGCTGACTGAGCGAGCAGGGAGACCGCGCGCTAAGCATGCGTTCTCAGCCCTCCTCCGTTCCCCGGGGACGCAGGGGCTTTTTCCAGGAGGTCAGCAACCCGCCTCACTACACCTATGGAGGAGGCCAGAGACGTCAGAGTAGCGCCTGGGCTGAGGCAAGAGCTGAGATCCCTTCAAGACATTACCCACGCCCGAACCAGCACCACCTCAGTGGGCAGCGTGCTGCCAGGAAAATGACTGGGTGTGAATCCCAGCTCTGCCATTGATTGGCTGTGTGAATTTAGACAAATTACTCAACCTCTCTGAATCCAGTTTCTCCATTTGTAAAATTGCAATTCTCACTTAATAGGATTGTTATGAAGAACATATAAGAAACGACAGATAAGGCCGGACATGGTGGCTCACCTGAGCCATCCCAGCACTTTGGGAGGCCGAGGTGGGTGGATCACCTGAGGCCGGGAGTTCAAGACCAGTGTGGCCAACATGGCAAAACCCTGTCTCTACTAAAAATACAAAAATTAGCCAGGCCTGGTGCACATGCCTATAATCCCAGCTACTCGGGAGGCTGAGGCGAGAGGATCACTTGACTCCAGGAGGTGGAGGTTACAGTGAGCTGAGATCACACCACTGCACTCCAGCCTGGGCAACATAGTGAGACTCTGTCTCAGAAACAACAGATGAAATGGATTCTATAAATGATGAGCACAATAATTACCTACCAGGTGAGGTGGGATAGGGAGGAGAATTGGGAAGCCATCCTTAGTGGCACTAGGCTGCTCTGGAAGGATGATCCTATGAAGGAACACTGAGTAATAGAAGCCTCCTTCAACTTTCTGAATAAGCCTCAAAACACTTTTAAAAAGGTGCTGATTCAAGAGTGCCTTTCTGTTATATTTGTTCAGAAACAATGTGTTTCCTGTTTTCCTTCCAAATTGTTAGTGGTCATTGAGAGCACTTTTGTGGGTTATATTCTAGCCAACATTCTAAACACTTATGTTAGCTCAGAAACTAAATCGTGTCCCCCCAGATTCATATGTTGAAGTCCTAACCCCCAGTACTTGAGAATGTGGCTGTTTTTGGAAATAGGACCATTAAAGAGATGATTAATGAAGCCGTTAGGGTGGGCCCTAGGCTAATCTGACTGGCATCCCTATAAGAAGAGGTGACTGGAGCACATGGCAAGGGGACACACATGCGTGGGGAAAAGGCCCTGTGAGGAGGCAGTGAGAAGACCCCCTTTGCAAGCCTAAGAGAGAGGCCTCAGAGGAAACGCATCCTGCCAACACTTTGATCTTGGACTTCAGCCTCCAGAACTGTGAGAAAATAGACTTCTGGTTTTGAAGACTCACAATCTGCAATCACTTGCTAGGGCAGTCCAAGCAAACAAACACAATCATCACAACAATGAGGCAGGGAATAGCATTGGTCCCATTTTGAGTCATTCACTTATTTGGGACAGATATTCTAGGCACCCACTCTGGGCCAGGCCTCAGTTAGGTGCCAAGGATGGACTGGACACAGGCTTGCCCTGGAAGAGATAAAAGACTGGTGTGCTTATGTGAGGTGGAGACAGACAAGTAAGCAGACCCTAACAGTATAGCAGGGGTGCGTGTCACAACAGGGAGTGTGCGGGCCACAGGGTCCTGGTGGCACAGAGGGTCATGAAGCCAAGTCAGATGGGCTGTATGTAAAGTCTTCATTTGGGTTCGCTGCTCAGTGTTTGCAAAGCCCTTGCCAGTGCTCCGTGGATAAGGACAGCCACAGTGCCTGAGCCTCCACCTCCCTCTGCAGTGGTGCGTGTGCCCCGCTGGGGGTGGAGAGCAGGGGCAGTGTCTGGGGATACAGGCCAACGAGGATGGAGTTGCTATGATGCACCCTCAGTGCCACACGAGATTTCATGGGTTGCCTGGGAATCCTGATTTCAAGGATTCCAAATATTAATTCACTTGCAGGCTCTTTTGGGTCTTCCCACAATGGTCTTCCCTCTTTCTGCCATCAGAGTTCTTTTTTTCTAAAATAGAACCACAGCTAATGATAACTGAACACTCCTATGTGCCAGGAATGTTACATGAGTCCTTTGATATCATCACCTGACGGAGTCCCAGAGTCTCCCTGAGTATCTGAGGCTGTTGATAGCCCTTGCTTTCTTGTCTGTCCGCCTCACATCTGATCCCCCCTTCCCTGTCCCCCTACCTGACACATACCCCATACTTCAGGCCTATATAGCCTCAACCTTATTCTTGCTCTCTCCTGTTTCTATAACAGTCCTCAGCCTCACATGTTTTCCCACCCAGCATAATGAACTCCTACATATCCTTCAAGACCCAGTTTCTTCTATTTGTTTTCATGCAGTACCCAGAAAATACTTCTATTAAAATACTTGTCACAATCTATCACCTCCAACATGTTTTCATGTCTCTGTCTGGCACCAGCATGAGTGACAAGGAGGGGCTGTTTGCTCATTTTGTATCTCCAGCATCTAGCACATCAGTGATGCAAAGTAGGCATTAAAGCAATCTCTGTGGAATTTACTTATCTATTTATCTTTGTTTTTTCTCCTTTTGAATTCTGGTGTTTTTGCTATAGGAATAACCAACTATGGTCTTGTCCCTTTTTTAAAAAGACTGTATCCAGGAACAGAAAACCAAACACCACATGTTCTCACTTGTAAGTGGGAGTTGAACAATGAGAACACATAGACACAGGGAGGGAAAGATCACACAGGAGGGTCTGTCGCGGGGTGGGGGCAAGGGAAGGGAGGGCATTAGGACAGATACGTCATGTATGTGGGGCTTAAAACCTAGATGATGGGTTGATATGTGCAGCAAACCACCATGGCACATTCATATCTATGTAACAAACCTACAAGTTCTGCATATGTATCCTAGAACTTAAAGTAAAATTAAAATAAATAAATAAATAGACTGTGTATCTTTAAGTGGGAAGAACCCTAGATACAGCCCTGTTGGTTGCTGTGGTGAGCAGCCTTTGGGATGGTCCCCAGTCATGCCACCTCCTGGTATTCACACCCTTGTCTAATTCCCTTCCCTGGAGTGGGGGCTGGATTTATTGACTCACTTCTAACAATTAGAATATGGCAGAAGTGACTGGATTATAAAAAGACCAGGTCACTTTTAAGACTGGGTTATAAAAAGGCTGTGGCTTCTGTCCTGGGGCTTTTTCACTCTCAAACTGCTCACTGTGGCAGTAGCCAGCTGCCATGTAAAGTAGCCCTGTGGAGAGGCCCACATGATGAGAAGAGGCCCTCGAGGACCCATGGGTGTGCGTGGGAGCAAATCTTTCTCCAGTTCTGCCTTGAGATGACTGCATCCCCAGCTAACAGCTTGATTGTAACCTCACAAGAGACCCTGAATGTGAACAAACCAACTAAGCTTCTTCCAGATTCCTGGCCCTCAGAAACTGTGAAGCACTGAATGATTGTTGTCTTAAGCCAGTTAGTGTGGGGTCATTTGTGACTCAACAATAGACAATTAATACAATCATGTACTCAAAACGACTTTCTTGTACTTCTCCCTTCTGACTCCTGCAGCACCATGTGAATGAGCTCCTGGGCAGAAACCATCTCATGTGTCCTAATGATGTGAGTCAGCCCTAGTCAGCCCTCTCCTCAGAAGTAGATGATAGATTCTTTGAAGGCAGGGACTGTATCTTAAAAGTAAATAGACATTCTTCAAGAGTATTTATGGAATTAACTTGGAAGAATTTTCCTGTTTCCTAGCAGGAAACCAGTATGAGCCATTATTTTGCTGGGGCAGTTGTTTCTAGTTTTCTCTTTCTTTCTGGACCAGCCTAGGAAGTATGATCCTTCCTCCGCCAGTGGTGTTTTTATTTGATAACAGTAAAAAAAGAAAAGTTTTGACCTAACACCTACAAGCTTTTTTCAATTACCTGGTGAAGTTACTTAAGCTGAACTCTTTTTGCAGCACTGATCCTTTTCTTTCTCCTTTCGAATTGCTAGATGGGAGAGAAAATGGTCTTTGGATGATAAAGCCTGTTTCCAGGTTATCTTTGAGAAAAATGTAATCCACTGTATTCTTCTGCTCCGAGTTTTTCTCCTGCCTCCTGATTTTCTTGGCTCTTATCTCCTTTTCATTATTTCACAGTTGCCTGGGCACCTAAAGAACTTCTCCCTCCCTAACTCCCTGACCCTCACTTTCCAGAGTTTTTTTCATGGCACTTCCAAGCCACCTCACCCCTGATGCTTGACACTAGTGTTGAGAAAAAGCTGGCAGAGAGGACAGTCTTCCAGAAAATGATCTTTTCCAGTCAACTCAATAATAACTTGGCCTAATAGTAAACCTAAAGAGTTAAGAATTCATAGTCTGATGTTAGCTTGAAAGTGCTGTATCTAAACTCTTTCTAACCAATAAAGAATGGATGCTTTGTTAAATGTAGAGATCTCTGGACCAGGGACCATCTTGTACTGTATTTTTAAACTTCCTTCTTTTTCCTGAGGATTGAACTAACATTTTCCAAATGGTGGAGACAGGCTTTATGGGGTGTGTGTATGTGTATGTGTTAAATTCTTTTCTAAAATGTATTTAAGGTCCAGGCATAGTGGCTCACACTCATCTGTAATCCCAGCACTTTGGGAGGATGAGGCGGGCAGATTGCTTGAGCCCAGGAGTTTGAGAACAGTCTGGGGAACATGGCAAAATCCTGTCTCTATAAAAAAAATATAAAAATTAGCTGTATGTGGTGGTGCATGCCTGTAGTCCCAGGTACTCAGGAGGCTGAGGTGGGAGGATCACTTGAGCCCAGGAGGTCGAGGCCACAGTGAGTCATGTTTGTACCACTGCACTCCAGCCCGGATGACAGAGCAAGACCCTGTCTTGAAAATAAATGAAATGAAATGAAATGTATTTAAGGGTTTTCCTCTTCTAAGTCCAGGGACTTTATTTTGTCTGTAAATTACATCCTCATCTTCAAAGTGCACTTGATCCTAAGAACTGTGAAGACCTTTGCCCAAAGCAAAGAAAAAAAAAAAGACACCACAAGTTACCATCCGTGTGCACAAAAGTTATCTGTTACTTTTGACCCTCACTCAGTTTACAACCTCTATCCCGTGTCCCCCATGGCCTTTCCTGGTGAGAGTCAGCACCATCATTATTGTTTCCTATCCCTCTTCCAGGATGGAGGTCGTTGTACCAGGTGAGTGGTTAGGTAAAGCAAATAATAACCATAGTCAAATAATGTCCCTATAACTACAAGCTGTTGAAAAACTCTTAATTGGAACTACAAACTCCTGATTCAGGAAACTATAAAAAGAAGAAAGTAAATAAGTATCTGGAATTTCAAATCAAAATAGTATTATTTGCTTATTTCAAAGCAAGTTTATTCTATAAATCCAGGAGTTGGGTGCATTTATCTTTAAAGTATCAGATAGTAAATTAATGAGATAGCTTTGCCACAGCTTCCCCTGAAGTGATAGTATCCTAGAACTGGCAGATTGTTTTTCTAGAAAGTTTAGCAAGGATATTTTTACAACGTTCCCAAAATTATTCAGTTCAGAATTTATATAGAAGTCACATTAAGACTAGTTTAGAGTAGAATTACTGAAAGGAATTAGCTGCTTATATGGCAAAAAATATCACCAACATGGAGGTGAATAGCTCACTCTTGCCTTGCAAAAATGGATGTAATCGTTTTGTTACACAACTTCCTGCCCCAATTCAGCCAAATTTTCCTGCCAACAGAACCAGAGTGTGGGCCTGTGGGACTCTCTAAGTTGGGACTCCCTGGATCCCTTAGCTTCTGTTTCTTCACAAGCAAGCCTCAGAGCCCAGTGCAGTAAACATATAATAAAACAAAGCTCTGCTGCAATTGAAACAACAGAGCATGCATAGCAAATTAATTTAAATAAAGCATGTCAAATATTTGCTTCACTTTAAATTCATAAAATGCCATTTCATTAAATTGTGTTTTCATTTATGTCAGGCAACTGTCATGCCAAAGCTATTTTTTATTATTTTAGAAGTTGGAAAATGTAGGAAAATACACTTTTAGAATAAAATACTGTCATGATAAAGACATGAGCCCTGTAATATTTGATTTGATAGAGGAATGATGGATTGTGAAGTCTAAGGTTTTATTGTACTGCAATTAGAATAAACATTCATGAAAGGTCTCTACATTCCCTCTATGATGACCCTGTGACAACTGCCATTTGGCGCCTCTGAGAAGTAACATTCCTGACTCTCATGACTCAAGCACATCTTGCAGTGAGAGGCAGGGGTCTGAGCAGGCTGGGATCAAGACAGGGATGCTAAGGAAAATAAGAAGCCCTGCCTGAAAGGGAAGTTAATTTGTGAGTCATGGAGCCACTACTTCTAACTCCTGGGACTGCTTCTCACACTGACAAATCTCTCAGTTCCCCTTTCCTTCCCCTGACCCGTAGTGAGGTGATCACGGACTCTTCTTCCAGAAAGGCACAACAGTCCTGAGTTTTGGAGCTCTCTCCTGGCATTGTTTCCTGGTACACAATGACTTCTCACTAAGCATGATATTATTACATTACTTTTTGAAGAACAAGACTTCTCATTCATTGCTAAAGTCAACAACACATATTGGGTAACCACTGTGATCCAGCACTTTAATAGGTGCTACAGCTATAGGATGATTGAGATAGAATCTCTTGACTCTGGAAGAACTTATGGTCTAGTAGGTCGAAATATTCATTAAAAAAATTCCAACATAAATGGATGTGGCATTCACTCCTAGAACATATCTCCTTGGAAGAGAACTCTCTTCACCCTAGAAAGAAGCATGTAAAAGGGCCAGAACTATCTGGGGAAAGTGAGCCATTTAGAAGGAGGAGCACCCTCTCCAAAGGAGTTAAGATCCGTGACCATTTCAAGTAGGCAGGAGAGGCATCATCTTGAGGATTTCACTAAAACTAGTATTTCAATGAGACTGATTCTAAGTGTAAATTAGAAATATTTTAAAAATCTTTATCAGACACTCAAAGTCACAAGGTTTTCTTTTTTTATTCTCTGGCTATTGGGGAAAAGCAATTTTAAAAATATAGGATAGCAACTCTTAGTAGACTCTTTTGGTATCTACCAAACAAGTGATGACTTCTTTCCTCTAGAATTATCCTCCCTCCAACATATCCCTATGGAGATGGAGAGATGAGTACTATAACCCCAGGCCCCTGAACCTGGTGAAAACAGCTGACCTGACTTGGGTCAGTCATATTCTCTGCCTAGGAATTTAGAATGGAGACTAAAAGAGTGCTAATCTGTCTTCAGTGTCCAGAGGAAAAGCACCTTTAAGAGTTGTGCAGAGTCCATCACATGCATGAAAACACAGAAGACAGTGTAGGTCATCAAGAGAAGCAGAAATGAGAGATGGAGAGAGCACATCGTGGGTTCCTGGAAACGCATTAGTTCCTGGGGTCAGTCCCTTCCCAACACGTGCCCTTTGCTTTTTTGTTCTGCAAGATACCCATGGATCCTGCAACACACTTCCCCTTTTAGGTAAGCCAGCTCCAGTTGGTTTCTGTAACTTGCAACCAGAAGTTCTCTGGTTTAGGTATAGTCCAGCCTAAATGACTGAATGGACCAAGGCATCAGCCATTTCCTCACTTGGATGCTATAGAATTTCAGGTCAGTATGGTTCCCTGGCCCCAACTTACACCTACTGAATCTGAATCGCCTAGGGTAAGGGTCCAGGAAACCACATTTTGTAATAAGTTCTTAGGATGTTCTGTTGGGTTGCCAGGTTTTAAATTGGTGGATAACATGGTAATCCTTGTAATGGGATTCCTGCTGTGTATCAAGTGCTTCTGCGTGGGCTGTCTCTCTGTCTTCCCCACTACACTGTGCTGTAGGCGTTATTTATTGGGGGAAATGTTGATTCATCTCCTGATGTTTCCTCCCATATGGAGGCAGCTCTCTGAGCTATAACTCTCCTGTCTCATCTCCATCCCCTTATTCACTAGTGATCTACCTGCTTGCAAAGTTTGGAAAAAGAAATCGAACACATGTAGTCTAGGTTCTTCTTCTTCCTTTTTGGAGTTGGTCTGCCTGCAGAGAGCAGGTGCTCTCAGATGCACTCCTCCTTCCTAGAAATCCCTCTCCACATGCTCTGTCCCTGCCTGCAGGGGGCTGCAGGGGAGGGACCCTCCCCAGTGCAGTGCTGCTGCGACTGGGTAGGAAGAAGCCCTCCTCATCTCAAGGTTCAATGTTATAGGTGCAGGCAAAAGTAACATCATCAAATATCAGTTTACCAATGTGAAATCTAGGTCTCTACCTGGCTCCCTTCTTTTTCTTACATTTCTATTTGTTCAGAGCTCTGACAGGGAAGAGGGGTGCTATTGACTGGGCTCCTCAGGACCCCTTCCTTATTACGTGTTTCCAGATAAAATCATTTTTCAACACCAGAGTCTAAGCTCTTTCCTCTGCCTGCTCAGGGAACCTCTGGAGAGGGCTTCTCAAACTCACTGCACATGCACATCTAATCCGCGGAAAATTTGTGAAAATGTAGATTCTGATTCTGAAGGTCTGGGATGGGTTTGGAGTATCTGCATTTCTAAAAAGCTTCCAGGTGACTCTGATGTCACCATTGGAAGGTCCACACTGGACCCATGAGGTTATGTAAAGGATCACTTCCAGAGGTCCAGAGTCATATAAGTTGTGATGGGCAGAATAATGACGCCTCAAAGACATCCATACCTTAGTCTCTGGAATCTGTGAATATGCTACCTTATATAGCTAAGGGGACTTAAGGTTGCTCATCAGCTGACCTTAAAATAGGGAGATTAACCTGATGAACTGGGTATTCCTAGTGTAATCACAAGGGTCCCTAAAAGTGGAAGAGGGAGGCAAAAGAGGAAATCAGAGTGATGCTATGTGAGAACTCCATCAGCCATTGCTGGCTTTGATATGGAGGAAGAGGACACCAGCCAAAGAGCATGGGTAGCCTGTACCCTGCATGGAAAATGCAAGAAAACATGTTCTCCCCGAGAGCCTCCAGAAAGAATGCAGCCCTGCCAACACCTTGGCAAAAGCTCAGTGTGACCTGTGTCTGACCTACAGAGCAGTAAGATAATACATTTTTATTGTTTTCAGCCACGAAGTCTGTGGTCATCTGTTATGGCATCAACAGGAAACCAATACACAGATACATCCCTTCCAGCAGCTGGACTATTCAACCAGGGAACCATGGTTCCCAGGGAAACAGTCTGAGAAGTTTTTGTGTAGGGAGATGCTTGGTAAAAACGTAGTGTACCTTGATGAAAAAGTCTACAGTTTTAAATGCCAAAACTACTAGACTGAGTGAATAGGACCAACTAATGCCTGAACAGGCTTGATTTTAAGTTAAGTGAGCATGACGAGCACGTTGTTAAAAACTCAGACCTGATTAAATCTCTGATGAAGCACAGCATGATAAATGCCAGGCGACCACAGCTCTGTGAAAACCAAATGCAGTGTGCAGAGCGGGGGAGATTTCCTGTGGGGCTGGATGACTGCCCCTGAGGAAGGCAACATGGTCACCACATGGTTTGTGCTAATAGTGGTTTCCTGCTGCAGGGAAACATCTCGTCCATGCTACCCAGTCTATTTTTTTTCAGATAAAGAGTGGGAGGATAAAGAAGTTGCGATGGTGTCACTTACTGTGGGGAGACCAACTCGTTCCGGGCCAAGTCTTCACCAACTGAATGTCAGGTTATGAAAATAAACTTTTAAAATGCTTCTGCCCAGAGCTGGAGAATGGAAGTGTGGCTGCTGGAATTAGCATAAATCATGTGATCGGGTGTATTTATTTATTCAGTCATTATTTCTTGTATTCTGTCATTGGCCCATTCATTCATCAAATATTTGCTATGCATCTACCCTATGCCCAGCCTTGACAATATAAGGTGAAACACTGTGTAGTCTTACTCTCAAGGAGATGTCAATCTAGTTGAAGAGAAAGATCTGTGCTCCCGCATATAGTATTGAATGCTCTGTTCAATAATTGAGCTCTGCCCTCAGATGCTAAGGAAACATGGGCGCCTAATTCAGTCTAGGTTTGGGGGTAAAGAGGGAGTCAGAGAGGGTTTGAGGAGGAGGCAATGTTCAGGATGAACTTTAAAAGGAGAGAATTAGTTTGGAGCAGGCATTCTAGTGCAAGGAACAACATGGCACTATGAAAGAGCATAGAACATTCTGGACTTGGGTGTGGCCAGAATACAGGGTGCATTCCTATAGGGGTCTAAGAAGAGATGAGGCTGGAAAGACAAGCCTGGTCCTGAATTGTTGTGCATTCCTTGCTAAGAAAGTGAGAACAGTGAAAATGGTTAGTGAGTGTTAGGCAGGGATGTGAACAGCCACCAGGGTGCTGTGGGGAAAGTGTCCTGACAGGAGGGAGTCTGGATGCAGGTAGGCCAGATGGGAACAAAGGGAATTTCAGAGTCTGAATGGGGCTACAGGCATGGATGCTCTTTTTAAGGAAAGACTCACCTTAGGACTAAACTAAAGTGTATTCTAAATTGGGATGAGGGCTTCAAAATGTATCCAGCTCACTTGAAAAAGTATGAAGAAAATAGTAGGAAAGTGGCAAACCTGGAAGGTTCTTGTTGGTGGCTGCAATATGTTCTTTAAGCTCCAAAAGAATTTGTGGACTAAGAATGGATGGATGTGAGGACTGTTTAATATCCAATTTTATATTGTTGCTGTCTGTTGTGATTATAGGCTTGGCTCTTGGTTTTTTATTCAGAACCATTTATTCAGAAAATTTCTTATTCAGAATTCAAGTTTATTCCTCATTAATTCAGTAGTGGCTTTCTGTAACGTAGTGATTGAATTACCTAATAGCACCTGCCTGAAATGATTAACATAAGAGGAAGCCATGGGGTTGTATTTGATACAAATGATTTGTTTCCTGAAGTTGTAATTTTATTAAAGGGGGACTCAGTGAACCACCTTTGCAAATGAGGCAAGGTCCTGGTTTCCGCAAGGTACCTGGAAGGTTAATGAATGATTAGCAGCTAACAAATGACAGCGTGGCCCAGGAGGAAAGTGGCACTTCTCAAGTGGTGGGTCAGCATCCTGGAAAAATGAGGAATGGTTTCTAAGGGACTGTGTGGTCCATTTCCTGATAAGGTTGGGGACCAAGGAGAGAGGGAGAAATGACCGTGCTCATGATATCGCTCCCTGACACAGCCTCAATCTAATTGCTTGAACCATTCCCATATGGATCAAGCAGGGGTTGAACTTCTCCACTCCCTTCTGGGTTTCTGTTTCTCTGAAACAGATCCAGGCAGACTGATGCCAGCAGGACCTGAGCTTTTCCAAAGTGACTATGGCAGTATGCTAGGATCTTTCAGTTAGCTGCTGATTTAAGAGTTTGAGTCGGAGGGAACAGGAAGAATTAGGGCACTATCTATTAATAAATATTCTATTATTTTGTTCAGAAATTGAAAAAATACATTTTATTTGTAGTGCATTTTTTAGTAATTATGCCTGTTTTCTTTGTTGATAGAAGAATAAACATGTGGACATGTGCACAACTTATATGTCATATAAGGACAGAGATAATTTGTACTTCCCAAGACATAAATTGAATATTTTCATGATTTTGACACTTTTTAATCCCTGAGAATTCTGAAGCACAAATTAGTACATCTGAAAGCTGAGAGAGAGAGAGAGAGAGAGAGAGAGAGAGAGAGAGAGAGAGAGAAAGAGAGAGAGACCTTCAAATACAGCACAGTGGTGCCAACCCCTCACCTCTAAATCCATATCCATCCCCACAAGTAGAGGTGCTGAAATATCTTTTCTGGACACTTTCCCCTACCTCCCCCCAACATTTCCTCCTCTGCTCTTCTCACATATGCTTCAGCTCCTGTACTGCTTTATCTTTATATTCCAGAAAAAAATAGGGGCCTGTGGCTCAGTGCTGCCTATCGCCATAGTGGTATTCTAGGAGTTCTTTTCTGGGAGACTGTGTAAGTCAATTGTGTGACTTCACAGGGGAAAAGTACACCCATGTGCAGATGGAGGAATAGGCAGGTGGAGGATGATTTTTTTCTACCCATATTCCACTGTGAGGACTGATCTCAAAAGTTTGGTTTGTCCTACTCCCAGGAAATATGCCTTCCCTACCTCTTCCCTAATCTTCTCCTTATAAGGGACACAGGTTGGCATTTAGGCAGTTGAAAAAATGGAATAATCTCAGGGGAATTTTTTAAAATACAGATTCCTAGGCCAGTCCCCAATGGATAGAATTGGACTCGCCATGAGGTGAGACCTACGAATCTGTATTTTTGTAAAAGCTGTCCTATTGGTTTTGGTTTTAGTATAGTTAGTCAAAAAGGTAGCATTTAGGTCCCAGAGGCAGAGAACCTGTGTTTCATACACACTTCCTTGCACAGATGATAAGTTTCTTTAGCTGACTCTGATCCCTTTATTTGCTGTGCGTCTTGCTCACATCTCCACATGTGTGATGTGGGTCTGGGATCATTTGTCTGTTTTTAGCTAGTCTACCCACTGTGCATGTTTCCAGGCTGCTCAGCACGGAAACACCAGCAGCACTGGAGATCCTAGTGCATACCCATTCCCTAGGTTCCTTCCCAGAGCCCAGTGTGCTAGACAAGCACAAGAAAGAACTGCAGAGCCTTGGAGAAACAAGCTTCTAATTCTCTACTTAGGAGGAGTGTTGATGGTTTAAGTAAATAAATAAATAAATAAATATCCCCTTCATTCATTCACTTCTTCTGAAAACTCACAGATTTCCCAGATATTACATTGAAATATAATACTTCTGTAAGCAGTTGTGTTTACACATCTGTAATCATGTGTATTGTCATGACTTAAGAACAAAATTTAGATTGCAAGCTTGAATTGCTGCTTCTGCTAGGTCTGTTCATCCTGGATTGGCTCATGCACAACAAATGCCTTGTACAAGCAAGAGCAGCTGCATTAAGCCAAGTCACCCACAGGGCCAGGTCTAGTGAACGTCTCTCAGACTGTGCAGTCTTGGGACACACAAATATGTCCACACAGGTCTGTCCTCGATCCCATCCCCATTCCTCCTCTCATGTCTCCCCCTACAGTCCTAAATACCATCACAAGGCTCCTGATTTTCATGGGGTCATCATCTTTTCCATTAATGTCATTATCATATTCCAGGGTCCATTAGAACTCCTGCTGTAATGAGAACTTTGGGTGCAGCTGTTCATTACTTTCCTGGTCACCCACAGCTCTAGTTGTCATGATGAATGCTCTGCATACAATTCTCACCTGTATCACACAGTCCCTCTTGCTGCCATTAAGATGATCATCTTTTTCCCCCCATTCTGTAGTCATCACCTCATTATAACTCCATTACCTTTTAGCATCATCTACATTATAACTCCATTATCTTTCACATAGCCACCATTACCTCCCTTATCGCCCCCTCTACATTTCGGTTGCCCTCACCTTCTCCTTTACAGCCACCAGCTTTTCAATTACAGGTCCATTATCTTTATTATTACCTCAGTTACAATCATAATTGCTACCATAACAAATTTCAATGTCTTTATCCACCCCTCTGCCATGCAAGAACCTGGCCACCTTTGATAAAGCTACAGGCATCTCTATTATACACTGGACATGTAGTCCAACATCTCCATTAATGTTAGAATTCCCTTCTTTTCTTCCACCAAATCATGTTAACTACAAAATTCTGCCACTTTCTACAGCAATTTCACTATTGCCATTGTCACTCTTATTTACAACTCACTCCTTCATCCTCATTTCTCTTTCTGTAACAGCCAGACAGTAATAATCCTCATCTTAAAGACACAAACACAGTCCTCTGTTACAGTTACCGCTCTGACTCTAAGAATTCTAACTACCAATGTCTTCCTTAAGGCAATTCAAGACCATACTAATATAACTGCAGTGCATACCGGCATTTCTGATCTTCCAGTGTGTGTGTTCAGGGGAAGGAAATTGTTTACAATTGTCCTGTGTTATCCATTAAATTTTGAGCTCATGGTGGACTAGACCTCATTTCCTTCCAAGAGCACTTAGCATCTGGACAAAGTTAGCATTCAGCAGGTGTGGTTGATTGAAGGACCAAAAATGCATCACCATGCTTCCTTTATCTTTACACTTGCAGTCTATTGCTGTTGCATTGATCACTATCAAAACCTCATCAATATACTCTTTACCATTTCATTACCTCAAGCTCTTCCTCTTCATGGAGAGATGCATCTGCTCTTCCATTTCTTGGCCATTATCACAATAATTATCACAGCTTCAATTGCAGTGGCTCCATTACAATTCATTACCTCTTCTGATGAAGGAGAGATAGGTTGCTCTACAGGGGTGCCCTGCTTTCCTTTCAGAACAGCCCTCAGCTCCCACAAGGAATAGTGGTCTCTTTGCCACCAAAACTATTGTGATTTCTCCCCTAACATGCTTTCATCATTGCACAAGTGATATTTACACCCTAACTTGGAAGTGACAAGATTCAACTTACAAAAGCCTGCCTGATTTCCTTCCTGGTGTCTGGCTGTATGGTCTTGGATAAATCATTCAGGGTAGTGCTTGTGTGAAGGAGCCCTGGACTCAAACTACTTGGGTTCAAATCCCTGTTCTTCCACTTACTAAGCTGTTTGAATTCATGCAAATTATTTAGCTTTCCTGCACGGATTTTCTTATCTATAAAATGGAGATAGTAATATTTCCTACTATCGTTGGTTGTTAAGAGAAGTAAATGAGCGAATAAACATAAAGTAATCAAAAAGTGCTTAGCATATAGAAAGCACTTGATAAATCTTAACTCCTCTCAGGACTCTATTTTTTCCCTAGCTTGAGAATGAGGGTTGAGGTAGACTGAGCTCTAAAGTCCTAGGCTGAACATTTGATGGGTCTGTGATTCTGGTATCAGATGAACAGAGTTCTGGCAGAATCCTTACATTACAATTCTTAAATCATCTCCCAGCTTTATTGTTCTCTGCTGACTCAGCAGAGAAGCGTGGCACTCCCTTGGCCCATGGCCACCGTTGTTCTGCACTGGGGCTGATTTCCAGGCATTTTCTTCCTCAGGCCTAACAAACAACTTGCTGTGGTTTTGCCACTGCTGGACTTAGCCACATACTCGTATATTCACCCTGCCACCTGGCCAACTTCACAAATAGCCCTGCTCTGTTTTTCCATATTAAACAATGCTGAGCCTTCTCAGGTGGCACTTGAACATGTCCAACTTTAATGTTGGAGCTATCCAATCAGTCAGGGCTGCTCCAGGCCACATAGCCAAGGATACAGAGTTTGATTCTGGCTTTGTTGCATTGTGATTTTCCTGCTCTTCTCTCTCTCTCTCTCTTTCTCTCTCTCCCTCTCTCCTCCCTTCTGGCTATATTTTCTCCCCTTCTTCTCCTCATTAGCCATCCACGTTCACCACTTGCATCCACCACCCTCAATCCTGTCTTTCCTAGCAGGGTGCCATGTTCTAAAATTATTTTTCCCTCTCGTTTCATCCTTATTTCTCCTCTTCTCTGCTTTTTCCTCCTTCTGTGGTCCTTAGACAGAAATTCTACTAACATAACCAGCATTCCATTGTGGATAAACAAGTCTCTCAGAGGACACCTACCTTTCTGAAGGGAAATCTGGAAGAGGCAACACCTTGACAAGAACATACCTCAAATAGTAGGATTTCAGACAACCTGGCAGAACCGGTGTTACTCATTTGTTAGTTTGTGTCCTTTTCTTAAAATTGGGGTGGGGATGAGGATGGGATGGGGAGTAATTTGAGGGGCAGGAAGATTCCACTGTGCCAATCAAAACACATTTTGTTGGCGATATCCTGCTCTCCATAGAACCCTTCGAAATGTATTTAATATATTGTCCTTACTTTACCAATCTCTTCATTTCTCACAGAGCCTCCTAGAACCTCCAGCTAATGAAGCCATCTCATTTGTTGTGGAGCTTCTGAGGGTTCTTTACACCCAATTGTTAGTCATACGAGAATTCAGTTGTCAATGGTCACTCTGAAGGGTGTGATGTTTTCAGTGTAAACAGCATTCCTCTCAAGTAAACATGAGGAAAAAGATGCCTCACTTTGTGATTACTGAGGCAACAAAACCCGACTGGCTCTGGTCCAATTCTGCGTAGATCACTGGGACCGCAGAAATATTTTCGGCCTCTAAATTGTTGGTCTTTGGCCAAGGCAATCCAAGGGTTGGCACAGGTGCCCAGGGAGATGTGAGTGGTAGCTGCTCTACCATCAACATCCTCAGAAACCTTTTCTGTTTTCTCTTCTCTTTCATCTCCTCCTTTTGTTCTTACTTTTTTCCTCTTACTTTTTTTCATAGTCTGAGGTGTCATGCTCATTTGGCCTTCCTGGGTTTGTATCACCTCTATTTTCAAGGCCCAGCTCAATGATTGTGGCCTCTCCCATGAGGTTTTCTCTGGTCTCCTCCTCTCCCATGAACCCTGTGACACTTGCCCTGTTTCTGCTTTCACTACTGTAACACAGCCAATGCCAGGAAGTAGTATTTAGGGCTTGATTATATTGTCATGCACTGCTATTTTGTTTGTTTCCTGGGTTTAGAATTGCCCTCTTGGATAAATTCTTAGCCCCTGGAGTGCAGCAAGCATGATACATACTTCTTTTGTGTGGACTGTGATGCATACTTTTATATTTGACACAAAAATTACTCAACAAAGACTTGCTTAACTATGCCTTCTACTCCTTTCTCTTAATTTTCCTTTAGCTGCCTTGCATTTCCTTTTATCCACCCCACTCCACTTCTCCTTTTTTTTTCTCCTGCCTAAATGCCACAGGCTGGCGGCACTCGAAGCCACTGCTTAAGTGTGCTGGATGCCATGTGGGCTTAGAAGATTTCTGACTCCTAGTTTCCTAGGAGCTAGGGATTGTGTCTAAGAGTGAAAACTCGGGTACCACAGTAGATAGGGCTAACTCATGGCCAAAGTCTTTTGGTTTGAAACATCGTATGTTCTCACTCATAAGTGGGAGCTAAGCTATGAGGATGCAAAGGCATAAGAATGACACAATGGACTTTGGACACTCAGCATGAAAGTGTAGGAAGGAGATGGGGGATGAAAGACCACAAATTGGGTGCGGCATATACTGCTCAGGTGATGGGTGCCCCAAAATCTCACAAATCACCACTAAAGAACTTACTCATGTAACCAAACATCACCTGTTCTCCAATAACCTATGGAAATAAAAAATAAAAAAAAATTGCTTTCTTAAATAGAACTTATGCAAAACTACAATCTGTAGGCAAAACAATGAAGTTGACACAGTATGTAGTACTGGAGGAAAAAAAAGAATCATTTGGTTTGGCATGAGACAGAGAGGCTAACCTCAGGGTTGTAAAAAGATGCCCCCCCACAAAAAATAAAGCTGTTATGAGGCCATTTAGGTCCACACATAAAGAAACTCATTCACAAAATTGTAAGTTCTGGTTCACTCATTATGACATATTTGTTAACAATATAGATACTTTCATTTGGGGAAATCCAGACAATTTAAATTTGTCTTTATGGCATACCAATGGATAATTTTATAAAGCTTTTTCACCAGAAATACGGGTCCTGCCTATGATCAATTCTCATCTGTATGTTGGAAAGCAATTTCAGTAAGTACTTAGCTTAATCAATTTGTATCTGCACATTGACCTTCGGGACTCTGCACGTGGGTCCCATCATGCAGCGTGCTCTGCAATTCTCTGTCTCTTTAGACAGCATATTTCTCAATATTTGTACATGGTTTTCATATTCAATCAATACAATCATCTGTTCTCTCCTTTCAACCACTTCCCTTGACTGGGGAGGTGAGAATCCAGCAGCGCCTCTGTCACTTGTGTGTATTAGAGAATACTTGTTTACCATTTCCCCAAAACCTGAAGAACTGCAAAGGTAGTGGGGCATTGTGGGATAACAAAAATAATGTGAAAAATAAAAATAAATTTATAAGCTTGTTTACACAATTATGCAAATGATGAGCACTTATACATGGCTGATTCCTCAATTATTCATGGTTTGAAGCCCTTGAAAATTCAATTCAACTAAATAACCTTTTCTTCGGCTCTTATTATGAGAAAGGTACTGTAATTTGAGGAAAGGGAGACAAAGATACAACTTGATAAGGAACGTTAGAGAAATACACAAATGATTGCAATACAAGTTGAATAAGCACAGTAAGAAAAAGTACAATACGTGCTCTGAGGGTTTAGTGCAGAAGAGATAACATCTGTTTGGGTGGATTCATGGAGAACGGAGGAGATTATGTTAGAATCCCCTCTTCTCCATCCTTAGCACAGGTTATTTTGGTTGAGGTCTGTATCACCTCTCATCTGGACTATTAGAGCAACTTCCTATTTCATCTGCCCCTCTAATTGCTGTGTCCTGAGTGATCTTTCTAAAGGCAACATGATCATGTCACTCCTGCCTTTAAACCCTCTATTGTTCCCATTGTTTGCAAGAAAGGGTTAAAGTTTCTCAGGATCTCCACTCAAAGTCTAAATGTCTGTCATTCTGTGAAGCCTCAATACTCCTTGCCTCCCTGCCATGTACATAGCAGCGTCTACACGTCAGGCTGCTTTGGTCCCATGATCTCAATGACCTTGCCCATGCTGCTCCTCCTACTGGACTGGCCTCCCTCTTCTCTCTTTTTCTCGTTTCTCTTCTTGGGTCCCCCATTTGCTGGAGAACTCCTTTGACAATTTCCTTGCTGCCCCCTCCCCCAAGACAGGGCTAATAATGATTCCCACCCTGCCTCTCTATAGTGCATAGCCTCACCATCTCACTATCACACCGTAGTTAGGCGTGAGGGAGGCATGCCTTGCCTTCCTTGTAAGAGTGTGTCCTCCTTGTGTTCAGAGTCCAGATGGGGTGTGGCACCTAGTATATGCTACATGCATGTCTGCCGAATTATGTTGAATTTGTTGCACGGGTAGGTAGGATGCACTGCTTTCCATAGGATTCAGGGATAAGTAAATGGTGAGAAGTGAATGGAGAATGTTCTTCCCTGGAATCCAGGACAAGAGAAAGAGAGAGAGAATCAGGAAATCAAGGGAAAGCTTTTTGTTTGTTTGTTTTAATGGAGACCAAGTATTGTTTACAAGCAGAAGAAAAAGAACTTACAGAGAGTGAAAGAAAATGCAAGTGAGGAAAGGAGAGCAATGGGTGGATCAGGCTATAGAGGAGAAGGGTAAGGAAGAGACCAAGGACTCATTGGAAGAGTTAGTTGTGGCCAGGAGGAACCCTTTCTCTCCAGAGACAGGACAAAAGCAAGTTGGGCAGGATGATTGCACAGAAGCATTCTGAGAAGGAGAGTGAAATTGAGCAAGCTCTTTATAGCTCCAGGCTTAGCGAAGGAGGAGGTGAGTTTGCATGTAAACTGCCAGTTGATGCATCCAATGCCATTACATTTTGCACATGTAAAGCATAAGATGTTGAGAGCAAACACAAGTACTAGGAAGGTACTTGGACAAGCAGTCGCCTGTTAGATAATATGGTCTTAATGAAAGCCTTGTCACAATGGCACAGAATGCTTAATTTCCTGAGATGTGGGTAGGCCAAGGCCTGGAGGCTCTGCCAAGACCTCCTCTGATACTCCTCTTTCCCCTTCCATAGTGATATGGTTTGGCTGTGTCCCCAACCAAATCTCATCTTGAATTGCAGTTCCTATAATTCCCACATGGCATGGGAGGGACCTGGTGGGAGGTACTTGAATCATGTGGGCGGTTACCTCTATGTTGCTATTCTCATGATGGTGGGTGAGTTTTCCTGAGATCTGACAGTTTTATAAGGGGCTTTTCCCTTTTTGCTTGGCACTTCTCCTTCCTGCCATCATGTGAAGAAGGAGGTGTTTGCTTCCCCTTCTGCCATGATTGTAAGTTTCCTGAGGCCTCCCCAACCATGCTGAACTGTGAGTCAATTAAACCTCTTTCCTTTATAAATTACCCAGTCCCAGGCAGTTCTTTACAGAAGTGTGAGAACAGACTAATACACATAGGGAACAGCCATTTGAGCTCTGACTGATCAGAGGTTTGGCATAGAGTCAAACACTGCAATTCTGGAGTTGTACTTTGTTCAGCCTCCTCAACCTAGTTTTACCACGCAGGAAAGCAGACATTTACACTCTAACTGTAGTTTCTGATCAAAGCCATAGTTTAAATGGATTACAAGTAATTTCCTCCTGAAACCCCTCAAGAGTTCCTGAAATCTGGGGTGAGTTTTGGACTGGCAGGGCCAGTGCAGGAAAAGTGGGTTTGCCCACAGCGATGCCCAAGCCCCGGGTGCCCTCCTTCACCTACCTGGCTCCTTGGAGTCCTTAACATCCCTCCAGGGAAATATGGTGGGCCGTCGTTCCCCACCTGAGTGCTAATGCTCAAGGGTTAAGCTCAAGGTTTAGCTTCTCTTGAAAGTCTGTAAGAGCAGCTACATTTGTTAAGCATTTCACAAAGAAGCTTAAATTCAGGAACACCTCTTTCATGACCACCCATATACAGAAGGGCAAATCGTGTTTTTAGGAGTTTCAAGATTTAATTCTGGGGGTAGCCAGGTGCCTAGTTTGGTTGGGGCAGTATAGCAAGCAGATAACTCGGTTTGTTTGCCTGTAAGAATATATTTACCTAAACATTGAACCATTTGTTTATGTCCACTTTTGCTGGTTTTTTTTTTTAAATTCCCCTTTCCCATTTTGCTTTTATTTTTATAAAATCTGACGGAAGGGTATTAAGTTGAAAGGCTATATCTATTTGGCTTGATAAGTGTGTTTTTCCTTTTTGGGAGTGAACCCACCCATAAGAGTTACAGAGGGTGCTGAACATATTCATAAAGTGAAACATTCATATTTCTGACTATCTTACATTATTCTCAGCCAAAGTCAGGTACTAACAGCATTAATATCAAAGTAAATGGCTAAATAATAGTTGCTCAATAAAGGTTATTGTCTGGAACTGAAAGTTATCATAAGGTGTGGGGGTATAGAGTGAAGCTTTTCCATAGATTATCACAATTGAAGGACAGAACTCTGTCCTGGGCCCCTTCCCCCAGATTACCATTTTTTGAAAATGCATGATCATGGAGACATATCTACACAGAGAATCACAGACCTTTAGAGATGAAGGGCACCTTATGGACACACACAAACCCAGTTTTAGGCTGCAAAACGGGAGAAAGTAGTACGGTACTTCAAAACCTGTCTGCAGTACAGAACAGGCTTGAAGCTGGGAGCTCAACTCCCCAAATATCACATTTATCTCAATTTGGCAAGAAGCTGAAAACCTATCTGGGACCATTTAAATTCTAATGTTATTAAGGGCTCATCTAATCAGCTTTTAAAATAAGCTGCTTCAAATGCATGGGAAATGAAGGTGAGATAGAAGCAGGCAAGCAAGGCAGTTCAGGCCAGCCTGTGAGCACCTGGGTTTGAATTGCCAAGGAGCCATGAGGGGACCTGGCTGCCTACCTATTTGGTAACTCCTGCAATTCCAACACCAAGCCATGCTAGTGAAAAGTGATTTGTAAGTGTGTGGGGAAGGGGACTAATCTGGACAAGCTATGTTCTCCTGTGAGGTGGTTCAGACACATGTGACAGGCTTGGCCGGGAAAGATGGACTGCCCTCTGTGCCAGGAGGTGGCTTTGAGATTTAATCAGCAGGGTTTGTCAAATATTCTTTTATCCACACAAGTGCTTTCCCTGAGCAGAGTGCAGGTCAGTAAAAATGTCTTCATTGTAATACACTGCCAGTGTTGCTTTCGCGACAGGCAACCTTAGCCGTTGGTACACCCTGGTCCACCTTCCATGTCTGCTTGGTTGCAGAGAACTTGATCTGAACCAGCTGGTATCCTAGAAGCAACAAATTAACCAATTCTCCCTTAAGTGTGAATGGTTGATAGCCAGCGTGATGTGATGATGTCTCTTGTGAATTGGAATGTTCAAAGGTGTTTTAAATGGCATGGGGTACTTTGTAGTCAAGTGCCCCCAAGGAAGGCAGGCTGCCACTGAGGGTGTTCTGGGCTGATTCAAACATGGGGCTTCAGAAAAGACTTGCCTTAAATCTGTAGAGTAGCATGAGGGATACTGAGACTGTAGTGAGTCTAAGGAAGAAAATGAGCTCCCGAACAAACTTTTCACAACAAACTTAAGCTGTATAACAAACTGTATAACAAATACAGAGAGAAGACTGGTGGCTATATTATTGTTTTGTGCAATAAAAAACGGCCACACCTGTTTGAAAAGTTCCCAGTTCAGTATATCAAGTTTGAGTGCCATGGAAAGTTATTAAAGGAGCAAAATATTCACTGTGCCTGACAACTCTATGAATCCTAAGAGCCTTCTCCTGTGGACCATTTTTTAGAGGTTATTATTTCAACCTGAAAATTCTTTAGACATATATATGTGGTATGAAAAAGGAATTAGGAAAGCTTTTAAATTAAAGGAAATAAAATGACAGGTTTTTCCTCCAGCCATATAGTTATGGATAGAGATAAAGAGATGGATATTTTTTCATAATACTTTATTAGGGGTTTTGGAACTCCAGAAATTTTAGAGCGAGACTGGTGAATAATTTATCACTGATTCATGCGGGCCCAGTGCAGGCACAGGCAGGCTGGGAGTCAAGTCTAGCTTCTTGGAGGGACTGAGCACAGTAACACACTTTCATTACCAACCGCATCATGAAATGCATTCAGAAATATTTTATGAGAAGCCAAAGCCTTGGTACCCGGTTTCTCCAGCTTTTTCAGAGACTGCATGAAGCCCAGAGGAGCTAATGCTGTTGACCACCTCATTTCAAGGAGACTAGCCCCCAGGGTGTTGTTCCAGTAACAAAAGGTCTCAGATCCCTGGGAATATGCAGTTACATATGAAAGCCACAGACTGGCCATGGGAATGATGAATGATCAAATGTTCACAGGAAATACCTTTTGTGATGGTGTCTTCGATGCTTTCTCTTTACTGCACTTTCTTTAATCCTAATTCCAAAAGAGACCTGCCCTCTATGCAGTTAAAACGATACAGCCACCTGAAACAGAAATAAGGGAGGGAAGAAATATATTAATGGTTTCAAAATAAGAAACCCTGGTTTCCCTTTCTATTCTAAGTACCACATCGCCTTTAAAATAAATTTGTAGGTGCACCATGTGAATTTCCAAAGCAAAGAAAATTGTTGCTTAGTTGCTTTTTCTCTCCAGAGACTTTCATTTATTTCATTGATTTTCTTTCATTCATTCTCATAGTTTTCAATAAAAAGGAAAATATTTGAGGTAAACAAATCTATGGAATGATTATAAATCCAGAAATGTGCTTTAGGTTTTTGAAAGTGACTGTAATAACATGCTTAGCTGATCTGATTATGACAAATGCTTGACACTCCCTCCAAAAGGCCTCCCATACAAACCTCCTCCCCAACCTGACCCCCTCTTATGTCCTTAATGTCCTTGGCACTCTAAGCATTCCTATGTTGTGAAAATCTCCATGTACTATAAACCTCTTTATTTGTGCCATGCTCACTCTGGACTCCCAACTCTTCAGGGTCAGAGTCTTCAACTTTCTCACTGCTTTAGTTCCTGTCCCAAGCACAATGCCAGTGCATAAAAGTTCAACAAAGAAGGAATAAATGCATGCAAAACAAAGTAATTCTCCCAGATTAGAACAACCTCCAACAGAAGCAGTGGCATCGATTGTTAAGTGAGAGCCTTCTGAGTAAGCAAATTTGTCAGCTTCTGTAACCAGGGGTCCTACGCAGATCTTCAGCCAGGCCTCCGCTACACAATTTCCAAGGAAGTGTCAACACAGTTGGTGGCTCGATAATTATGCCTTCAAGGGCTTGCTTCTCACAAACCCTGCTAAGCCTTCTCCAAATGGGACACTGAGCCCCAGGGATATCATTTATAGGTGCTTCAAGAGGATGGATTTGCAAAAATCAGGCGACATCTGAGAGAGGAAGAAGCAAGCATTTGGCTGAGGTAGAGGCTTGCTCATCTAAGACATCTGTGAATAAATTAACCTTCCCTGGAGGACCTCATGAAACCCTCAGAATTGGAAGAAGTGTAAAGATTATTTAGTTCTGGAAGGGCAAACATTTTCCATCTTGAGTGAATACTCCAGTGCATCCACTGTGGCTGCCTGGCGAGTGGGGACAATAATTCTGAGGTGGCATCACAGGGAAAGAACTGGTCATCAATGGGTTTGCCAGGGCCCAGGACTGGGAGGTGTTGCAGGTGATATAAATGCCAGGTATTTTTCTCTTCCAATTCTAATCTGGCTGCTCACCAAATGGAAGAATCGCAGGTTCTTTGGACAGTGTAATTTAGATGGTAGCTGCCCACAGATTGCAGCCTATTTGGGGGGCAGATAGCTCTGAGACTAGAAAATCTCTTCTTCCATGGAATTACAACTCCCCCTCCTGTTTGCTTCCACCCACTGACCTTTCTTTTCCTCATCCTCACCTGTGAGGTGCTAACCTCACTCTCAGAAAGCTTGTCCAATATCTTTTGAACCAACTGCATCAAAAGTCATGAAAAAAATTATGAAAATCCCCTTCACTTGAGTTTATTAAAAACACCGGGTACTTTTGACATGCTATTTTATTGTTACCTATTTCTCCAACTAGATGTAGGCACAGTTATTCACTCATTCAACTAACATGTTTATTACATTTTAAAGTTCTTCATTTGATATTCCTAAAATTATAAAAGTGACACATGCTTATTATAATAAAAAAGTCAATATAAAAATGTATGCAGAAGACGCTAATCGTTTCTCCCAATCTCGGTTCCTTAAGTAACATTTTAATACACTGGTAAGTATCCTTCCACACTGTCATAATTCCCAGGAAACAGCTTGAGACTGGATATGCACACAGAAGGCTTACTGAGACTTACTCCTGAGGGCTACGGCACCTGGGGGAAGTACAGGAAGTGGAACTGGCCAGAGGGAACGTTGGAGGTGTCCTGCATTGAAAAAGGATCCAGGTCTTAGGGCCCCACACACACCCGCCTCTCTTTGGCTCTGGGCTGCCCCCAGGGAGAGGATGGGCAAAGCAGCTCTTTTTGGCTGGTGGTGATTCCTGAAAAGGGACTCAGCTGTGAGCTGTCAGCAGCCAACGCTCCCAGCAGCTGCAAAATTGAGTGCCTCAGTTGGGTGGTGTCTCAAAGCACCCAAATATACACCCTCCCTTTTGCTCATTTAAACCTAATTATGCATATATAACAGATATATGGGATGTTTTTGTTTATAGTTTTTAACTGAAATACTCTGCAACTTGCTTTGACTTAACATACAAACATCATCATTTTTCCTCTAATTTGTTTATGCATACATACACATACTTTTACAAGATTATACTATACATGTAGAATTTTTAGTGCACTCTCTTTTTTTTTTCTCCATTGCTTGCCTCTCTCTACCTCCTCTTCTTCCCTGAACTATCCACATTACCTCGGCCCCTGTGTTGGCAGCATGGAGTACATCCTTTTAGACTTCCTTTCACGCTCATTTAACCACATATATACATATGTGAATGTGGATATGTGCACTTATTTACTTTTTTAGTCATTGGCAGCAACCATTTACTGAGAGCCTTGTGAGTACCCAGGCCCATGCCAGGCACCAGGAATATGAAGAAGAGGATACAGCCACCACCTGCAAGAAGCTCCTGTCTTTGAGGGAGAGGGACATGGGAACTTGTCAGGGCATGCACCTCCAAAGTGATTTAGAGGAATAGAATTAGAATGTGGGGTTTCTGTATTCCAGTCCTATCCTCTTTTCCACTTAACCAGTTTTATTTATTTAAACGGGTTTCCAACTGTTGGCTGAGCAACTGCCAAACTGAAGTGGAGTGTGTGTGCCAATCTTCCTGAAGTCATTACCACACTTGTTCTGATAGAATGAAGCTCATCGTGAACCCCATATACTGGCCCTTGTGATATAAACACGCATTACCTCACTAGTAGATCCACTTAATTTGATGAACAAGTCCTACAGCCCTAATGATATCACACAAAGGCCTTATCTTAAGATAGATTCATATAACTGGTGACAAGGCAAAGGATTATTATCACAGCCATTCTTGAAGCTGATGTGTCTCAAGGTAGTCATATATTCCTGCAGCAGCAAGTTCTAGAGGCAAAACCACTGGCTTAGACAAATATGGGGTACAGGGCTCATGGTCCCAAATCCTTTTAGCTTACACAGTTTCAGAGGGACCCGAGGGAGAGGGGAAGTGGCACCCCAAGAGACATACACAAAAGTAAAGAGCATGCTGACCTGACTCTCCAGCAGCTTCAGTAAATGGGTGTGTTCTTTCTGTCCACGCTGCAACCTACTCATTTACCTGTATGTACCCTTTCCAGTGCTCTGCATTATCTGGGGTCAACTTGCAACAGCTCATCTTTGGAAAAAACATCCTATGAAATATGTCTAGAAAATGTGCATTATATTTTCCTTCCTCATCAAGTGCTGACCCCTCTGTAACACAGGTGAGTTCAGCCATCAGAGGGGATTGGCTTGGACTTTGTAGCATGGGCTCCCTGCCCCTGACTGCCTAGGCAAGAGCTGAGGATCTGGACAGTCCAAAAAGTGCAGCCCAAGAGACTCTGTTGACCTCAATCACAGATTTTTCTCCAGGGCTTTGTGTTTTTGTCCTCTTTGGCTTAGGTGAGTCATGGACTTTAGAAGAAAGACACCTGCTGGGCCAGGTGAGATCCAACAATCAAAAACTGCAGAGATTTCAGACTTCACAGTAACAGTTCTTTTTGACATCCAGTATAAACCTTGTTGCTTGAAAGGTTTTGGTTGATGTACTGCAAATTGCTGGAGATGTTCCAGTAATGGATATTTGATCCCAAGGATGCTGATCAGCTATAGACAAGATTGCCCAATACCCCAAAGTATGGTCAATTTATTTTGTTCTCAATTCTCACAGCAGTTGGTTGCTGAACAATGGATCAGATTGTGAACAACCTTCAAGTTGTTCTTAGTCATCTTAATGTGAAAATGGGAAATTTAGGCAACTGTTGGTGATCTGACCCATATTCTGCTTCTAAATAAACAAGGCTTCCTACCAGGAGGGATCTTGAATGGCTGTTATTTCAGACTCCTACTTTCAGGCATACAAATGTGAATGTTTCTTAGAGGGATTTCTCTGACCCACTGGTATTGGCAAGGCTTTGCAATTCAGCAGAGTGTAAGAAGTTCATGAATTCTCCATTTATCTACTGATGCATAACAAATTACCCTAAAACTCAGTGGTTGAAAATAATAAACATTTATTATCTCATAATTTCTGTGGGTCAGGAATTCAGAAGCAGTTTATCTGAGTGGTTCTGGCTCAGGGTCTCTCACGAGGTTTCAGTCAAGATGTTGAAGGTTGCAGTCTTCAACCTGGTAGGAATAGAGGATCTGCTTCCAAGATGGCTCGTTTGTGTGATATTGGTCATTGCAGGAGGCCTCAGCTTCTCCCCATGTGGGCTTCTACAAGGGTGCTTGAGTGTCCTTACAACTTGGTGGCTAGCTTCCCCGAGAGTGAACAATCTGAGAAAGTGCACGGTGGAAGCCACAGTGTCTTATAAGACTAAGCTCACCATCATTTCTGCAAGATTCTATTGGTATGCAGGTTAGCCCCATTTAATGAGGGAAAAAGCTGCAGAAGGGTATGAATGCCACAAAGCAAGGATCAACTGGGGGTCATCTTGAAGGCTAGTTGCCACAAATGCTTTGCGCTTTTGCTTTGTCAATAATGGTAAAGACAAGGAAAAAGACATTTCTCTTTCTTGTACCTACCTGGAACTACAAATGAAAAGTGTAACATTTGGCTCAAATCCTAGCTCCTACCAGCCACAGACTTGGAAAGGAATTTACTGAATCCCTCTAAGCACTTATTTTCTAATCTGTAAGATGGGAATAATAATATTTCTTTACGGGGTTGCTAAGAGAATTTACTTAGGTAATATATGTAAAAGTCGCAGCTCAGTGTGCAGCAGAAGGAAGGAACTCGAAACTTCTTAGTTCCTTTCCCTTCTCCCACATTCTTTCCTCTCAGGGTCATGGTGTAACAACTGAATGCTGTAGTTAAATGGCTAGTCCTCAAAGTCAGCCTTCCTCCCCACTCACCCGACACCACCCTGTTTTGTAAATCCAGGGAAGGGCTCAGCCTTGGCTATTTAGGTTTCTCATTTCCTGAGGAAGATTTGCTGAGGCTTAATAAAGTCAGGATGTGTGAGAGACGCTGAAGTTCTTTCATATCTTAATTAGCAGTTAATTAAGTGGAGGTGCTGGTGTCTGGAATATCTGACAGACAGAGTCCATAATTATCTTTTATTATTATTACTAATGGAAAATATGATCAGGGAGTTCAAGTTTTCCCAGAATCTCAGGTTTAATTGAATGACCCAGTGGAGGATCAAAATGAACAGGCTGCCCTTTCCACATTGTTTTATTAAAAATATTTTGAAATTGAGTGGTGCCTTGCATGCAGGAGCTTTGTTGGTGATCTTTAACTAGGCATAGAGGAAGCTTGGTGTGCTACCATGGGGTTGCAGGGTCCCTCCAGAAAAGCACACAGTCACATTTTGATGACTGTACCAGCAGCATTTTATTAACACCCCGCTCCTCCTCCCAGGGAAGGTCTTGGTTTGGAGGTCAGAAGACATTGCTTTAAGGTCTGAACTGAAGAAGAGAAGAGAGGAGCTTTTTAAATGTTGCCATAATGATATTGGCCTCAGTCTTTTAGAAGTTGCATCCAGGAGGTGCAGCAAATCCCTAACTTATGTTGGTGGCTCAACAACCTCATGCTCACACAAGAGCAATGGACCATCCTGGCTGAGGCTGGCCATGCCTGGAGGACTCACAGGGTTGGGTGTCCTGAGGGATGTTGAGGAAAGCAAGCTGGGGCCTGCCTCCCTTGTGTCCTGAATTCACATGGGGTGGACCCTCCACAGAAGTTGCTTGACAATGACTAGACAAGCCATTCTAAGCCTTCAGTCTTCTAGAGTTTCCTTGGGACAGCTGAACATATGTCAGACTACCTTCTCACCTCAGAGAGAGCTGCACAGTGTCACTATCCACACACAGGTGTGTGTTTGTGCAGATTGTATCACACCTCCTAGATTTAGTGCTACCTCATTCTCCTGATTTCTGAATGGATTATTTGAATGAGTCCTCACACACTGCCCAAGTGCATCAGGGCTCTGACCCCGGTATCTGGCAGGTTCTAAGTGGTGTCAGTTGGTATCCTTTATCTAGTGAGCAATTTCCATTATTCATAATTCAGGATTCAGACAAGACATTCATCAGGTCTAACAAGAGATTTGAGATCTGTGGGACAGCTGGTACTAGAGGGGCTGCAGGATTCTGGCTTGGCTTCTGGGCTGCTAAGGCAAAGACTGGCTTGCCCTGCCTATAGTGGCTGATATGGTTTGGCTCTGTGTCCCCACCCAAATCTCACCATGAATTGTAAGAATCCCCACATGTCAAGGACACTACCAGGTGGAGATAATTGATTCATGGGGGCAGTTTCCTCCATGGCTGCTGTTCTCATGATAGTGAGTGAGTTCTCAGGAGATTTGATGGTTTTATAAGGGGCTTTTCCCCCTTTGCTTGATACTTTTCTCTCTTGCCACCATGTGAAGAAGGACATGTTTCCTTCCCCTTCCACCATGATTGTAAGTTTCCTGATCTGTGGAACTGTGAGTCAATTAAACCTCTTTCCTTTTAAATTACCCAGTCTTGGGTATTTATTCATAGCAAAGTGAGAATGGGCTAATACAGGGGCCATGCTGAGAAGGGCAGAAGCCCTTTTCCAGAAAGGGGGCTGCATGTAGTTTCTGGCCTATATTTGTGGTGCTTAGAGTTGGCTCCTTGCTGAAGTCCCTGATCAGCATTCCCTGTTCCTCAATGTCCCTCCAAGTGAAGAAGTTACAATCGAATAATCCTACCTGCAGCAGATTCAGTGCATGAAAAATAGATTAGCAACGAGCTCCACGTCTCAACAGTTAAACTACTATACCAAATGTTAACAGTGGCTCTCTCTGGATGGTGTGTTTAAATCTTTGTCTTTTTCTGCTTTATCTGTATTTCTTTTTTATTTATTTATTTATTTTTTGTTGTTGTTGTTGTTGTTGTTGTTGTTTTGAGACGGAGTCTCGCTCTGTCGCCCAGGCTGGAGTGCAGTGGCGCGATCTCGGCTCACTGCAAGCTCTGCCTCCCGGGTTCACGCTATTCTCCTGCCTCAGCCTCCCAAGTAGCTGGGACTATAGGCACTCGCCAACATGCCCGGCTAATTTTTTTTTTTTTTTGGTATTTTTAGTAGAGACGGGGTCTCACTGTGTTAGCTGTATTTCTTAACTTTGGTATAATGTTTATATTTGGCTTTGGTAATGAGAAAATAAATATTTTAAAATTTTAGAAAGGATGGAGTTTAGAAAGCATTATTTCATCAAGCTTTATGGCAGTGGTTCTTATCCTGGGGTTCACAGAGGGTCCATGAACTTATACGGAAAAAACTGCATCTTTAATTTCATCAACCTCTAGCTAAAATTTAGCAGCTCCTCTAATTTTAAATGTAGGCAGCAAGTCACAGTAGTATCAGCAGAAACTATAATTTTTCACCAATAGAAATCACAGATATTTTTATATCTCATTACAGTTGTTGCAGATATGTTGAAATATTGTTTAAGCTTATTACTAACTTCAGAATCACACTAGTTATTAGACCTGCCAGCAGATCTTGTTATTTACTGTGTTAATAAAGAAACACATATATTACTATACCACAAATCTGTTTTTTAATATTTTGATAGCAATATTTCAATAAAAAATGCAGTTTCCTTTGTAATCTTATATATTTTATTTTATACATTTATACCATTATTTTGAGAAGGATTCGTGTGCTTCACTAGGCTGGTTGAATTTTTTCAACCATGCCTTTTTTATGGCATGATCCATATTTTTTATGGACCAAGCCATTAAAAAGGGTCAGAACCCTGGCCTTGGGAGGAAGAAATGACTGGCATCTGTGGACATTGCCATGGCTAGGGCCTGGGTGTCCTGGGCACTGACCTGCAGAATCCTCACAAAGAGTTAAGAAGGAAAGTTCCATCATTATCCCCATTTTACAGTCAGGAAACTGAGACACAAAGTGATTGTGTAACTTGCTCAAGGTCACTGAACTTCCAAGTGGCAGAGCTGAAATGAGAGCTCAGGCAGACAGGATCCAGATGGCCTCCTTTGTCCTTCCTTCTGGTAGCACCACAGATGAGTCAATGTTTAATGTACTCCTTCATGTGTTTGTGTGAGGCCGGGTTATCCACTGATGCCTGGAAGTTTGAGGGCAGTGTTTTTGACCTTCTCAGCTAGAATACAAATAACTCTAGGGCAGCAGAGTCTGGGCTGAGGTTTTTGGTCATCTCTTCCAGGCACCAAAGGAAGTGGAATTAAGGAATTCTACTTCTCTGAGCACTAGGATAATTAGCAAATATTATAGAAATTCAGTCATTGAAGGCACCCACTAACCCCCAATTCATGTTTGGGCCCCATATTGGGAATGTCCTTCTTGGCCAAGTGGGCCCATTCTTCTTGGGATGAGCCTTCCTTCAAACTGGGAGTGCTCCCTAGCCTCCACTCTGTCTCTTCCCCACTCCACCTTCCATTCCCACTTTTTTGCCCACAGCCTCTCTGCATCTAAAGGAAGCAGGAAGTTCGGGTGGCCAAAGCTTGACAGAGACAAATGTTTCATTACCAGGAGGCTTTGGTGCACGATCGTTAAGTGATCACCAAACCTGGAATGCCACATTGGAAGGGCACCCCTTGGAGAGCACTTAATGGGTCCTAATTGCATTTGCTAGCCATCAATCACCAGGGTAATTTCCTGTCTTAAGACATGTGCTCTCCTCAGTGAAAGAGCCAAAAATGAGGCCAAAAATGAAAGAGAAAGCTTCAGAATGAAGGAGAGTTCTGGTCCTCTCTTCACCTGATATAAAGCCCTTCCTTGCCCGGGTGTGGACCTAGGGGAATATTTCTTCTCTCCTTTAAATGGCTCTTGTAGGGCAGGTAATTGCTTACTCAGTGCTTGGCTGGCAAAGTTGTGACCTTCAGGAGCAGAGCCTGAGTACATTTTTTCCTAATGGTGGCTCTCAGGCCATCCTTCAAGGTAGCCAGTTCCCACCAAAGGATCTGACTTGAGGGACTGACCTGACTGGCCCAGGAATCTCTGTCATCTCAGAACAAGTTCAATTTTAATTTGCTTGATATCATCATCTCCCCCGGATCTGCATTTAAGAGGGGATGAGTTGCTAGAATGATAAAAGCTTGACTTTCCAGGCATTTGATGAAGGACTCTGGGTTAGGTTGGGCTGTGAGCCAAAACCCTTCTGTATCCCCATCAGTCAACCTGAGAGCAGAGAACAGAGGATTCTCCGAGCAGATGGCACAGATAGCACCTAAGTCCCTCTCCCTCGTCAGGGGCCAAGCCAGGCATCTGTGTGAGCCAGGGCCTGCTTCTGGGACTGTGAACTGGTTGGGTAATGGTGCAGAACTGGTGGTGGGGGGCGGTTCCAGTCAAACAGGAAGTGGATCCCACTAAGAGTCAAGTGCAAATCCAGTGGAGACATGATTGCCATTTTGAGTGGGATAATTCTTTTTTGGGTGAAACTCTCCAAGGTCACAATGTGGAGAAGTAGAGTATTTAAGAAACCTGAGCAAGGGCAAAATATGGGAGGTAAAGCTGGAGCTTAAGAGCTTAGTGCATATAGGAGCAGGCCAAGATGTCGGAAACCAGGCCAGAACAAGACACAAGGGGTCCATTGGGCTGTGACCATGGCTAGGGTGTTCACAGTTGCTCTGTGCAGATGACAACCTGTGGAAAATGGGAAGGGGAGGTACAAGATCAAAGCAGAGAGTGGCCAGCTACAGTGTGACTACAAGGCCACTGTCTTTTCGGCTACAATGGTTTGAGTAGAGTCTCAACTTAGCAGAACCTGTGTTCAGGTCAGAAAGTTTCCTGAGAAAAAAAAGGTTGAAGATATTTTCCTTACAGTTCGTTCCCAAATATGGAAGTATAAGAGATTAATCCAACGTGGAGGAGTGTTGATTGTGGGTTAATACAAAGTAGGCCTTGGAAAATGAAAATATATTTTCTTTAGGCAGCAACTGGGTCTTCAAAAATTAAAATTCTATCTAAAACCTTGACTTCTTGGGGTCCTGGTATGATCCAAGGTTGTTGTGTAGCCTTATGTTTTAGAGTGCATGATTACCATGTGGGGTGAGTTGATTCCTCTTTGGATGAGACTGTCCAGGGTGCTGGAGGTGGACTTCCACCTCTGGCCTCCATCCATGCTGTGTTGGTATGCCTTCTGACAGCATTTTGACTACCAACGATACCCCTCCACATACACATTTCCAAATATTCCCAGGGTGGGAGGGAGGAGGCAGTCAAGACAGACTCTGGCTAATCCAGCTACTTTCTTGGCATACAGGAAGGTTGCTAATGTCCCAGATGTTGGGATTATGCTCAAGAACTTGAGGCAGAGGCTTGACAGCCTCCTCAGACCCTGAGATCTCAACCTAGTCAGAGCTGGCCAATTCCCAAGTGGTGGATTTTCAGGACAAGGCCATCCTCATGGGGGAAGAGAAAACCATGCTTTCAACACTTTCACCCTCTTACATTTATGTTTGAACTGATATTGTGAGATCCTTGAAGACACACATAATGACTTTTTCATTCTGGTCTCCCCAGTCGGTGAGGGCCTGATGAATATGAAAATATAGCCTTGAAAAACACCAGAGGCATGCTCCCAAATAAAATCACACTCAGCTTTTCACAGTGCAGTCAACTGTTTACACAGTTCCCCAGGAAAAGAAAAGGAAAAGAAAAAAGAAACAAACAGTAAATTACTGATCACTTATTATCAGCAAGAGCTAAAAATTGCTGGAGGCAAAGACAATAATAGAAAATGGCTACTGCTCTTGAGAAAGAAGCTCACAGCCCATGAAGAAGACACAGTCATGTACACCTGGAGACATGTCCACATGGTTTTGCATCAAAGATTTAATGGAGGTGTAAACAAACTTCCTGGAAACCCATGTGTGGAATCTGGGAAGGCTCCCCTTCCCAGGGGAGAGGAATCAGATGAAGACGGAAGTGTCAAGTTTCAGAAATCGGAAAGATTATCTCAGGCAGAGAAAAACAGTTGCACTGAGACCTGCTGGCTCTGGAAGGTCTCATGACCTAGGATCCATATCCTCAGGATGAAGTTGAAGGGAAACACAGACCCTCTCCCATTTGCCTCATTGACTTTCTGAAGAAACCTCATAGTTCCTTCCGGGAATGTGCCAGAATCAAGAAGGCATATCCTGAGGCCAGGCTGTTGCTCATGCAGTGTGATTGGAAGGTCTTCGCAAAACCCTCCAAATCTCTGTTTCTAAAACTCCTACAACTACCATTAGGTTTATACCTTTATGTTATGATTTGCCCTTCCCAGAGATATTTGCATTTTAAACCAAATCATAAGTAGCTCACACTATAGCATAAACTAGTCTCATAAGTTATTGGTCTGGGACACCCAGAGAGAAGAGGGACTTAAGGACTGCCATGGAAGACATCAAAAGGAGAGAGGAGAAATTGTAAGACCACCAAGAATAGAGATAAAGAAGACAAGTTGAATCTCCCTCACACTTTCTGTGCTTTTCCAGAAAGGATGGCAAAAGAGGCACTGACTAACAAATCAGTCTCAGATGTAGAGTGGGGAGGGAACTGGCACTGTTTTGGTTTTCTGTTTTTGCTTTTGTAGTCAAACCACATTATTACCATGGCAATTCCCTCATCAACAAGTCCTTCCTCTGATCCCACTAACAAGTGTCATCCTGATAACAGAGGCTCCATGTGACCCTGCATTCAGAAGCTGTGGAAGAAATCTCAGGCAGAGATTCACCTTTCCCTGCAGCTGAGCACCACTGATCACACTCCCAGAGAATCCTTCAGCTCCAGGGTTTGACTCAAATCTTTGAATGGTGATGCCAGACTCCCAGGAGGGCCAGATTTATCAGAACTTGGGGATGGTGAGGAGAAGGGAAAGGTTTTCAATTTCCTTTCATTGGTCAGGATCACTGTAAGAATTACACAGTGATGTAATTCTTATGGCTAAGGAAAGGGCCTAGCTCTCAGCTCTGTTGCTGTGACAGCCCAGTCTCAGCTACAGATAGCCCTGGCCTACAGCTAGATGGTTTGGTTTCTTTGGGAGCAGACAAGTACCCCAGCTCATCTTTGAAAGAGTACAGCTAGACACTTGACTTTGGCACTTTTTTTCCTTTACCATCCTTTCTGCCCCACCCAGCATTCACTTCAAATCCATCCACTCTCCCCTTCCCCAGAGGTAGCCACTTCTCTCAGCCCTTGTTATCTCCGGACTGGTTCACCGCCTCTACCTCCTTTCTCCTCACTGGGTTTCCTACTTCCACTCTCAGCCCGCTTCTAATCCATTCTCCATGCTACTCCTAGAGGATTTTTTCTAAAGCAAATCCATGTAAGTTATTTCTTCTTAAACCTCTCAAGGTTTAAGGTGTGCCCAAGGCCCATTACAACCTGACCCCACTTATTTCCCCAACCTCCTTTCTCAATGCCCACCCTCCCCTGCCTCCTCTCTGTACTCTAACCATGCTTGACTGCATACATATTCCCTATCCCCAGGCTTGCTCACCCTGGACATTTGCATCTGCTGTTTCATCTGCATAGAAACACCAGCCTGGTTACTATTTATTCTCCAGAATTCACCTCCTCCGAGAAGACGTCCTGACATTCCAGGGATGGGTTAGATGCCATTCCCTCCACCTCCCCTCCTTGTACCATAAACTCTCGCAATAACATTTTCCAAGTTGTGTTGCAGTTGCCATGTATAAATCAGCATATCCTCAGCACCCAGCTTTAGCTTGGCCTGCAGGAGAGGGTCAATAAGTATTAAACTAAAGCAGGAAGGCTTAGGGCTCCCCATGGCAGCTCCCTGCCCCTATGGCTTGGAAAACTCAATTCGCTCTGTAAAGGGAAAATGTTCACATTAAATACTGCTGTATGCTGCTAGAAACTGTGTGCAGAGGGAAAACAAACAAGTGATTAAGTAATGGCAGGCAAGTATTTCACTAAGAGTCCTATCCAAATAAAATAACAGGAAAAGTGCCTTTCAGTACTGATTAACCACAGCTGAGAATTAAAGATCATTTGTAACAAATCATTATAGTCAACTGATTAAAAATGAATGAGTTTGTGCAGAGAACCATTACTGAATCTGGGGCTGAAAAAAAAAGACAGTTAAAGCATATTAACATGAAACTCCCAACCTGTGTATATGTTGCTGCATGAGGTTGATTTACAATTTACACCAAGGGGGATGCCAGGTGTGGAGAAAAGCATGTATTTGAGTTGGAGTTCTGCTTAGGGTTCAACCCCACCCCTGGCTCTATGAAACTGGTAAAGTCTCTCTAAGCTTCCATTTTTTGCTACTGAAAAAATGGGGTTAATATCACCACCAGTGTTAGTCTGAACCATATGAAATTGCCAACGTTTGACCACATTTGTCCTACCGAGATGGCAAGTTCATATGGTTTAAGCTTAAACTTTCCAGACAAAGCTGTTATGGGGATCAAAATGAGATAATGTAAACCAAAGACGCTCTACCAATGCAAGCCATCAGAAGAACCTCCTGGCACTAGGGTAAGACTGTGACAACGGACAGCAGTGTGGTGCTCAGCTTGGCATGCCACTGGGTTTGGGGCAAATCTGGGAACTACGAACCTTCCTCATTTGCATTAATTGTTAGGTTGAAGGAAGGGAAAAGAGAAAGACCAAAAGAAATAAAAGAATTCTTCCAACCCGAATGCAGGCCCTCCCTCTCTCAGCTCTGTCTCTCCTCAAAAATACTATACCCCTCCTCTCTGGTATTTTATTTGTAAGTGTAAGCTTTATTTAGTGTAAATCCACAGGAAGTTTGGAAGGGGGGTGCTGCATGCTTGGAGGCATTTAGCCCACCTCGGGTTCCTGTGGCCAGTCCCCATGTCTCATCATGTAGCTGCCCCTGCTATGAGGAAACCTTCTAATCTGAGTGACTGGCATACAATGAGTCCTGTCTAAGTGTTTAGTTAAATAAATGAATGAACAAATGAGTGAGTTCTCCAACACTGCTTATCCTATTGCTTGTTCTTTTGCCATCTGACAGAGCCCTAATAGAGGATAAAGGCATTTCCCACCCACACCTCCAAGCAATGGAATTAACGTAATCACTCTACATCTCCTGATTAGATGCAAACATTGACAAGCAATTTTTTCATAATTAAAAATGCTTTTGATGAGACAACTTATTCTCACTAAAACCACTTCTACATGGCATTGGTCCAAAGTCTTTACTTATCAAATAATCATATATATTAATCATACATATACACACACATATAATTTTTTAAACTCTCTTTTTTCAACTAAAACTTATTCCACTAAATTCTTTCCAACGCTTTTGCCCACATGTAGGGTCCCCTCTCTTCACCCTTGCTAACTCATTTTCCTGAAGCATTGATATATTTCTAGTTTGACCTTCTGAATGTAGCTACTGTTTGGAACTGTCAGACAGAGCTCAGGGCCAGATTCATGGGCATGAGACACAACCATGCAGTCACAGTGCTCAGAAGGGCCTTGTGCTTGGTTTACTGCTTTGCTGTTGCCATTTTGAAATTATAAATAACGTTTGAACACACGGCCCCAAATTGTCATTTTGCACCGGGCCCTGCAAAGTTAGTAGCTGGTTCAGACAGCTACTAGAGGAAACGAAACAGTGAGAAAAAACAAAATGGGGCAGAAAGGGTAATAGGGTAGTCCAGTTTAGAGAACTCCCAGGGGGGAGCAGAAAAGAGTGACTGAGCTGGCCTGTGGGGGGTCATTCAGGAAAGCTAGAGAGCAGAGAATGCAGCTGCAGAGGAGCCATTTAATGGGAGAGACAGGTTCTAGAAAAGGGAGATTTGCTAAGGAATCCTGTGAAGCTAGCACTGTCAGATTCAGGCTGTCAGGGCTTCAGAGAGAGTACTTTTAATATGAAGACAAGAAGTTAGTCCTCCAGCATAGGAAGGGGACCTAGAGCCAGAGAGCAGCCAGAGCCAGAGAGCAGCCAGAGAGTAAAACTGACAAGTAGAAAAACCTGACCACTGAGCTAATGGAACACAAACTGGAGTACATCATTCATTTATTTATCCCTTCCTTTAATATGCATACATTGAGTATCTAATGTGTATGTACTGTGTTAGCTCCTGGGCAATTTCAAAGATGATAATGACTCAGTTCCTGTTCTGGGAAACTCGTAATTTATATAAGAAGAGAAAGACATGTGAGCAATAACATCATGTGATTAATGTTATTAAAAAGGTTAATGTTACCTATTGTGAAGTAGGGGCAAGGGGAATGGGCAAGTTTGGGGTAAGTTTTATGAAAGATGCCCAGACTATACTCTGGTTTCTCTTCAGATCATATTAATCTTTCACCTTTTACTGAAAGGTGCCCAGACTAGGTCTTGAAGGATCAACAGGAAGTCACAGAGAAAAAAAAAGAGCATTTGGGCAGAGAGAATAGTGTGAGTAAATACACAGAAATGAGAAACCTCATGGGGCATTTAGCTACCAATAAGAAGTCCCAAACAGCCAGGGCAGAGGGTGCAAGACAGACAGCAGCAGGAATGGGTGTGCAAAGACAAGCAAGGTTTGGTTATGAAAAACCTTGAATGCCACACCAGGGAGCCTGAATTTTACTTCAGGTATGTGGGAGAGCCTTTGAAGGTCTTAAGCAACGAAGAGGCAAGATCAGATTTTGGGGGAGATGGGAGATATTGCTTGCTGCAATGCAGAAATGGTCTCTAGGGAAGAGTGACTGAAGCATGCAGGCCAGTTAGAGAATAACTGATGGCTAAAATTCAAGCAAAGGATAGTGAGAGCCCAAACTCAGGCAATAGCAGAGTAAGTAAAGAGTAGGGAAGAGAGTAGAGACTTCTTTCAAAGGTAGAATGAATTATAGTTGACTCACTGGACGGGATAGGGGCAGGGAGGAACAATTAAGCCTTCTCAGGTTTCTGATTTAAACATTTGGGTTAAAAACATTATTAACCAGGAAGGAGAATAAGGGAATAGGAAGATAAGAAAATGAGTTGAATTTTGGACATATTAAATTCAAGGGCACTGCTAAATATGTTCAGCGAGGGTCTGTGCTAGAGATTTTGGAAGTCATAAGAACATAGGTATATTGGTGCTAATTGGTGTTAAGGGCATTGGATATGAGTACTCAAAGAATGGATGCAAAGCAAGAAGCTCTTGAGGACACTGATATTTAGGAAGTGGGTTGAACATGACAACCTGGTGAAGGAAGCGATCAAGGAGCTATTGGAAAGGTAGAAGGAGAACCAGTGTGGTATTATTTTTTCCCTATCATTGGCTGTTTTTCTTGGGAGATGACTTTATGTCCCTGCTTGCTGCAAGTCTTTTGATATCAGGCTTGGGCCATGTGGCTGGCTTTGGCCAATAGAATGTGAGCAAAGGTGATAGACACTATACCCAAGCAGAAGTTTTAGGAATCTCTCTGTATGGGTCAGTGTTAGCCCTTTTTTTCTGCCATAAGATCACCTATTCCTTCATCCTGGATCCCTAAATGCAGACGGTATGTGGAGCAGAGCTATATCTAACCCTCAGCTGATGTAAAATTTGAGCATAAAGGAAAACATTTATTGTCGTAAGCCACTGAGATTTGGGGATTATTACTTGAATGTAACCTAACAAAAGCTGACTGCTACAACCAAAAAAAGAATAATGCCTCAGAAAAGAAAACATTTTGAGAACAAGTGAGTGTTCAATAGGGTCAAAAGTGACAGAGAGGTAATTAGGTGTCTCAATAGGTAGGTTAATGGTGATCTTAGTGGGAACAGTTTTAGTGGTGTGGCAAAAGCTGAAGCCAGATTGCTATGGATTGAGGCATGAATGGGAGGTGAGTGGGTGGAGATTATCAGTGTAGATTACTTATTTAATGATGTTGACTGTGAAAAGAAAGAAATATATAGAGAGAAACAGCTTAAGATGGAAATAGAGCATGAATAAAACTATTCAGTTTAGAAGAGATTTGAAACCACAGACTGAGGAGGGAGATTTGGTGGAAATGGAGAGACTGAAAGTGCACTGAGGCTATATGCCTGAAAACATTTGGACCTCTGATTCCCTCTTAATATTAAAAATAATGATAGCAAACACATAGTGCTCACTAAGTGTCTGGCACTGCTTTGATTGCCTTGCATGTATTAATTTATTTGATCTTCAAAGCAACTCTATGAAGTAGGTACTGTAGCTATGATTCCCATCAAACAGATGAATAAAAGAAGGCATAGGGATTTTGATTAACTTATTCCGATTCACACAGCTAATAAGTAGCAAACGGAGGCCATCCAGCTTCAGAGAGCGGGTCCTTCACTACCATGCCAGGTTGCCTCTCACAGAGGTACAGAAAGATTTTGAGCTATAAGCATGGCCTGGGAAGAGGATATGCCAGAGATGGGCTATATGCATTACAGATGAGGGATGTGGCAGGGAAGTATAAAGAGTGTGCCTCCAAAGGAGAAAGTTCTGGCTTCCTGGAGAGTGGAATTGGAATGTGAAGAACACTGAGGCTTCCATTTGGGGTACCAAGTTGGTTTGTTCACAGCCTCCCCTCAGCCCCTTTCAGCCAGACTGGAGTTGGAATGTGAGAAGAAATAAATGAAGAGGCGAAAAATTAGATTACAAGGGACGGCAGAAGAATCAAAGGACAGGAACAGAGGAGGAAGCCAAGCTCATTTTTGTGGTGCACTTGTGCTCATGATGTGCCCAGCACTGCATCAGAGCAAGGGCACATGGAAGAAGACCCGGCTGTTTCTGAAATGAGTTACCCAGGGTAATGGGCAACTTGGACATAAAGAGGCTGCTTTAACATGGGGGTGAGGTTAAGTGGGGTGTATATGAACAGCTAAGGAAAAATAGGCTACAGAGTGACAGAATCTGCTGGTGTAGCGGCCATCAAGCAAGAAGCAGAATTGCCGGCCATCTCACATCTTAAAGATGTCTTCTGTCCACTGTTTCTTTGTGAGGATCAGGACACGGCTAATGGGATGTGGAACTTCCCTCCAACCTGGACTAAAGGCAGGGAGGCCACGAGGGCAGAGTTGCTTTTCAGCGCTCAAAGCTGGAGAAATCTAAAACGATATCACATAACCAAGTACCCAAGAGTGGCGTGCCTTTCAGGAGGCATTTCAAAGTGTGAGTGGCCTTTCATCACTATCGAGTCTGTGGGACATGGTGTGAGTTGTCAGATCACCCCATGTCAGCTCAGTGTTCAGAGGATGCTCTGAACTGGAGAGGATTCCTCTGGCCTCTTCAGAAGTCTGAAGACTTCTTTCCATTGTAAATAAAGATATGCGGGCAAGGGAAGCAGGTGAATTTCCCAAGATTGGCAGTGAGCTGAGTAAAACAAGGGTCATGGAGGTGGGCAAGTGGGCACAGGCTCACCTCAAGTTGACCAGAGTCAATTTTTTCCCAGATAAGGAACTGGAGGCCAGTAACAATGGGCACTGCTCTGCAAAGTGCCAGTCACTTTCCCCCTTCCTTCTTTCCTTTGCACTTTGTATAGTACTTTGTACAGTACTTTGTCTTTCTAGCTCATCCTGACACTCCATTTAGGAGGTACCACTATCCAGACAGGCACAGCATACACATTAGCTTTCTTATGTATGGCAGAGGTCCTCTGTCTTCAAGTAGGCCCCTTTGCCTCTTGCAAGCCTGCGTAGCAGATTCCTGACCCAGGAGCACCCGAGACAGCTCATTCCAGCAGCTCAGATATCAGCATCTCTGCCCCAGTGTCCTCCACATCTGACTGATCCCCACCTGGGTCATGTTGAAGCCACATGGCCCTGAAATCCCTTTTATGTGGGACTGTCGCCACCCTCCTTGGAAGAGTCTATAACTTCAACCCCTTCCCCACAACTTTGAGCTTCTATAATCTTTACTTCTCCTTAATTAATTGCTAGCCCAGTCTGCAGACCCCTGTGTGCCTTGAGGAGGAAAAGATGAAGTAGGAATCAGTGGTAAGGAAAGATCTGCAGAGGAAGTGAGACTGAGCTGATACTTGAAGGATGGGTGGCATGCTTTCTCTCATTTAGACAAAGGAGAAAGAAAGATAGAAGGAAAGAAAGAAAGAAAGAAAGAAAGAAAGAAAGAAAGAAAGAAAGAAACAAAGAAACAAAGAAAGAAAGAAAGAGAAAGAAAGAAAGGAAGAAGAAAGAAAGAAAGAAAGAGAGAGAGAAAGAAAGAAAAAAGAAAGAGAAAAGAAAGAAAAGGGTGCTCTAGACAGAAGGAGAAGCATGTGCAAAGGCACCAAAGTGTGACAGTGCAGAGTGATTCCATGAGAAGTGCAAGTCAGTGGGGCTATAGCATAGGTGTATGGGGCACAGCAGCTGGAATTGACACTGTTAAAGCCACTCTGTAGAGAGCGTTGAATGCAATGCTCAGAAATTTGGCCTCGGACTTGGCTCTGTCAACAATTAAAGTCCATAAAAAATTTTTAAGTATGGATCTAACATGATTAAATTTGGGTTGTAGAAAGCTGAAGGTAGCTGCGTGAAAGGTGGATTCATGTGGGCAAAGACCAAAGGCAAAGAGACCTGGTGGGGAGCTGTTCAAATCACATCCAGGCGAGACAACAGCTAGGTCCTCGTTGAGTCCATGGTGGACCAGGTGGACCATGCATCTGGCACAACTGAGGCGGCTCTTACGCAGAGGCTCTGGGCACTTCTGCGGAGAGGAATCTCAGATCCTCCCTAGAATACAGTTTTAGAACCCCATGTCTACAGTTTTAGAACCCTGTCTCTCCACTCTCCTTTTCCCAGGACAGTGAATAAAGTGGATTTTCTGAAGAGGAAGCACAGAGACCCTTGCTAAGAATGAAGGCAGAATGGTATATAGAGTAAGACATGCCCTGCTGCTACTCTATCTAGTAGCTGCACGAGGAGTCTCCTCGATGAATTTCCTCAAAATATTGCACACATTTCATTGGTTTACTGATGCCAAGTTGGCTATAATGAGAAATGTGCCAGCATCAGAAAGATTCCAAAACAGACCACTCTCCCCTGTGTCAGTCTCGTCCCTCTTCCTATATCCGCTCTTTCTCTCTTCTCTCCCTGTAATCTAAGACCAAATTGTGCATGACCTTTCTCTCCCCTCAGGGCCCCTCTTTCTGCTGGTTACCTGCTACTGGCTCTCCTCCTGGTTTTACTGTAAGCAAAATTAAAAAAAAAAAAGGCGGGATGGGCAGGGAGCCTCTCTACTGGGGAGCACCCGACAGTGAAGGTTAGAAGACATGAGGCTAATGAACTACAGAATATTGGTTACATCTCACTTGATTACACTTAGAAAATGTAAAACCACCTTTTAGTCATGACTGGCCATTTATCTGCTGGAATGCTCAGAGCAACACTCCCAATCACATTTATTTCCTGCCTTCAGGTTCCAGTCAAGGTTTCTGGAAATTAGTGATTCATCACTGAATACAACAACTAGCACTGGGATCTGCCAAGACAGGAAAAATCACCATGTCCCTGTGCCAAGGAGCTGTCTCTCATTGGTAATATCTTCATGCAGCTGCTAGGACCAGCACACAAAATCCATACACGTGCCAGGAGCAGCAGAGCCACCTGATTATGTGTGCCATTAATAACAAAACAGAGTTCCATTGCTCCAGTCTGGCCCCCAGGCCCCTGATAGGAAGGGAACAGGGGAGCCCACTGAGGGTCTGCTTTGGGTCCTTAGGTACATGAGGTTTACTCATTTGGGTGAGAGAGAAGGAAATCTTGTTTTTCCTGGGCCATAACTAAAGGGAGCACCACTCACACATGAAATGTTCAGAGTCAAGTTTGTTGTAATGTCTCAAACACTGATATTAAAAACGGCAAGGCAATAACAATAGCAATGCATTGATGAGGGTATGAGAACCTTCTAATCAAACACGGTGGATTAGACATACATAGTTATTTCTGCTCCCTCCTAAAAATCTCAACACTGTGGTGGCAGAATCTTAAGATAGCCTGCAAGATTTCTCCCTTCCTGGTACACATGCTCTGTGTAATCCTTGGAGCTATGAATATCAGATTTTACTCCTGTGATGAGGTTATGTTACATGACACAGTTTGGTGTTAAGACAGAAAGATTATAGAGGTGGGCCTGTCCTAATCGCATGAGAACTTTAAAAGCCTTACTTTTTTTCAGCTTGTTGCAGAGAGGGAAGCATGAAAGAAATACAATGCAAGAGAGGTTCTCTGTTGCTGAGTGGAGGTGGCCCATAGCAAGGATCTGAGATTCATCAACAGCCAGCAAAACAATGGGGACTTCAGCCCTACAACTACAAGGAAATGAATTCTGCCATCAACCTGGAGTAGCTTGGAACAGTCTTTCCCTAAGTCAAGCTTTCACATGAGGGTGCAGCTGGTCAACACCATGATCCCAGTCTGAGAACCTGAGCTAAGTACCCAGCTAAAACACCCTGGACTCCTGACCCAGGAAAACTGTGAGATAGTTAATTTGTGTTGTTTTAACCTGCTATTTTTGTGATAATTTGTTGTGCAGCAATAGAGAGCTAACACACTCTCTAAAAGTAATAAAGATTTAAGCCCATAAAGGGAGGCTATTACAACAGAGGAGAGGTGGCCAACAAATTTTGCAAGATGAGAAACAGGTAGACATAGGTCACTAATTTAGAAGAACAGAAAAAGCACCTGCAGAAGGGGAAGCCAAAAAGTAACTATCTGATTTGGGACTCAGGAAGTAGAGAGACAAGTGCCTCTGAAGAATGGGGTGCACATGACACTGCAAACCGGAAGACTAGGCAGGAGGCTGCATGAGGAGCTGCTGGACTCCCTAGAGTCCCCTCTCTGCCCCTACCCAGCCAAACAACTTTCCAACCCTCACCTCCACAGGAGGCAAATGGTTACCCTCTGAGATGCTGAATCAGATAGACTCTGGACTTGAGGACATCTGTCACAAAGAATAGTAGGTGTGAGGTGAAGTACTAAAACAGGAGTATTAAGTGAGGCCCCTATACTGAGCCATGGAACTCTTCCCCCCTCACCCCCCATCCTTTTCCCCTTTCCCTCACCCCCTTGGGAAGGAGACTGGAACAATGTCTCTGTAGAAATGAAGCTGATAATGCTTCTCCCTACCCTACTTCCACTCCATGTGTGCACATGTATACACACGGATATGCACACAGCATATAATCAGCTTTTTGTACCTCTTTTATACTTAAGACATGACTAGAAAAAAAATTAGCAGACATTTGAAATCTCTAGTATAGAAAAAAATCAAAACAAAGAAGAAAATGAGAGTCAGAAAATGCAGGGAACAGGAAAAAAAAAACCTAAGCAAAAACAATATTTCATCCATGAAACAACAAAATAGGATCCTACTTACAAAGGGACACATTCAGAAAACAAGAAAAAGCTCTTGGATATTAAAGATTAAGATAACAGGGAAAAATGTTTAAATTGACACCATGTGTAGGAGATAAAAGTGAGGCAATCTCCCAGAAAATAGCACACAAAGATAGAAAATAGGAAAGAAAAGATAAGAAAATTAGGTGATCCATCCCTGGAGGTCCAACTTCCAACCAACAGGAGTCAGAGAAAGAGAAATGCAAAGAAAATGGTTGAGTGAAAATTATTAAAGAAATATATAAGAAAGTTCTCTTCTATGGAGGATCTCATTAGAAACTTCCAGAGAAAAAAGGCAGGTGACAAAATATTAGAAATCTGAATGGCATCTGACTTCCAAGGCAACACTGGGTTCTAAAAGACAATGGAGGAGTTTCTGCAAAATTCTGAGTGAAAACAATTTTCAGCATAATGATATATACTCAATCAAATTACTTATCAAGTGTGAGGGAGGGATAATTGCATTTTCAGATATTAAGCCCTCAGTCTCAAAAAAGTTACCTCTGATGCACCATTTCTAAGGAAGCTAGTGGAGGATGCAGGCCACAAAACAAAGGAATAATCCAAAAAGGGGGAAAGCACTGGGTCTGGAAATCAGAGAATCTCAAAGAGGACAAAGGAAAAGGGTTACTGGGGTGCCAGTGAAGGGAGTTTCAGAAGGCTGAGTGTTGCAGACTTAGAAAGCAACCAGTCAACAGGTCGGGAACATCTCCCAGGAAATTGCACAAATGACACATGGCTTGGAGTACCTATTTGTTTTCAATATGGTTTGTCAAAGGGTTTGCTAACAATTGTAATTAAGAACAAAGAAAAATGAGAAGATTAAAAATTAAACTCCAGGACAACCAATAAGTTATAGAAGTGGAGAAATGTGATCATTGGTCTCGACACTGCTTTGTTGTGAATAATACTAACAAAGGTAAAATAATGAAAATACAAAATATCAACTTAAACAATGATTGTAATTAACTACATATATTGGAAGAATGGGGAGGGGCAACGTGTGTGCACCTGTGTGAGTGTGTGTGGTGAATGGAGTGGAGGGAGGGTTGTAAGGGTCTAAATCCTTACCTTCCACAGTTGTAAATCAACATATGATTTCTACATTTGAAAAGCAAAAACATACTCAAGAAATAGCCTTATAAATATCTTATCTAAACTTATTCAGGTAAATACTAAAATAAATGGCTAAAAGTTGTTGCCCCTGAGGAACAGCCCTCAGGGTTGAGGAGGAATGAGCCAGGAAATCATTTTTTATGTGTGAAAAATCTTATAGTATTGTTTGACTTTTCCAATTCCATGTCGGTAGGTAGGAGGCCATAGAAAACTATCTAATTTACACAGTACCTTGATAATAAGAACACTCTCCTCTCATCCCATGGTAGGGGTGGGAGGTGGAAAAGCATTGTTTCTGATAACTTTAACCTGACTTGACAGTGATGTCCTTGCAGGTGAGCATATACCTCCAGTTCCTTCTGCTAACCCCCACAATGCTCTGAATGGCAGGACCCAACTGCAGAGAGCTGAGACAAAACTGTAATCATGTCTTCTACCCATATGGTGCTGTCCAGTTTACAAAGTCCTTGCACATATGTTATCTCGTTTGATCTTCCTAACAACCATGTGCAGTACTCAGGGTGAGGAATTTGTACAGAGAAGAAACTGGAACTCTTAGAGGCTGATTGGCTTATTCATTGTCACACAGCCTGGACTCCAAACTATCTGCTACTTCATGGGCTGACTGAAGCCATCTATGTAAGGCAAGGGGAAATACGGCACGATTTTGGAAGAAGTCATTATCTCTGGTACATTGTCTATTTGAAGTCTTCTAATTTTGTGATATTGAGTCTTTCTATTCTTTATCTCCCCTGTCTGTCCACCACATCAATTCCTAACTTTTTCCTTCCTGTTCCTGAATTACTCCCGTTCTGACTTTTTGGATCCTATTCCTGCTTCTTTTCTCGTGCCTCCAGATTTAATTCTTGGCTTCAGGAATTGAAACATTTGAACACTGAGCCTAATCAGATAAACCGTGAGTATAGTGTTGACTTCATGGTTAGAAGTGGCCACCCTGGCCAGTCTACAGCCTGGGAATTTGAACTAGACCTGAGAGCCCTCTTGATGAGAACCATGAGGCACCCAGGCCATCACATATGATCTGCTTGGACCTCTGTTCATCCAGTTCAGTCTTCCACAAACACAGGGGCTCTGGCACATGAAATACATCACTGAAGATAGATTTCACATCATATTTTAATCTTTTGATTTATTCCTCAAGCACACACTAAGTTTGAGGCTAAAGAAATGGTGGAAAAAATGAGATGGGAAAAGTGGTGGGGATGAAACACACTGTATTCAAAACATTAGGGTTTGTGTCCACCCTCAATGGCTGCTGAGGGCTAAGGGGATTAGAAAGGCTCATGTGTGAGCCACCAACACTTTTTCCACCCTCAGACTCCTTGGAGATTTCTTGATCCATTTTGTGATTGAGGTAGACAGGATCACAGCATCCAGTGTTATGGCTGCAGGCATAATTCCAACATCTGAGAACATTTTCCTCCTAGATATTTAATTTCCTCTTCCAGCCGTTTACCACTGGGGCCCTAAAACCACTTCACAACTCTATCCACCACATCATCTTAGCCTCTTTTGCAAGTCTTTTAATATCCATTGGAAAATAATGCTGTCTTTGATTCTGAGAAATCCCTAACACTTCTTCCCTTGTTTCTAATTAGCAATATTTCTGTGGTAATTAAGATGAGAGTAGCTCCTCAGTTCTGCAGCATTTTTAATTCAGAAAGAAAGAAAAATACAATAATAATATAAAGTGGCTCTAAGAATGAATTTGTTAGGGGACTTGAGTGTATGATAAATAATTTCAGCCCATCTTAAAACACACACACACACATTCGTGTAGATATACATACATATCATACATATGCATATACAAGAACAAACACACACACACACACACACACACACACACAAACAATAATTACCCAATTCTGGAAAAACAGGATTCAAAATGCACCAATGGAAATACTGTCATTCTGTGGGCAGAACAAATGCATTATCTTAAACTCTAGGCATCCCACAAAATGAACAACTGCAGTGAGCTGAATGCTGATGAAAAATGGCCACAAACAGGCCACCTTTCTTCTCTCATGGGATGGCTGGAAATGGGCATATTTCCTTGCTGGTCAAACACCCAGTGACTTGGCATTTTCAATACTTTTCAAAGGCCCGCTGCATATATTCACTCTGTGTTAGCTTTTGTTCTTGCTAAGTATGGAGTGGAGTCAGAGCTCTGCATTGCCAGACAAAATCTAATGCTGTAGGCTGAGCCAAGAGTCAAAGGTGCTATCATTTCTACTTTACAGATGGCACTCCTATCTCTAAACTTGGGTTTGTGCATGAGTGCACAAATACATGCTTATACATCTTCCTAAGGGATTAACAAAAAGATGTCCTACATGGCAAAAAAAAAAAAAAAAAAAAGATATCCTTTCTTCATTTCTGACTTTTTAAAATCAAGGCATATTTTGAGGCTGGTGCTCATCAGAGTACAGGTAATGAGCTCTTGCTTGTAATTTTGTGAGTGTATATTTTCTCAGGGAATTGACAGATAGCATAGGGTTCTATTTGTTTGGAAATCATAATTATTTCTGGCAATTTGGTAATTATTTCTCCTGTAGCTAGTTACTTGTTGCCTTCTCAAGCAAAATTGTGTTTGCCAAGAGCTGGCTGTGGCAGTGCAGTATTTGGTGGCTAAGGCTCTGGGCATGGCTCATGGGGATGCTGGCCCTGCTAAGGACAGGCTCCCAGCTCCATGATTTCTCCAGCCCCCACCCCTGAGCTTGTCCATATCTGAGGAGAGTGAGCTGCTAAGTAGAATGCTTCTCTTTGTTTTAGTTGTTTCTTCCATTGTGAAATCCAGGATTCTCCCACTCCTATGTTTATTCAATCATAAAACCATTGGGAGTTAGAGCTCATTGAGCCTTTGAGATCATCTTATTCACCCTCTCATTTTATGAATGGAAAATCTGTGGTGCACAGTGAATGGTTATGCCAAGGTCATCCAGCAGTCGGGAAGGGCTAGGCTAGAACACAGGTCTCTTTACTCTCTGGCCAGTGCTCCTTTATCCTCCATGTGATGATTTAACTCTTTTTAGTTAAGCAACTTGTATAGATTTTCCAGTATGGATTAAGCATAGTCCTAGGTGCTGCAAGCTCAAGAAAGCCAAAAAAGAGGGAATGGTAGATGTCAAATGAGACAACATTAGAAGAGAACATTACACAGTGCCTGGCCCAGAGGAGATATTCCATGGGTCCCTGCTTTTCTCCCCTTTGCTCTTCCCCACCCCCTATAGATACATACAGAGGGGAAAAATCTCAGATATTTGAGGTAGTCAAATTCTTGCAAGTGTCAGAAGGGGAGCTGATAGACAACTCCAGTTACTCCTTTAGAAGCACATTTTCTAGTTCCTAATAAAACCTCTCAGGCTAGGCCCACACCTGGAAGAACTCCCCTGGTATTCTATAAAGACATCAGCTCCTGGGCTGCCCCTCTATTCCAGAGTGTTGATGAATGTGTGGCTCGCCCACACTGCCTGATTCATAAGCACATTAGTGCTGACTCACCGACAACTGAGAGAAAAAAAAAAAAAAAAAAATCTCCTCAGGTTTTGAGTTGAGATGAAGACACTTACAAGATGCAAAATTCAGCTCTACTGATGGAATGATAACTGAAACACACCATGAGCTAGTCATCTGGGGAAAATATTGTCAAGGGTATTTGGTCTCAAACCCAAGCTCTTGTACCCATTTTCTGAATTCATAATAGAATCTTCGTTTTCCAGAGATTTAAAAATCTCCTTACTTTACTATTAATGAAAAACAAGAAGCGTAAAACCATGAAGAATCTAAAGTAGCTGACCCAAGTTCAGCTTATCCCTGAGTTCAGCCTTGATAGGAGGATTTGGCTAGAAGGCTCCTTCCAACCATGAGTTGTGTGGCTATAAGATTATCACCAACCATCTTAGTGCCAGCTTTACATGAATCTGTTGTTCAATGATTTGAAGCTTCTCTAGATCTTATTCAAAGCAAGGCGTATAGGCTCAGACAGCCTGCTCCACCCCTGGATACTTATATAGAATAATCATGTAGAAATTATTGAATTGAGGGCAGCCAGGGCTGCAACTTGAGTTCCTGGGCCCCTCTGCAAATACATCTCCAAATAAGAAGACCGACGGCCTTTTTGGCATGTAATGAAATACAGAGCCATTCTGAAGATGGGCTCCTTGGCCACTGGGGAAGGCCATCCTTTGGTTTTGGCCTCAGCTCCTTGCCTTTTGATTCTTTTCCACCTCCTCATCAGAAGGCTAACAATCTAAACACCAAGCTCAACACACCCACATCAGTTAGTAGGCAGTTTTAGCCACATATAGCACAACACAAGTAATGTCCATGAAGGACAAAGCATATTCAAGTGCGTAAAGGACTGGTATACTGCCTGGTACAGAACCAAGCCTGATTTTAGCATGCATCTTTCATCTTTTTCTAAATCCAACTTGTACCAAAATACATTATGAGAAAAACTGTCTCTCTAAACTCTGTGAAAACAAGACCTTTTCTGGCAAGACTCCTGGTGTAGCCTGTCCTGTCTTCAAGCAGGACCCCATTATCCACAATGGCTGCTCAGTAAGCCTGGGCGTCCCTGTTACACTCACCTTCTCTGAACTCTGCTTTCTTGGTTGTTTAGCCTCTCAGCCTCCCTGACTCTCCTCCTCTTGCTCCTTCTCAGTCTCAGCTGTGCTTTTCTGTATTTGTGCATGTGTGTCTGACTCCTCTGTTGCCCCCTCTCATGGTACCCAGGGAGGCACTAATACTCCGGTGTCCTCAGCACAGTCCCCTTCCTTGGATAGACAAACTCAGAAATGGTCCCCATGATCTTTGCCTCCTGGTACTCATCCCCTTATGTAGTCTCCTCGCCATGAGTGTGTGTGGGACCATTGATGCTCTTCTAACCAACACCATATAGCAAAAGTGTTGAGATGTCACTTCCATGATTATGTTGTGTACAATTGTGACATCTTGTTGGCAGACTCCCTCCCTTGATGGTTTTGATGAAGCAAGAAGGCACATTGGAAAGGTCTATGTTTCCAGTATAAGACAGGGAGCTGAGGATGTCTCCCCACTGCCCAATAATCAGGAATTGAAGGCAGCCTCTCACAGACAGTCAGCAAGAATCTGAGGCCTTCAGCCCAACAAGCCAGAAGGAAATGAATTCGCTAACAACCACATGACACTGGAAGCAGACCTTTCTCCAATTGAGAAGAGACCACAGTCCTGGTCAACATCTAGGTTGCAGCTTTCAGATGAGACCCTGAGCCAGAGGACCCAACAAAGCCATGCACAGACTCCTGACCCACGGAAGTGGTATGATAATGTGTGTTGTTTTAAGCCACTAAGTTTGTGATAATATTACTCACAGCAATAAATAACCAATATACATCATACTTGAAGCACTCAACAATATGGCTATTCAGTTTCAAAGACTGTTTAGATTCAACAGTGTGTGAGGAGGATAACAGAAAACATTTACCCTAACATCCCTTTTGCAGAATTCCCTCTCCCCAGCACCTTGGACAGTTCACATCCAATCTCAACTTGAACTTTGATAGCTTTGAGAAGCTTAGTGTCATACAAGATAGCCATCTCACACCAGTTAGAATGGCAATCATTAAAAAGTCAGGAAACAACAGGTGCTGGAGAGGATGTGGAGAAATAGGAACACTTTTACACTGTTGGTGGGACTGTAAACTAGTTCAACCATTGTGGAAGTCAGTGTGGCAATTCCTCAGGGATCTAGAACTAGAAATACCATTTGACCCAGCCATCCCATTACTGGGTATATATCCAAATGACTATAAATCATGCTGCTATAAAGACACATGCACACGTATGTTTATTGCGGCATTATTCACAATAGCAAAGACTTGGAACCAACCCAAATGTCCAACAACGATAGACTGGATTAAGAAAATGTGGCACATATACACCATGGAATACTATGCAGCCATAAAAAATGATGAGTTCGTGTCCTTTGTAGGGACATGGATGAAATTGGAAATCATCATTCTCAGTAAACTATCGCAAGAACAAAAAACCAAACACCGCATATTCTCACTCATAGGTGGGAATTGAACAATGAGATCACATGGACACAGGAAGGGGAATATCACCCTCTGGGGACTGTTGTGGGGTGGGGGGAGGGGGGAGGGATAGCATTGGGAGATATACCTAATGCTAGATGACGAGTTAGTGGGTGCAGCGCACCAGCATGGCACATGTATACATATGTAACTAACCTGCACAATATGCACATGTACCCTAAAACTTAAAGTATAATAATAAAAAAAAAAGATAGCCATTCTATCTATGGACAACTCTTTCTTTTTTAAAATAATTATCTTATATCTATGCCACACTTATTCTGTGCTATTCACTACTCCATAATGTATATGCTTCATTGAAATTATTTCTCACAGTAATTCCATTAAGTCAGTACTATTATTATCTACACTATAAATATGAGGAAACTAAAGCTCAGAGAAGTTAAGCAACTTTTCCAAAATGAGTGCATTAAACAGACTTTAACCCAACTCTAACTCAAAGTCATATTCTGAACTACTATGACATACTGCTCCAATCTTGTTAGAATGTTCCTCCTTATGTTAAACCAAACTTTTCCTTCTTCTGATACACCGTTATTGATCCCATGGGAGTTTTACAGGATAAAAATTGTATTTCTCTTCCATAGGAAAAATTTTAAGATGTGTAAAAATAGTTATTATGTTTCCTCTTTCCTTCTTTATTATAATTTTTTTAAAGCACCCTACTTAAAAACTCAGTATGGAGAGGGATGAGTAAGCAGAGCAGCGAGAAATTTTAGGGCAGTGAAACTACTTTGTGTGATACTGTAATGGTGGATACATGTCATTATACATTTGTCCAAACCCAAAATATGTATACCAAGAGCGAATCCTAGTGCAAACTGTATAATAATGATGTGTCAATTTAGGTTCATCAATTATAACATATGTGCCACTCTGGTGGGAGATGTTGATAGCTAGGAAGGTTGTGCGTGTGTTGGGGTAGGGACACATGGGAAGTGTCTGTACCTTTCATTCACTTCTGCTGTGAACCTAAAACCACTCTGAAAACTAAAAATCTATTTTTTAAAAAAATTTCACTATACAAACAAACAAATGAACAAAAATTCTTCTATGGGGAATGAAGAGAAACTAGCTAATGGATATGTGGTTTCATTGGTAGTGATAGAAATGCTTTGAAATTAGATAGAGTTGGTGGTTCCACACACTGTGAATGTACTAAATAGTACTGAATTGTTCACTTTAAAATTGTTAATTTTATGCCATGTGAATTTCATTATAATATGTTTTTAAAATTCCTCCCTCAAAATGCATTATTTGTATTTCAAACATAGAAAATGATAAACAGAGTGAAATAATATGGACCTATATATCCAACCACCAGCTTAAGAAAGAAAACATTTTAAATAGAATGAAAATTGTGTTTTTCCACCACATACTACCTAGCCCTCCCTTTCCACTGAGACATAACCACTACTCTGGATTTGGTAGTTCTCACTCCCACGAATTTCTTTATTACTTTCCTTCGTACATATGTATCACTGAAGAATACATATCAGTATTGTACATGTTTTTAGATGTAAATAAATGCTATCATATTGTAGGTATTCTTACTCAACTTCCTTTTTCCATTCTGATTATGTTTGTGAGTTTCATAAATATACCACATTTTCTTTATCCATTCTCCTGTTGATGGACCTTCAGGTTATTTCTGTTTGTAGCCATAACAATGAATGCTGCTAGGAGCATATTTATATGTGACTTCTTATACACAAGTGCAAGAATTTTTTAGGTTATATATCTAGAAATATCTTTAGCTCCACCAGTCATTGCCTAGTTACTCTTATGGCAACCTTCTGAGATGACTCATCATTGTATTTGTCCTCCCTGGAGAAGTTCTGGGTTGTCAGGAACACTGGTCCAGGGAAATGAGATGATTGCCTCTTTTGTCCTGGGCAGACTACATCTAGCAGTGGTCTGAGATTGCAGAAAATGTTTTATCAGTCTTATACCTTGTAATCTGCCATTGATATTTTTGTCAGACAGTAAACCTTAAGTGTTTTTCACATGAATTATTCTTAAACCAGGTATCCCCAGTCTGTACCTGCTCAGCTTTTGTTTTAAGCCTGAATGCAGAACTTTAGTTCTACCCCTGTTGAATTTCACCTTGTTAGTTTTAGCCAGTCCCATAGTCTGTAGATATATTTTGAGTCCTAACTCTGCTATCCCATCCATGAACTCAATAATCATGCTTTCTGCATCTTCATCTAAATCCTTGATAAAATAGAGGATACAGCCAAAGATGAAGCCCTGTGATTTATGACAAGATGTTCTCAGATGTTGATGTAATCAGCTGCCTGCGCATGGCTGGTCAATTAACCATGATGTAGCTCTCAATTTCCATTCAATCCATAAGAATACCAAGGCAAACTTTGTCAGGGGCCTTGCCATATTGGCGGTATTTAGCTGATTTACATAACTAGCAATCTGGTGGAATATGGAAATGGGATTCCATTTAATATGCCTTGTTCTCAGTGAACCCATGCTAGTTTCTAGTGACTACTGCTTCTCATCCAAGAGGCCATAAACCATTTGAATAGTAATTCATCTTAGGATTTCTATAATGATCAGTATCAAATCCAGCAGGCTGTACAATCTGAAATCTGCTTTCTTTCTACAAAAAATCTAGTTTTTCTCATCTCTAGTCTTTTGGTATCTTTCCCTTAATCATTTCTAAATTGTGGTTTTATGAGCATTTGTACAAGTTTTTTAAAATTCTGGCATAAAACTTGTCAGGTTTGAAAACTTTTAAAGCCTCTGGGTGACCACTTAAATTTGTTTATCCAGTTTGAGTTTCAAGATTATTTTAACAAAATCGATTTTGTTCCTCTCTGTTGAAAGATCTTGCCTTTTGGTAAAGAAACAAAATACTTGAGTGATTCTCCTTTCTCTTCTCATCTTTAACGTTGCATCTTTAACGTTCCCCAAGCAGTGAGCTTGTCCCTTCCTTGTTCTTCTAATTCAGAACATAGCTACTGAAAGCTGTTTTTGTTGTCTCTGGCATTTTTCTAGTCTCTGCTCATTCTGAGTGTTAGCCTGTCTGGCACTATTTTTACAGGCTTATAATACTCTTTTGTATTTGTCCTTGGTTATGTGTTTCTCTTTCCATCCTTTCTACATAGTATTAATATATTGAATTCACTGAACAGTGTTCTGGCTTGCCTCACTGTTATTTCAGGATGTCACCTCATTTCTCTCCTATCTCTTCAGAAAAAATGCTATTGCTTGTCTGCTTCTGAAGGAGATAATGGGGCCCAATATTCAAACAATCGGAAAGCAGCATAATCATCATACATAGATCGCCTTCCATGCCAGCCCCACCTCCTATGATTGGTTTCTTCCTCCTTTCTTCTGTTCCCTTCACTCACATGGAGGCAAAGAATAGCAGAGAACCAGAAGGAAATCATGAATTAATGGATGCAAGAGGCTTTTCAGCCTCCTTGAGCTCTTTGGCCCCATAATTGGTAGGGTTTTATGGTACTAGAGATGCTCAGTGGATCCCATAGTCATCTGCTTAAGCCTGAATTAAGACCTGATTTTCAGAGGAGGAAAACACAGAAGCTAACAAACTCTGCTGTGTCCAGACCTTAAAGAGTCAATCAAATCTAGATTGCAAAATGATAGGAGTGCATCTAAGGAAAGAAACTGGTTGGAATGATTCGTATTCATTTCTTCCCACATTAGAGCTGGGACTTTTCTATAATGGCTTGGTATGTATAATGTTGTAGTACACAGTCCCTTATTCTGGAGACCTGTGAGGCCCGTGAGACCTGGGCCCCTGAGTCTGTTTTCAGTGGCCATGATCCATTGGCAAGAATATTAGAATAGACCAGTTCAGCTAGGGACCACTCCTCACATATCACAAGCTCTTTCCCCTTTCTGAAGCAAACTTCCAGCCGTGAAATATGAGAAAAATTACATGACTTCCTGCCATCACCTGTGGAAGAAGGATAAGAGGGCTAATGACTTAATATATTGTAAATCTCCTTGGCAAAAGAGGCTACATTATATTTTGATGTACATGATGGTGCTCAAATCTAGTAGGTGTTCACAATGTTAGCTTCTCCTTTCCTATAAGCTATATTGTTATATTTATTTTCTCACTATCTAAATAATTTTTCTGGTCCATTTTTTCTCCAGCACTGAAGAAGCCTGATGGAAATTTTATAAATTCAGTGGCTCCCAAGTTCTCTAACCAAGCCTTCCACCCTCACCATCATTCAATAAATGCTCAACTCAGACACATTTATATGCCCAAGTGCCTCACATGGCCAGTGATTCCTAAGTGCTAAACAGATTTGTTCTGGACTTGGAGTCTGAGCCTAAGGAGCAAGGCTGAGATAATTTAAGCACCTCTTGTAACAGAAGGCAACTGGAATTCAATAGAGATAAATGTAAAATGTTGAACTAGGGAGCTGAACCATTGGCAGGGTAGAATTCTAAATGGAAAGGTTATGGCTGAATGACTAAGCAAGGGAGAACACACACCATACCCAAGGAATTCTTGCAGAAATGCAAGTCTTGGGTGGACCCTGCAGAGAACAAGAGACAGGATGTGGTAGAACAGCATGGCCAAAGGAGAGCTACTGGGGCTCAGTAGAGGCCACTACTGGGAAGTCTCCCTCCTGAGGCAGACTGTCTGACAAGGGACAGAGGGATTTGGCTGGCTATGTCAAGCTGCAGGTTTTAGCTGCTGTCATGAGCAGTCCATTTTGCTTTTTCTCTGCCAGGCTCCAAACACCAGAAGTAAAACATCTAATGATAACCTGAGGTATTGGCTGTGTCTACTAGGAAAACAAAAACAAAAACAGCCACTCAGGTTGATTAATTCAATCAAATGATTGGCCAAGTTCCACGAAGAGATCGATAGAATCAGTGGTTGACCAAATGGAGAGGTTGAATCAGGAAGCATGATTGATCCCATAACCCCATGCAGAGTCAGCCAAGCAAGGCAATGTATTTGTCCATGAAAGGGTCTCTTGGGTGCCCACAAATTTGTCTTGCAATGAGTCCATGACATTGGCACGGGCCTGAAATACATCTGACATGGTTCTCTCTTTTCCTTCTTTTAAAGTATGTTTTCATACAATTAACGGAAGGGCAGGAATTTGCCCTCTTTTAGATTGGCCACACCAGGAACAGAAAAAGGGAATGGAGAAAGCCAGTAAAAAGGCAAGTGGATGAACACAGGCTATGATTCAAAAAGTTTTCAAAGCAGTCAACACATTTCTTGGGACACAAAAATTACTTGCAGTATTTTCTGGACAAGATCCATCAACACTTAGCAAACTAGCAATCCCCACGAAAGCACTTCATTCCTTAGCTAACGGTTTGCCTATTTCATGCTCCTCAACAGCCTATCAAAGGGTATTAAAAGACACACCAGTTACTAGCCTTGAGAACAAAAGAGGTGACACAAGCCCAATTTCTCCCTTTGCTTAGCCTCCTCAATGTCCACTTTGACAGCCCCCAGTCCCTAATGAAGAGGGCATCCATCAATTAAATTAGGGCAGCCTTACAAATCTCTATAGAGTGTTGACATATATACTAAGCTCTTTTGGCCCAAGTTCCAAATTCATTCCTCGCTTTTGGCAAGGAGCAACATGGAGACTTCTGCTGGGAAAACGCATCGCTATTGGAATGCATGAGAAAGACGAGCTGTGAGTGCTGGTATTGTCCTCACACACACTCTCCTGCCTTCTATTTTCCAATCAACTGTGAACAATTGGGTCCTTTCTGACATGTTGGCTGGGTGATAAAGGTTCTGTCTTACAGCTCTGTGTTTTAGCAAAGTGCTTTCTCTAAGGCTCACGCCACCCTTCTCCAAAGTTCACAAAACCTCCTGGAAAAGCCAGGCTTGTTTGCTTTCCTCCATCACTTCAGAAACTGGTGTGTGCTGAATCTTCATTCTTTAGACCAGAGTCACAGTCAGACTTTCTAGAGAACCAGTTGTTGATTTAGACAACGATTAGCAAAAGCATAATTATTAGCTTTAAAAGTGCTCTCAAGGCAATCTGTAAGCATCAACAAGCCAAATTGCAGAAATCCCACTCTGCTCTCCAAGACCCTGACTTCTTCAAGGCACTTGGCAGCTTATGGAAAATGAATTGTACCTGTGTCTTCCCTGCCAGAGGCCCTGGGGCCTCCCTCCTGCTGCCTGCCCTGTCTCTCTGACCACCCCAAGCAGGACGGGCGGCTGCGAAGTGGGCACCTGGATTCAGATCCATTGCCCCAGAGGTTCCCTCATTAGCATTCAGTTGTTATGCTTTCCTGGGGCCTTTTGTGGTTTACAGGATGGGAAAGAAATCCCTCGTCAAGAGCCTTAGAAAATCTCGTGAGTGGTGGTTCTTTATTAATCCACTTAATCAGTAAATTACATAATTAATATATCAAATGGTACCTAGAGGCTCAGAATATTTAAAAATAATGTTGTATTGGTTGCACATTTTGATGCTGACTCTAGACATTCCTGGGGACAGCTCCAGAATTTCCATATAGGAGGGGCTTCAGGGTGCAATTTGGTTTGAAGGGGGGAGCTTAGGGAACACATGAAATTAAATGTTTATTTGGGGTGGTTTTTGGGGAGGGGAGGTCAGCTGGAGACTGGGGCCACTCCTGAACACACCTACACACTGATTTCTGAGCCCTTCTGCATTCTTGCTGTATTGAAGCAGGCAGGCCCTGGGAACCCAGATGGCTTTGATAAAGCACTCACCTCCAATTTTCTCACCCCTCTGCCAGCTTCTTGTTCTGCCCTTGGCTCTTTGCCTGCCCTATGTCTGGCTTCCCTCTTCAGCTTTCTACCTGCACCCTTGCCCTTTCCTTCACCACTAACTTTGTTTCAAAATCTATCTCCTCTTTATCTCAGTCTAGTAATAAATGGCTAAAAGGCAGGAATGCCCAAGGGACTGCCATAAACCAGAATTATGACATAGCATCCAAGGCTAAAAGCTGAGCTCACTATTCTAGTTTGAGAGCAAATGTTTTAAATGGTTCAGCCCATAAAGAATCCTGGATCTTAAGAAAATCACAAAAGTTTGGCTTTCTTTTCTTTTTACAAATAAGGACAAACAGGATGACTCTGCCAAGCCAGACATTTTGTTTCTGAGGGTGCTGTCTTTCTAAGAGTGGGCGAGGATACGTTGCTTCTTTCTGGGGCTCTTGTCTTTTTAGCATTTCCCTCCTCATTCCACTCCCATCCCCACCAGAGGTGACATCACAGAACAGAAATGGTGAATCTACAAACGAGGTCAGACAAACCGGTGGAGGATGAAAACAATAGGTTGACCTTTACAAATATACAGTATTAGATTTGAAAGGGCTTGAACCCAGAGATCAGGAGCCGAGGGTAAAAGCACTGAATAATAATGCCACCCACTGGGAGCAATTCCACGTAAGGAAGTTATTTCTCACTGAGATCCAACCCTAGAAAATGTCCTCCCAGGATCCCCTGAGTGAGGGTGCAGGGAAATCGGAACACTTATACATTGTTGGCATAATACTTTTGGAGTGTAAATCAGTGACATGTATCCAAACCCTTATAGACACACATTGACTTTTTTCTTCAGCATTACTTTCTAGGACTTTACCCTCAGAAAACAATTAAGAAAGTGCACAAGACTTACTTAAAAGGATGCTCATCAAAGTACTGTTAGAAATACTGAAAAATGATCTATGTGTCCAATAATGATTCTAGTTAAATAAATTATGGTGTATCATACAATGAAATACCATGAAACTACTAAAAAACGAATTACATTTGTTGTCATGTTCATAAGGTATTTTGGGTGGGAATGAAAGGCAGGAAGGATGTGAATTGAAACTGGACTCAGACCTGGCCCTCAAAAAGCAGGCAATCTAATAGGGGATGGACAACAGGTAGAATCTTGAAAAGGCTTTCAAAAGAAAAGACAAGACAATCAGATCCTGGTTGATTGTTTTGTGTTATTTCCACAAAACTCCTTGTTGCTCTATACAAGGTCTAAATTACTCAGCCTCAAGCAGAGAAGGAAGAAAATAAAGAAGACCACATTAGCTTGGGAACATATCCCTGAATAAACGAGAGTTCATTATGGACTCTTAGTACATCAAAATCCAATTAATTCATTAGCTCTGCACTTGCATTTTTATTCTTTTCCCCTGGCTGCCAGCCTTTTACCCTATGATGTAGTTTACTAGCAATCCCAAAATGGGGTGAGTAGGGGAAATAAAAAGGAGATGAAATCCAAATGAATCCATTTGCTACATGTTAAGTATGATGGACGAGAGCGGGTGGTGAAGGCAGAGAAAAGTGCTGACAACACGGTGTTTGAGAGTCTCTGGCAGAGGCCCCGCCTTGCAAGAGAACAGCCTGTGCGGTGCACATGGGCCCTGAGTAGAAGGTGAGTGAGGGAGTCCATGTGTAGTCCTTGGAGCTATAGGGCCCCCAAGCCACATGCTGCCTGCTGCAGATTTTCTGGGATTGCCAGTGAGAAAGGGGGTTCAGCTGGAAGGGGATCTTCCTCTTCTGACTGCCTACCCTTGAATTCTTTCTTTTCAGAAACATGACTCCTACAGTCACCACGGAGTGTTTGAGTGACACGAAGTCTCCATGTCATGGATGGCCAGGCAGCTGCTGAATGAGGCATGCTCACGTTCTGATTCCCCAGATTAATCAACCTCACTCCTGCCATCTATTCCATCCCTCTGCAATCTCCTACTCACTTGAATATCATAAGTCTACGTTTTTTTGTCCACAAGGAGAAAATAATTCTTATAACTTTAGTCCCTAGACTGTTACTTTTCAAAGTATTCTTTAGGGAACAGAAAGAGAATGCATCAAATCATGTCTGCAGCTACTGTCCCTACTGAAATGTGGCACATCTTGTGTGCCATTAGCCCCCATGGCTTTATATTCTTTTCCACAAAACCATTACTCATGTTTTTATTTTCTGCCCTGTTTCCCTCAGCCTGAGTTGCATTTTTAAAAATGATATCTCAAGATCTTTAAGACACCTACAGTGGTTACCCTTTTATTAGTCCTCCTGTTCAAGCCTTGGCATGAAAAATTTAAGACCTCAGATCTCCTAAAAATCATGTGTGTATAATTACGTTTAATTTTGTTTGGAACAATATTTAAGTGTAAATTTCCTATGAGAAAAGAAGAGCCTGGGATGTATGCATTGGAAAAGGAAAGGTGGCCCATGTCGAGGCATTTCCACTGGACCATCTGCCAAGCGAGTCCCTGAGAGCTGACAGTGCTGCGGGCTGATGGGCTAGCATGTGCACAATGAAAGTTCAACCTAGACAGAAACAGCCTTTCAGGGCTGCCTCCCAGGAGGCCACGGAGGACTGTGATGATTGACTTGCAGCAGAACCTTGTGCCATCCCCCAAGCAGTCAGGTGATGTGCTATTTAGAAAACACCTCAGAGCCAGGGCAACGAGGAAATGATGGTTGAAGCATCTGCGGGTCTAACATGGCCATGGGAGGAGCATCTCTGTTGTGATGTTCATGTCATATCAAGAACTCTTTCTATCTAAGGTGGAAAGTGTGGTCTTGTGGAAGAGAGTGGGGAGTGAGAAGGAGGAACCTGGGACCTCTGCCCCTGTATGCCCTGCACAAGCCCCTCCCTGCTCTGGAACTCATTTGCCTCTCCTGTGAAATTGCAAGAGAAGTAGGGGCTTTCTAAGCATGGCCCTCCAACTCCTTGATCATTCTAGGAATCTCTGATACTTTCATGTGAATGAAGTGGGATGGACGTTCTTAATGAGCTTCTGCCAGTCTCACAATTCCTATAGTTTAACTTAAAAAAAAATCAAGGAAAACAAAGACTGGAGAAATTAATGATGAAAATGCAGTCTGGCCATTTCTTTATTTCAATTTTCCTGTCATCCTTATGTCCCTAAACCAGGGATAATAACAAGTTAGCAGGTATATTTCTTTACAATAACATAAGTCTGCCAAAATATTTTCAAGTTTCTTGTTTGACCTTGCTGAAGGCAACATGAGCTCTTACAGCTGACAGATCATCTCAAGCCCAAGCCTCTGTGGTCCCAGAGCAAAGTCCCACTCAGGTCCAGCTGTGGACAGGCAGGTGCCCATTCAAGGACTGCTTTTCAGGTTTCTTTTCATATACTATCACCCTCATATAGTAAATAATTATTTAGCTGTCTGAAGTATGATGATGGATCACTGCTTTTCTCTCTTTAAACATACAAGCCTAACTGCTGTTTTTTTTTTTCTTTTTCCTTGTTGATAGCTAGTTTCTACCTGTTTCATGTAATTGTTTAAAGAGCCTCGGGCCCATGAAACAAGCTTTGTGGGCATTCCTCGGCAATCAATTTGTCCTGTTAATAGCTCCATCCCTTCCCATAGAGAAGATCCTTCACTTTACAAGAGGTGCTCAGATTTGAAATGATCTGTCTCCCTCCATCCATCAGTCCTTTGCACCTCTTGTCTGCCTCTTTGCACTATGTGCTCTCCCTTTGCATGGGTCCTTCTGCTTATTTCACTCTCTGAGGTTCTGGAGCCTGTTATCTCGTGTATCCAGTCCTCGGCCTCCCATCCAATCCTGGATCAATTGCTGGAGCCCTGCAAGTCACTTCATCTCTGTTCACGGTTTCTACTGCAAGGCACAGTGCACAGAAGAGCAATGTGCTGAGGCTAGAGTTCACAGGAACCCTCCTCTTAGGGACTTGAGACTCTTGAAGGAAGCCATAATGGCTTCCAGATAGATGAAATGGAATACAATGAAGGCAAGGCAGTTTCACTCTCTTCAGTGCAGACTGCATTGAAAAGGAAGAGCTTGCCTTCATTTTGATGCCAAGACTAAGGAAAAGTTCCTTTGAAGGGTTTCTCTCTCTTGCCCTGTCCACTTTTTTTTTTAAGTAAGAGGCTTTTTTTTCTAGTCTCAGTATTTTTATTCTACCTTCTATGCAGGGACTGCCAAGGAAGGGCCCGTGGTTGGCCGGGAAGGAGAGGAAACACAGCACTGAAAGTGAGGATGAGAGAAGGCAAAGAAAGCCGATAAGTTAACCCTCTAGGAGATGGCAAAACGCTACCCAAAGGGCTAGGAAGAAAGTTGCATCTCAATTGCACTTGCTGTGGACATCCCATTTTTCTCTTATTTAATTAGAGGCACATGAGTTGAACACAGGAGATAAAGACATCTGCAGACAGGTCTTCAAGAGCGCTTCAAGAGTGCTCTCCACTAGCCCTCCTTCTTCCCCACCCCTTCAGTCTGACCAGCAGAGGGCTGTCCCATGCATGAATGTCCTCCCAGCATCCCAAATTGTGTCCACAAAAGAACCAAAGATTCAATCCCCAAATATTTACTAAGGTCAACTATTGTTCCTAGCTGATGCCAGGCAAGCTGTATACAACTGGATCTCTGCTTTCAAGCAGCTGACGATATAATTGTTGGGACAAGACAGAGACAAATGAAACAAAGAAAAACCAGTGTAAAACCATATATCACTCTGTGATGAAATTTGTGGTTTTTGCAGTTTTGTTTTGACCGGTACTCATAGAACTGTCAGCGATCGATAAAATGCTTGCCGGTGATATCAATATGTCATCAAAATTAATAGCACACCATGGCTGAGCTCCATTTATTCACTCATTCAACAAGTACTTATTAAGCACTTACTCTAATGATATTTTTGGATTTGCAAAGAGCTTTACACTTTGCTAAACACTTTCACAGTGACTTATTTGATTCTTATCGGGCAGGCAGATTTACAGGAGATAGACAATGAGACTCAGAAAGGTTAGGTCGTTTTCCAGGTTACCAAGTTGATAAGCCTGAGATCCAAGACTGTAGCTCTCTCTAGTCATCCATGTACCCTCTTCCAGTCTACCCCTCAGGCTCAGCCATAAACAATGGCTGTACATTTGAGTCAATATGGTTAGCTGGCGGCCAAGACCTTATGCATCCTACCCACTCCTCCTTCACATACAATTATGGATAAAAAGGCTTTCCTTCAAGTTCTATAAATAGGAGTCCTAGGAATTCCATCTATAGGTTTTGTATAGATCTGCACACACACACTTTCCTGGCCCTTATACTCTGCTTCTTTCATCCCCGCTCCTTTTGTGTGGAGAAGACCAAACTGCTGATTTGTGATCTTTGTGAATGTCTCCAGAGGCCCAGGATGAACTTTACAAACCCACCTCAATTTCAGGCCGAGGGGCAGGGTCATTTGCACAACTCTGTCCATCTTTCTCACCCCTCAAACTCTGATTAAAATGGTAATTGAGGGCAGTTGGGGTGCGGAGGAGAAAAAAGAAAGGAGCTGAGCTTTTATGAGGCTAAAAAAGGCAGCTGTTTTCATTACCACTTGGAGAGGGTGTGTGGGGGGTGTTCATGTGCAGGGTAGACATGAATGATATGACATGAATGGATTTTATTACTTTAGTCTGTGCCATAGCTGACTATACCCCCAAAGACTAGGGTACCAAGATTGATATGTAAAGATTCCCCACAAATCAGAGTGAGGGTGCCTTTTCATGTACGAAGATTGAATTTATCTTTTTCTCTCTTCCCTTCTTCTTTCCTTTTTTCCTTCCATTTTTCCGCTTTCTCCTTTTGTCCCTTCTTCCTTCTCTCTCTTTTTCTTTATAATGTTCCCCCTTTCACAAATCTATTCCTTACAGCACAAATGACTCCTTTATAAAAGGAGTCATCAAAATTAAATTGCATTCCAGACTCCATTGCAAAAAACAAAACTCACTACCAATATCTCCAAATATTTCCATAATGTTTTTTCTCCCACACCTTTCCTAAATAGAAACATGTCTCTTCACATGACACCAGAATCTCCAGGTTTTTTCATTGGAGGCTACTCCTCCTTCTCTCACCCAATAGGACCCAGAGATGGTGTTGACATTCCTTGAGGTGCATGTAGATTGATGTCATTTACTGTCTTCCAGACCCACCTCCATTTAGAATTGTGGCACTCTCTGCTCTTCACCCAGCCCCACTCATCATCAGAGTTAGCTCTAACCCATCTAACACCTCAACCTTAAAGTTTCTTTACCTTCTGAACTAAACACCTTTGTCCGCAACCCATCCTGGAGTCCCATGACCTTGGCCCAGTTGAGAAGCTATCATAACATGGGACTGCTCCACCTTTAGAATGTTCACTTTGTCATATCACTCTCTGACCACCTCTCCTTCTCTTTCTCTCTCTTTTAGTGCCTTTTTAAAGCCCCATCTTCTTTTGAATCTCAGTAAAAATATAATTCTATAGTTGATGTTTACTGGAAGCTTTTTATGTGCCAAATCCTGTGTGTATATTATCTAATTTATCCTCACAACAACTCTATAGATGTACGTGTTATTACTATCTCCATGTTACAGATGAGGAAGCCTCAGCTTAGAGCAATTCCCTCAAAGTGGCACAATTAACAAATGTGTTAAAAAGCTGGCAAGTGCCCCAGAGCTTATACTGCTAACCTGTATGCTAAAACCCTTCCATTTTGCCTACTCCATTAACTCACACATAACTCCACTTCCTCTCCTATCCGCCCTGAAAATCTGGATGCATGACTTTGCCCTCCATTTAGCCACACCTTTGCATTTTTCACTCCATGTCCTTCTCCTGCTGTCACCCCACTAACCTCCAGGCGTGAATTCATCCAACTACCTGCATGTTTTACTCCAGCCCTGGGCTGATGAGCCCCCCAGATTCATACTTGGGTTGAAATCTAATGTCAATGCCACTTTACTTGTGTCTTCAGAGGCCAAGTTCCAAAAAGAGCATCAGGCAGAGTAGGGACTGTCAAAGGCAACCCTGGCACAACCACCAGAGTCCAAGTGAAACTTTATGTAGGGAGTATGCATGCTTTCCATGGAACCAGGCCTATTTGCCCTCAAGGAAGTAGCCACCAATAAAACAAATAAGGAAACAAACACCCTAGGTGTTTGTTGTTGAACAAACTTCATGATGCCTGCAGTCTCATGAGAAGCACCCTCACCCTCAGCAGTCTGTGCTGTCTGAGCACCTTCTACACCTGGATTGGACAGGAACAAAGATCATGGGCCGCTACTACTGACAGCACTGATGTGCACTAATGTTAATGAGCTCACACCGAGGTCAGCAGAACGACCTCAGCCTGAGCCTACTGCCTCAGTTGGCTTAAAGAGTAGCCACTGCCATTTCATTCATTTGCTCATTCATTCATTCAACAATTTCTTGAATGTCCTGAGCTAAGCAGTGAGGATACCATAAAGAATATGACATTTACATCTGGAAATATTTACATTCTTTAGTAATCAAGACTTCATTCCTATATTTACTGTCAGAAAACCACTTATGAAACCAGAAGAGGCTGAGGTATTTTAGTAGAGAATGGGCCCAAAGAAAAAAAATGGACAGATAATGTCCCTCTTGATATTCCTCTTGATATTTTCTGAAGAGTGTACAGGAGAGGGAGAAGCACCTTTGATGCGGGTCACATCAATCAGTCAGTCAATCATAATGGGCACTGTCATCCATCTGTGGTGTTTGTGTTTAGTTCAAGTACAAAAGTACAGGCTTATTATAAGAAACTTAGAATACATAAAAAAATTGAAAGATACATATACCATAATATAATTACATGTAACAGAATAACATATAAATTACATATAGAGAGAATATATATATATATATATTCCAACATCTGAATTTAACTATTTTATCATTTTGGTGTATTCCCTTCCAGTATGTTTGTCTCATTCACATCTTTCTCTAAAATAAAATAAAATAAAATAAATTCATCCATATGCATTCTAGATGCCATATGAGTAGAGCTCATATCCTTTCACCCTACCTAGCCTCCCTAACCATGATTTAGAATTTCCCAGGTGACTTTCTTTTTCGTCCAGGGAGACATGCCTCAAGAGAAGGAGGCTTAATTTTAATAGCTTAAGTTGAGAAGATTGACTGTTAAATATCTTGCGATTCATCCTGAAGCTAAATGCATTATATATCATCTTGTTTGCATTTGTTGGCAGTTTTTAGTGGTCCAAATTGATCCTCTGATTAGCGTGCCTAAGCAGACGTTGACCATAGAGGTATTTCATACTCCCTGTACTTGTGTACAAGTGTGTGTGTACACCCTCCAGCCACACTCCACCAGCTACTCTCTGACTTTGATTAAGGAAGAAATAAATTTATGTCACCTGCAACCTGCCTTCTGTTTTGTACCAGTAAAAGATTCTGCCCTTGCTAGGGTTGTGAGCCCACCCTCCCTCAGAGCCCTGCGGCTTTTCCAGGAAGCAGGGAGGTGAGGTATGGAGCTAGCACTGCAGCAGTCGTGTGGGAGAGCAGGATGGTGGCTGAGTAATAAAGATCCTGGCTGCTGTTTTCTGGAGGGAGAAGGCCTGGCTTGCTAAGCAAAGTAAGATGGAAAGAAGTAACTGGAGAGTAGCTTGTCACACCCACCCAGCCTGACAGCCCAACAGGTGAGTTAGCAAATGCTACACTGTAAGGAATTGCAAGCTATTTTCTGCAAAGTGGGCAAAGACTGTGGGATTAACGACTGTACAGCATGATAGATGTTGCTAAAGAAGGCCATAAATTACCAGCCATAAACCTGGCAAAGCTTATCCGATTGTATGTTGCAATCTGGGGCACTGGCAGATTTCCAGCACGGCTGGGGGTGGCAGGGTGGGCGTGGGAGTTGATGCAGAAGCTGGCAATGCATACTCCTGGCCGTAGGGTACAGATGGTGAGCTTGGCAGATGTCCAGAATTGGAGGCTGTGGAGGCAGCAATGCTACTGGATGAGCTCTGCCTTCTCTGAATGGCAGCCCTTGGTCAGAGATGCTAGAAAAGCCCACAATAAGGCTTGGCATGAGCAATTAAAATAAAAACAAAAAACCTCAGTCTTCTTCCCATTTCCTGCATATGGGATGGTTGGCCAAGGGGGCCCTTCCTTGGATATGAGTTGGGAGATCAGATCCCAGTTGTTTTTTATCTCAGGTCTTGAAGAGGAAGATGAGAGGTGGTGGGAGTGGGCGTGGAGAGAAGACCTGGGATGATGTCTGCTCCCAACTTCCTCTGTCAGGGATCCTAAACCTAGTTAAGTGCTGTGGATCTAACCTGTGACCATGACAAGGACCTTCAGGCCATTACCATGGCCTTAAATGATGACCAATCTCCAGCCAGACCCAAGTCCAGTTCTCGCATTCCCAAAACCTTCTCCTTTCTCCCCACCCTGGGTGAAATGAAAAGACGTCCTGTCCCCATTGTCCTTTTCTGTCTGCTCCTGTGGTTTTAAGAAAAGGTATAAGATAATCAAAGTACAGAAAAAAGAAGAAGAGAGAGAAAAAAGAGGATCAAATGAAAGAAAAGATGGGAGTAGGAGTCAAAGAATCACACCATTTCCTCAGGTCTTTCCCTCCAATCCCCACTACCAAGAGTTGCATCAAACATGACACTGATTAACTGCTAGTGGGAGATATGCAGCGATAAGATATGGCGCTATCTTCTACCTTCTTCCCATCCAGTACACACTTGTACATACACACACACACACACAACCTTTTTATACACATACTTTTCAAAAAGTGTCTGCTTACCAAATAACAAAGATCAGCCTCAACAGATAATTGTTCCCCTCCTTTCTTTCCTCTCCTATGGTGCAGAAGGCAATACACCTAAGCAACACTGACCCTTGTGTGTAAGGACTGCAAAGCAGTGAAGGCATGCTGCTTCCTTCCAAGTGCTGATGGTCACAGAGGCACGGAAGGCAGATCAAAGGCCAAGAAAGCACATGAGCTCCGTTCTGCATGAAGATAAAGGGTCAGAAAAAGTTGACTATCAGCCTATGTATTTACTGAGTACCTATTATGTACTGTGTCAGCCATTAGGGATTCAGTGGTGGACAAAACAGATGTAGCACATTCCTCATGGAATTTAGTAACTAAGCAGTCTGGAGAAGTCATTGGTGCTATTGACCAAGTATCTCTTGCTCTCTGCCTTCTGGAGGCCTGGCAGGATTGCACTTTCTGGCCTCTTTAGGTTTGCTGGGGCCATGTGGCTTGTGAGTGGAGGTACACCATGTCACTTCCAGGACAAAGCTTTATTTCATTGTCAGTGTGAGACCTTCCCAAGCAATATTCAAGTTGGTGGCTGTTCTAACAGCCTGGGTCCCTGAGAAACTAAAATAAGCAGAGTCTGCCAGCTAACTTGCAATGGACAGGTGGTGTGAACAAGAAATAAACTTACATTGTTTTAAGCCACTGAGCATTTGGGAGCATTTTTTACTATAGCATAACCTAGCCTGTCCTGACTGATATACTTCTATCAGGGACCAACACCTTTATTGAGAATCCACTATGTGCAAGCCTTGTGCTAGGCACCGTGGTTGGATAGAAGCATTCATGGGTACTCATCTCTACCCTCAGCCTGTCACAGCCTGGTTGACGAACACATGAGGAACATGCCAACCATCATTTTTAGCACATAGACACCCAATAAATGTATTGGTTGCTAATAGGAGTCTATCAGTCAGAGGCTAAAGAGGAGTAGAACTCAAAGGAGAGAGAGAGAGTGCCTCAGATTGGGTAGTGAGGAAAGACTTTGTGGAGGTTTGGACTTGAGATGGGCCTTGAAGGCTAGATTGAATGTAACCAGGTAGACAGCAGTGGATAGAGCATTCCAGGTGGGAGAGAGCCCGCACCACAGTGCACCGGGGGACTGTGTATGATGGGCTTAGGAGGCAGTTGGTAAAAGTTGCTGTCCCCACACAAGCAGTGAGAAGGCTAAGTGGTGGGGACTGCACTGCTAAGTTGAACCAAGCTGGAGCCTGCAGATGCCAGTGGAAAAGTCATCCTCCTGGGAGCTGTGGGGGCAAAGGAAAAGGTGTGGCAAAGTGGATGGCCCAGGCCTGCTCTGCTAGGGGCTGCGATTCGAGACATCCTCATTTGGGGAGCTGTGCCTCCAGCCAGCAGCTATTTTTTCCCCTCATTCTCTGCAGAAGGTAATAACCCGTCACCAGAGCAAATAAAGTCTGATTTACATGAAATTTAATGCTAAGAATTTTCCTTTATTCCCCAGCACTGCTGTGGTAGGATGGCAGTGATGGCACAGCTGGGCCTGCTGTGTGCAGCTGCGGGATTTCACTGGATAGAAGTTTAAAAAGAAATTACTTTTCTGTGACAGGGTCTATCACCATGGGCAGGGGGCTCTCAGTCAGCTTGGCAATTTCCCACCGGTTTTCCCTGAAAGAGATGCAAAGTCAGGTGGAGAGAATTTGAGCAAGGTGGGAGGAGAGGAGGAAGTGCAGTCAGAAATCTATTCAGTATTTCCGGGCGCTGGTGGGTGATCCTTAGCCTCACTGCGACAGTGACTTGAGTCTCATAAAGCAGCACTGGTACCACCCTTGCACAGGCCATCATGATTACCATCTATCACCAATGATCAGAAATATTCTTTCAGGACCAGCCCTGACTGTACTAGGCACAGCAGCTACAAAGACAAGGCCACTGCCCCTAGGAATTTATCCTTAGTGACACCAGCTACTCACATAAAAGCATGATCTTTCCCCACCTCCATCATCATCCCACCACACCATCCCAAGCTTGTAAATACTTCATAAACTTTACTATCCTTTGCTAAATGTTCACCCTTTCACTTAGAATATCTGTATACATCCTATTCATTTTTTGAGACTCTGCATAATCCTACTTCATTTTTGAGACACTATTTTTTTAGATGCCACCTCTTCCATGAAGCCTTCTTAAACCCCCAAACCAAAATAAGGCTCCTCTTCCTCTGTGCTCCCAATTCACACTAATTACAACTTATTTTAGTGCTCATTATTTCTCTACTCTGTGTATGATAATTGAGATGCATGTGTTTTCCCATCACTGGACTCTGTAAAATCCTCAAAGACTAATATAAAGACCCTGGTAATTAGCCAAAGAAGGGCCATCCATTCTTTTTCAAGCATGCCCCCTGGGGGTTTCAATTCATTCCCCCACACCATATGCAGGGTGATTAGAGACCTTGTGTTATTCTCATCTGGCAGGGAAAGGGAGTTCATGCAGCGGGGTAAGCATATATAGGGTACAAGATGTAGGCTACAGAGAGTCTTGAATCTCAGGCTAGGGAGTCTGGATCCAACTCTAGAGACAATAGGGGCCCAGGGAAGAATTTGGGGTAACTGCCTTCAAGTAGTTCAATAACTTCCCCCACAGTTTGTTGGGCAGGTTGTGTCTTGTTATTACTTTTCTTTGTCCTTGGGATCAGCGTTTTAGGAGTTTGCTAGGTCTGGGAGTGAAGACATTTCTTTTACTTGACCAAGTGACCTGAGGATTCCCTGGTCACCCTCTTGGGCCATGACGGTTCCATTTCCGGGATCTCCCTGCTGCCTAACACACAACAGACAATCAATTACTCTTGCCATGATTTATCTGAGGCCACACTGGAATCTTCCATCTTCACTAGATGTCTGACACTGCCCCACACAAGCCTTGGTCAGTGTGGGTGCTCAGGAAGTACAAGTGGCTTGGAGGGCTGGGGGTGCGGGTTTGGGAGCGAGGTAGGGAAAGGGGCTGGCAGCTATCATACTGACCCTTCCTGCGCCTGTAAATAATGCCATCTATAATATCGTTTCTGTGGAGGGCCACGCTAACTGTCAGAGTGTTCAGAATCTGTGGTCTACCCATTGGCCTTTCCTGCACTGTATTTGATGGTCCAGCTGCAGCAGAGCAGCACGAGGAGGGAAATCTACTGCCCCAAATGCTATATTCCCGAGCCTATTAGAAATGAGTTTCACATTTTTCTGCAGGGAAAGATTATCCATGCCATTGCTCATGCAGATAACTAAGAGTGGGTTGTCAATATCCTACATATTAACTGTGTGACCTTGAGCGAGTTATTTCACCTCCCTGAACCTCGGCTTCCTCCTCTGTAATATAAGGAGGAAATTGCTTTGAAAAGTTGTTGAAAGCAGAAAATGAAGACCCAGCCCAGGGCCTGCCGTGTGCTGGATGCTCAATATATGTTAGCGCTTGTTATTAGTAGTGAATAGATCCAGACCTCTCGGGTCTGTAGTTGTGTGTGCCTGGCTGAGCAGGGCTCGCCTCACAGTGGAGTTTAGTAGGTTCCACTTGTCAAATGTGGACGTGGGTGTGAGGTGGAGCGGGCAGGCCTGCCGGGGGAAACTGGATGCATTCAGGGGAGATCTGGGGACAGAGAGGGAGGGGTGAGGGCAATTTAACTACATAGATAACCAGACAATAGCAAGATGAGGGGCCATAGAGAAGGTAAACAAGATTGATAAAAGAGATTAAAAAGGAGGGAGAGGAAAGGCACTGGAGGGGAATATAAATAGAACAGAATATCAACAGGATAGATGCTGTGGATGAAAAGGGGCTGTAAAGCAGAACAGGCAGAAAATACAAACAGTGCAAATAGCTCAGTGGATAGAATATGAAAATGACATGGGCATACAGAGGGGGAGCATTACCTAGATCGATGCAGGAACAGTGGGGAGAGAGATGAATGAGAGAAGGGAGGAGGGAGACCCTCAAGGCCACAGCTCCACCTTGGGTTCACTGCCTCTGCCTAGTCTCTGGCCCCTAATGGCTTCAGTGATGTGGCTTAATGAGGAGATCCCTGGAGCTGAACTAGAATTAAAACAAATGGAAATCCTGTGGGGATTTTGTCACCTCTTCTGCACTCACCATTGAGAAGAATTTAAATGAGAGCCAGCCTGGCAATTAGTGTGTCATCCTGTAGCTGTGACGAAGGAGTACTTCTGTGGGTTCTGATGCTGGAGCAGGTGAGGGTGGTGGCTACCCCTGGTGAGGTGAAGTCTGTCTAGGCAGAAGCCCCCTCCTCTACTGCCAGGAACCCTGGATGTCATGGCAGGCCCTGTCTCAACTCACCAAGGCCAGGAACTCTTTGCCTTGGCCACAGTGCTACCACCAAATGTTATCTGTATAACTCTCTCAACTAAGCAAAAATAACTGACTGAGAATCCTTCACCATTTCCCATCATAAGTCCCATTTATTCAGAGCTAGAGGCTGAGGTAAGTCCTCCCTCTCTCCCTCCCTCCCTCCCTTCCTCCTATCCTTCCCTTCGTTCCTTCTTTCCTTCCTTCCTTCCTTCCTTCCTTCCTTCCTTCCTTCCTTCTTTCCTTCCTTCCTTCTTGCCTGCCTACCTGCCTGCCTGCCTGACTGAATTTAAGATTTGCTAAGCATTTAGCCATCATTATATAACACAAGATATTTTACATGGGCTATGGGAGTGCTACAGACTGTAGGAATGATGAGGAGTCAAAGGCAGGAAGACAAGCTTGCTGTGGGCTGGTGAGCATGGAGAGGGGCTTGAAGTATGAGCAGGTTCAATACGGAAGATAGGTGGGACTGGCAGACCAGGCAGAAGGGAGGGTCTGAGAAAGAAAATGAAGGGCACATTTGGGCAATGGCGATTAGACCAATGTGGTGGGAGCTGAGGATTTGACAGAAGAGCAGTGGGCATAAAGTATGGAAAAGTCATTTGGATGAATGGGATGGTCAAGGTCAGGAATTTGGATGTTATCTAGTATCAGTTATAACCCACTGAGGTTTTGAGGAGTACAGACAAGGTCAGTTTGGGATGGTGATGGGTAAAATGATAGAGAAGAAATGGGGTAGGAGACAAAGAGGCCAGGGCAGGGGTTCCGTCCTTGGAAATAGAGGGGAGAGGGTCAGCAGCACCACCCACCCTTCTTTCCCATAGTCCTTCCCTTGGATACCCAACTTCTATTCTGATCCCCAGGCAGGTCCTGCCTTTTATCCTTCCATTGCTTTCCTTCTTCCTTCCCTTTCCCTTTCAGCGGGGTGGCTTCAGTTTTTAAGGAGGCTATTGGTCCCCATGGCAACTTAGACACATCAGAGATCCCTGAAAAGATGCTGAGGTCCAAACGGCATAAGGAAAGGAAAGCTGGAGACAGGCCCCCACCATCAAGGCATTCACCTACAGAGTCGACCCCAAGAAGCCCACTACCTGACATCTAGACATTTGATTCGGGGAGGCAGCTGCTGGGGAGAAAAGTGGGGAGGTGGCTCTGGCAGCTGATGCAAGACAGCTTGACGCTCTCACATGAGGTGTGGCCAATTATTTTGACAATTCTGTCTTGCGTGTCAGTTAAATGTTTTGTGCTGTACAACCTAACTTCTCCCCAAAGAGAGCAGGGGCAGGAAAATGAAGCCTACCTTTTTTGTATGCCCCGTAGAACCTGGCACAGTGCTGCACACTGGGTAAGAGCTCAGAAATACCATTTAAATAAATGAATGAAGCCTGACACTGTACCTGGGGGGTCTCTATTTGCATATGAAATGTGATTAACTTTTTACAGAGATCCAAGGGAGGGCTGTCATTCAAAGCAATGCCTTTGCTGATTCTCCCACTGCTCAAAATATCCTTTGAACTTCTCTTAGAATTATCTTTAAGGCTAGTTAACGAGCCACACAAGAATAGCAGTCTTATTACATTACAATCACTCTGTGCACATGGAATAAACCCTCCCTTCTTCTGCAACTTTCAGCAAAAGAAAGCTTGTGGGATGATTTTTACCTCCTTTCAAAGAAGCCCTTTTGTGATTCATTTAACTTATTTTTTTTACTTACAAGATTGTCCATGATATTTTCACGTAATCTTATTTACATGAGAGAAGGGAATGGTGTTTTTGTGTTTGTGTGGGATACGGTCAATTAAGGGCAGCTTGCCCTGCCCTGGCATCCCACCATTTTATGGCATGTAGATCTATTTCCTTCAATTGCTTTAAAAATTCTCAATATTGTCTTTCCATTGTGAGAGTGGGGAGATCCTGTATATTCTTCTAGAAAGAACAGAGGGTTTCAAGTTGTCAGGGGGTGGGGGATGGGGGTCTCTGCTTTGAAAACAAAAACTGTGTGAAAAGGTAGTTATGACTGACAGCAAGTCAATTTTCCTTCCAGGTTTACAAGTGGGAACACTGCCAGTCTAGCCATCAGGACTGAAAGCTCAGTGGAACAAGCTTGAACTGACAGCTGGCTTTTAAATATCCACAGAACTTTCTGCATGGTGTTGTGGCTGGCCCAGGCTTTGCAGAGACTGCTGCTGCTGCCCACAGTGGTGTCAACTAGAACTGAAAATGGGAACCGCTCATCCTTGCCTACTGTCTGTGTCTACCCAGTGTCTTTTCCTCCAGAGCAGGGGTTGCTGGATAGAATGCCATAGATGCGTCAAGAACAGCCTTCACTGTAATCTCCACACTCTTAGACAGGGGTTCATCTGAGCAGAGGACTAAATCCTTTCTTGGCATGTGGGCTAAAGTCTCTTGGCAAAGAAACGGAGGTCCCAGCTCATCAGAAATTCTATCTTCGGCAGCCATGAGCAGATGGATTGGAGTTTCTTGGGGTCGAGCATTTGCACTTGTCCACCTCCACCTCCAAACTGGATATTTATAGTAGAAAAACAATCTGTTGGTTGGGAAGAGCAAGGAACCCTCATGGCAGCATGGGGTGGTGCAGAGAAAATGTGGTGGGAGTTCTGATCTTCTTGAACTTCTATGTGCCCAATGCTCATTGTCTTTGACTTCACTACAATGAAGCTTTGGAATCTTTGGGGCATTTTTTTCTTACCTTTTGAGAGTTCCATTTTTATATTTGCAAAATGACAGATTAGATAAGATGATCAGGTTTATAGTGTTGGTGACAGGCATAAAGTGACATGGCCCCTGCTAATAAAGAAAGATAAGGCTAGAAACTCAGTAACAAGTCAGTATTTCCCATTACTAGTATATCTAGAAGCCGACAAGCTTGTGCTTATTCATCCCTACCTACATGCCAGGGACTGATAGCACATGTTTGGGATGTGAGAAGCCAGAATTAGAGATATTATCTCTGGCCCTAGACTAGAGCAAAACCAATCAAATCCTGCAGGCCAGAATCTAGGATTCATCAAAAGGATGCTTCAACCTACTAAACTCACAAATTCTGGGTGGTACCAGGAAAAGATTCTCTTTTTGGCTGCAAAATCTTAAAGATTAAACAAAAGTAAAGCAATATTCTAAAATATTATCTCATGACTTTTCCTTTATAGGTAATGCCTTTTTACCTACAACTCTTTCACCTTTGAAACTAGACCATCAGGCTGAAGCTAATTGCCCCAGGGCACCATAGAACCTCTTGAGAACCAAGACTTAGAGTATTGTTTTTGAGTTCTTGAAAGCCAATATTTGCTATTGCAAGAGCTAGGACTCACTGTAGTTATTGCTGCATTGTTTTCGTTTTAATATCAAAACTTAGCTTTGACTGTGGCAAGAAAAGGCTGAAGGACTCAAGCATAGAATTTACACTACAAATTAGAGGAAGAAGTTCCTAAGGATGTAAAGACAGTTGCACCATCACACAGAGAAGAGGTAGGACCTTTTCTAGACTTGAGAGAAAATCCTGAAGAAGATGGGAAGATGACTACAAACAAGTTTCAGTGGTAAGTATTGGCCATGCTCCATGTTCTACTTTGAGGTTGAAACCCTGGGAGAGGGGGTGGTGGAGAACTCCACATAGTGAGCCAAGAGGCCTTTACCATGCTTCTTGCCTGGACTAGTAGTATCAGTGTTCTTGCCTGGACCCAGAGGACCACACCACTATGGAGAGTTGTGTAGATGAAAGGTGTAATGGTTTGAATGCTTATATCCTCCAAAACTCATGTTGAAATTTAATTGCCATTGTAACAGTATTAAGAGGTGGAACCTTTACAAGGTGATTAAGCCATAAGGGAGGGCTCCACCCTTATGAATGGATTAATGCCACTATCATGGGATTGGGTTCATTATAAAAGGGTTAGTTCAGCCCCCTTTTCTCCTCTTAACCTCTCTCTGCCCTTCTGCCATTTCTGTGCCTTCTACAATATGATGGCATGCAAAAAAGCCCCCCCAACCCCCGAGATGCCAGCACCTTGATCTTGGACTTCCCAGTCTTCAGAACTATGAGAAATACCTTTTTGTTTATTACAAATTACTGTCTCAGCTATTCTGTTATAGCAGCATAAAATAGACTAAGGCAACATGATAGGTATGGGCAAAGAGAGGGCCAGAGGAAATAATTCCTCCTACCTCAACCCCCTAGACTGCCTCCCTAAGGGTGTGGAAGAGATCTCATGTGCCCGAGTAGAACACAGGTGGCCATAGTTTGAAATCCAGGAGACCTTCCAGGGTAGCCAGGGGAAGGAGAGCCCAGGTAGGAGCTGAGCTGGCATTGAAGCCTCAGAAAGCCACAGTGCCTGTGAGAGCTGAAGTAGGAGCCCAGCTGGCTAGAGGAGCCTGTTGAGCTGACCCAGGACAATGACAAGCATCCTGCAAGAATTGCGAGACACCCAGCAGCAGGCAGCAGCAGAGAAGAGAGCCGGCTGCCAAGGTCATGCACAATTTCCACTCCTGCCCATACCCAGAACTTAAGAGACCCCTGATAGGACTGAGACAGTGACTAACAGGGGGCTAGCAGGTCTAAGAAAGCTCATGGGACAGAAGAGGAGGGCACTGGGAGACTGCATGGACTGGTCAGTGGAGGCCATAGTAGAGCAGTGGTCAACTAGTGGAAACAACCTTAGTGGAAACAAGCAAGGCAAAAGGATGGCTTAGATACCAAATACCCCCTTCCCCTCATTCCTGTAGCATTCAGGGTGTCCTCTGACTGTACATGGGCAGGCATGGTGAGGGTCAGCCACTATTTGAGACACAGAAAAGGGAAAGGACATCTCCAGTTGAGATAGTTCATGCAAAGATTACAGAACTGATTGATCAAATTCAGACAAATATGTGCTGTAGAGAACTGCAGGATCAACCATGTCATAAGACAGGCCAGCTCACCCTGCCCAGAATGACACACCAGAAGAGCCAGCACAGGGAAGCCAAGGAGTGTGGGGATCTAGTCCAGAAGACGTGGAGCTGTGTGACCTGGACACCTTTCTTGACCCTATTAGGCTCAAATACCTCATCTGTAATACAAACCTTAATGGGTGCTATTAATGGCTAAATTGTATCCCTCTAAAAAGATATGTTGAAGTTCTAATCCCCAATGCCTCAGAATGTGACCCCATTTGGAGACAGGATTTTAACAGAGGTAACCCAATTAAAATGAGGTAATTGGGGTAGGCCCAATCCAATGTGACTGGTGTCCTTATCAAAAGGGGGAATTTGGACACAGATGCAGACATGACAGAGGGAAGATGATTTGATGACATGCAGGGAAAAGGCAGCCACATGACTGGAGTGATACCTCTACCAGCCAAGGAATGACAAGAATTGCAGAGAAACACCAGAAACCAGAAGAAGCAAGGGAGGATTCTCCCTTAGAGACATCAGAAAGAGCATGGGCCTGCTGACACCCTGATTCTGGACTTGGACTTCTGGCTTGCAGAACCGTGAGACAGTAAATTACTGTTGTTTTTAGCCATCCAGTTTTTGATACTTTGTTATGGCAACCCAAGGAAACTAATATAGGTGGCCTGCAAGGTTTGAATGTGTGATGTATGAAAAGCATCAACTACATAACAGATTCTAAAACACTGAAAATTATAACAATAAATACTCGCTATTTGATGCTTAAACCTCTTTATGACTCTGGGCTCAAGGGCCTAGGATCTTCTGGTTCAAAGATAACCTTGGTTGGTACCAACATTTTTACTCATAATAATTGGCATGTGATAATAATAACAGGAAGTTCTCAATATTCTCCAGCCTACAGCCACATTTTAAAAAAAGTTTGGTTTAATTTATTTTAGGCTTAGGAGCTTGTACTAATTAGTATAGCTGTATATATATTAAGTGTAAATGAACTTTTCTACATCTCCCACCCAACTGTCAAGGAAGGGCTCCAATTTCAGATGCTTTGGTGTCTCCTCCACAATTGCACAGAAGCAGTCTGGACAGGGGTGTGTCTGCACGTCATTGGTTTACTGGCTTCCCTTAGCTACCTCCTACTAAATAACGTTGTTAATAGCAAATACAAACATGAGTGTTGATGATGTGCAGGCACATTCTGAGGCCTTAACTCATGTCAACCCATTTAACCTTCTTAACAAAAACTGATGATGTGATCTGGGCACAAAAACTGATAAAGTAGGTGCAGTTATCTATATTTGATGGAATAAAACAAAAAACAGAGGTATGGAAGATGGAGGAGGGTTAAATAATTTGCCTAAGGTCATATAACTAATAAATATAAAACCAGGATTTGAATGCAACTACTCAAACTTAAGCACAAAACTATATGAACTATCATTTGCTGCAAAAGTCATTCCTGAAGTAGTTCTGAAACAAAATCACAAAATGTTAGAGAAAATCGTGAGCATGTATTATGTGCCAAGAGTATTGCAAAAACATTATCTTGTTAATTCTCATAGTAGCCTAAAAATGAAACTACTATTATTCCCATTTTATGGATGAGAAAGCTGAGGCATACAGATTAAATAACTTGAATGAATACCATAGATCTTAAGTCTCAGAGCTGGGATTCAGACTTGTGTTTTTCAGATTCCAAAGCCCATGTTCTTTATACCAGATCACTCTGGCTCGAAAGACAGGAAGACCTTAATAGTATAATAGCATAATATCCTATCCAGATAGGAACTGCTTGAAGAACACCCTAGTAAATGGTGGTTCTTGAGTATCTTCAGTTGCTGAAAATCTGTTCTCACATGGTCAGCCTCCCACTTCCTTCCCTTCCTTCCTTCTCTCTTTCTCCCTCTCTCCCTTCTTTCCTTTCCCTCCATCTCTCATTTCCTTCTCTCCTGTCATTAATGAAGGGCCTAGAAAAGTTTCCTAACTTTTGTGATGTCTTGGCACACATAAAGAATAGTTTCCAGACTTAGGCTGCTCAGGGCTCCAGCAGCTAGGATGCCCTAAGCACTGAGGTGTGCCAAAACTTGGGCACACTTGTAACTCACCTGGAGAACATAATTAAGAAGCTTTGATCTAAAATAAGTGACTAATAAGTAATGAGGCAATGTTAATACAGCATGGTGTGTCCTATGATGAGATGAGTACGGGACTGGAAGAATATCAGCAGAATAATGACTCAATCTTTGGTGATCAGGGAAGCCCTCAAGGAAGAGGGATTTTCCAGGATGTCATCTAAAAGAGGTTGATTTCAGCCTGGGAAAGAGATGGATGCTGGGTAGGGGGATTTGTAGTCAGGAGGAATCCTATCTGGAGATGCCAGGTGCTCCAAACATAGCTTTAGTTGTCTTTTTATTTCTCTTTTCTATATTTCATTTTTGTTACTTCTACCCCCTTCTCTTTTCTGGACAACTTTCCTTATACTTTTTTTTCCCCTGCAACCTCCGCCTCCCAGGTTCAAGCGATTCTCCTGCCTCAGTTTCCTGAGTAGCTGGGATTACAGGCATCCGCCACCATGGCCGGCTAATTTTTGTGTTTTTAGTAGAGACAAGGTTTCACCACGTTGGCCAGGGTGGTCTGGTCTTGAACTACTGACCTCAGGTTATCTGCCCACCTCAGCCTCCCAAAGTGCTGGGACTACAAGCGTGAGCCACCGTGCCCAGCCCTGCTTTCTTTATTCTTATCATTCCTTCCTAGCTGCTACTGTCAGTGTATAGGTGGCCCCCATAAATAGCCCTCCAACCTATGGAGAAAAAAGTGGCCATCTTCATTAGAGTATGTTCCAGAAGTTTTGGTGAGAAGAGTCACAGAGCCACTGGATATTGGTCATGGTACTGAGACTCACCTGACTGGGATGGTCTTTAAAGGATGGGATAAATCTTATGGCTGAAACAATGTGAAGTCATTCTGGTCACTTCAGGCAAAGAGACCAAAGTTGTAGGGATGAAGATTGGCCAGGGCATGTCAGCTCTTTCCTTAATTACCAAATTTGCTCTACTTAATGAAACATCAGCAACAGCCCATCAGTATTCTACAGCTTTGTGGGAAATAATTTTATATATGGCTCTTTATTTTCTCAAACATTTTATTCTGACATTTATTTTACAACCAAATACTAAAGACTTATTTCTCTACAAAGCCTGCATTACGTCAACATGACTTTTCCTTCAAGAAAACATACCCATAAACAAATCATTGAGAAAAAGGAAAATGCTCCATGTCCCAGTGCAGCTTGGCAGATTACCCCAAAAACTTCAGTTCATAACAGTTGCTGGCTTAGGACATGTCTAGCATAGGGTAGGTCCTGATTGTTAATAAATAATTGTTACGTTAATTGAATTAAGGAATGCAGAGTGGCATAAAAGAAAGGTAGGCTTTGGACTGTGATCCAGGTTTGAATCTGAACCCAGCCACTCGCATAGCTGAGTAACCCAGAGTGAATTATTTAATCCTTTTGAGCTTCAGTTTTCTCTTTTATAAAACTGAGGCAAAACCACCTGACTCACATTTGAGGGTTAAATGAAATCATGTAGTTAAGAATCTAGCTCAGTACTTGTGTATGGTAGATACATAGAAAAAATAGTTCTCTCCTTTTTTCAAATTGGCCCAGCAACAAAGTTGTGTAGCATGCTCCAATAAATCATTGGCCAGTCAAAGCAACAATCAAGGACCTGGTGTCAGAAGCATTGATTCTTAATTCTGGCTACACAAAAGAATTACATGGACTTTAAAAAAAAATCAGAGCCTAGACCCTACCCCAATAATTTTTAATTTAATAGTTCAGGGATGGAGCCAGGAAAACAATATTTCTTTCAAAAGCTGCCCAGGTGATTTTTAATGTGCAGAAGGGTTGAAAAGCACTGGACAAGAAAAAGAAAGCCCTTTTGCTCTACTCTGGTCTGATCAGCCTGTGCAGGTTGTTGCATTCCATTCCCATGTAACCACTAAGAGAGGGGAAGCAAACAGTGAGGGCCACTCACATGGTGGAGGGGATTAAGCCTAAGTCATAAAGTGAAGAGCTCAAGGATGGGGGTCATTGGCTTGACTGACTGAAGATGGCCAGGAGTGAATGATCACTTTCCAATCATGTAAAAGGTTACTAAGTAAAGAGGGATTGGATTTGTCTTGCATAGTGTGAAGAGGTGAAGTTCAAGTTGGATATGACCAAAGGTGGGATGGACTGCTTTTAGAGATAATGAGTTCACAGTCACTGGAGGAATTCAATAAGATATTCCATAACCGCTTAATGGCAACAGAGAGGAGGAATTCAAGCATTGAATAAGCAGTTGGACTAATTCTTAATGGCCTATCTCAAAACTTTGTGGCGGTAGCAGTGTGACTAATTTTAAGAAATTTCTTGGGACAAAGATGTTGGATGATATGAAAGGGTAAAAAAATTCAAGCCTTCATTCTGCATGTGTCTTTACACCTTGGGCCTTCCTAGCCCATGGGGTTAAGTGAACACATCTTTCAGACACAGCTGAAGCAAATTTGGCACTCCTGAAAGCTGCAGCCAAAAGACCATAGCATCATAGTAGCTGCTGGGATTATCACAATCATCTAGACAAATGTTTCATGTCTTTTTTTTTCTAAGCAGTGAAACTTTTTCTCTCTTTTTTTAATCCAAATAAAATAAATCCTATACAGGTATCTGATAATTAATCAAACACGGGCTGCTCTGGTTGAAGCATGTGGCTATGTTCATCTGCCTCACAATCCCATCAGTGGCCCCTGAGAGACCTGCTCATAACCCTAGAATTCCATAGTACAGGTTTTGAAAATCATACTGTTATAGATAACCCTCTCTTTTTACACATGAATAAACTGGCCTCAGAATGGCTAAGTAACTTGGTCAGGGTAACTTAGTTCATGAGAGTAGAGATAAGCCCAAACCTAATCTCCTCAATTCTGGGCCAGTGCCTCTCCCATGAGCCCACAGTAATGCCTTAACTGGGAACAAGAGTAGACCCAGTATGGCCAGTTCTTGTCGCATTCATCTATGGTAACAATGATGCATAAGAAGCCCAAGCACCCATTTCAACCAAAAATGCCAACCTTCTGCCTGGGGGATACCCATTCTTTGTTTCTGGTGGTGGCGATGGATTTGCTCTAATAGTTAGTCTCTTAGTCAGTGTCCACAGTAATCAACATCTTCTTTTTGTACATTGACCAACTAGGATTGAGGAGGGGAAGGGGGGCACTCTCTCTTGAGATCGAAACCAAGCAACTGGCCCACAAATACAAGATCTCAAATCTTGACCCCATCATATGGTGCTGCAACTAATTGAGCAAAGCACATTTAGCTGACTCAATTTACAGCATTATTTTTCTTTTCTTCCTTTTCTACAAACTTGGGAAAGGGTTTAGATGAATTGAACCAAAAGGCAGATAATAGAATAAAAAAGTAGTTGGTAAGGACACACTTGTAATTCTGGAAGTAAATATGGACACTTTGGATAATTAGAGGTTTATTCTGGAAAGTTTTCCTAACCATTCACTCATGTACTCACTCAGTCACCATCTCCCTGACTCTCATTTGATATTCATAGAGCACCTATCACAGTCTGGGCAATATTTTTAAAACAAAAATTAATGCAAAAAGTATGCATATAATTAATGCAAAAAACAGGTAGGATGAACAAAATTTTAAAATTTTAAGTTAAGACAGAATCAGAGGCTGGATAAAGAAAATGTGGCACATATACACCATGGAATACTACACAGCCATAAAAAAGGATGAATTCGTGTCCTTTGCAGGGACATGGATGAAGCTAGAGACCACCATTCTCAGCAAACTAACACCAGAACAGAAAACCAAACACCGCATGTTCTCACTCATAAGCGGGAGTTGAACAATGAGAACACATGGACACAGGAAAGGGAACATCACACACCGGGGCCTGTCAGGGGGTTGGGGGCTAGGGGAGGGATAGCGTTAGGAGAAATACCTAATGTAGATGACGGATTAATGGGTGCAGCAAACCACCATGGCATGTGTATACCTATGTAACAAATCTGCACGTTTTGCACATGTATCCCAGAACCTAAAGTATAATAATAATAAAAAAAAGACAGAATCAGTATTTCTGATTTTTCCTTTTGCCTCAGACCCTAGTATGATTTGATATGGTACTGCAACTGATCTATCTTTATTTCAAATGTTGAGGGCTATAGTTAATAGTATTGTATTATACACTGAAAGATTGCTAAATGAGTAGATTTGAGATCCTCTTATCAAAAAAGAAAGAGGTAAGTATGGGAGATGATAGATATATTTGCTTACCTGTAGTAGTCATTATTGTATGTCTATATCAAAACACTATGTTGTACATCTTAAATTTCTAAAAATGATAAAATAAAATAAAAATTTGATATTTCATTTATCATAGATTTTTGTATTAATTTTGATTTTTAAAATATTGCATTAAATATTATTTATTTTAACTGCTGAGTTTTGTTGGTGTCCCTTTACATTTTGTGTCCCCACCAAGTGCCTCACTCACCTAACTTTAGACCTGGTCCTGTTGAGGCATTGGTAAAGGCAGAGGATACAAAAAGTAAATACAACATGTCTATTCTCAAGGAGTTCTCAGCCTGGTGGAGAAGACAGACAGGTAAACAATGAACTGAAATACAAATATTTCTATAATAGAACTATGTGCAAGGACAGTGTTGGCACAAAGGAGGGGGGGATCCACTCAGTTGAGGTGGGTGGCCAGCAGTGAGGAGGGGAAGGGCATTCTAGGCCAAAGGACAGCGTGGGCTAAGGTGAGGAGAACTGCAATGGCAAGATGAGTGGTTCATTCCAACCAGCAAGGTGAAAAGTGAAAGCAAAGCAGGTAATAGCAGGAGGTAAGCTCAGAGAGGTAGTCAGGTGCCAGGGGCTGCAAACACTAATTGAATACCTTGTATGTGTGCAGTGTTCTGAGCGTCCCCACAAAGCATCAGTCATAATATGAGCGCTGAGGATCTCACGCTAGTTATAGCAGACAGGGCAAGTCATACAGGAAAAACAAACAATAAAACCAGGTAACAACAAGGAGTGCAGGGACAGACTGAGAGGACAGCAGTTCCAAGGAAGGCACAGTCAGATCTCTGAACTGGGGAGGGGAGATCACAGAAGAAATAGCTTTTAGGCTTAGCTCTAAGGGAATAAGCAAGGTCTCAAGATGCCACATCCTCCTGGCCACCTCCTCTCTGATGTGTGTGTCTGCATCTTTGTAACTAAATAGCCTCCATTCACTCCTCTGTATGAATGCAGACTGGGAGCTGGCTGAGGAGGAAGAGCCCTCAACAGCCCTAGCTTGGATGGCAGCCAGGGCTCTGTGTCCCTGGGACATAATCCCAACTGACTCTCCTTGCTGGATGAGCACAGCAAAAGGTATAAATAACAGCAGAAATGAACCCCTCCCAGGACTGCTGTGGGATTAATAAGCCCTTGAGACCCTGGCACTTCAAACCCTGTGGAAACTAGTGCTTCAATTGCTATTATGAGCAGACTCCCAGCCATGGCTCCTTCAGCACATGCTGCTAGATAATCTCTCCCCAACCACTGCCGGGAGCTATCAATCACCCAGTGCCTATCTCTTAACCCACAGCCTGAGAAGGGAAGGGAAGAGGCTGCAAGGACAGTGTGGGGTGGTGACATGAAGGGGCCAGAGATTATCAGCTGGTTGATCTCTTCCAGAAGTGTGAGAATAGTGCACAGGCTCTGAAGTCAGCCAATGTGGTTTTGAAACTTGGTTTTCCCACCTATTACATCTGTGAAGCTAGGTGGCCAGTAACAGGGCTGTTGACAAATATTCCCATTCTCTAACTGGGTTCATGGTAGAATTATACTTATCTGCCCCCTCTGGAGTTAGGTGTGGCCATGTGACTTGCTTTGGACAAGCAATATGAGGGAATGAATGTGGAAGTGGGAGTTTTAAAAGCTAGTGCAAAATTCACCACATTCCTTTCCCCCTCCTGTAGCATTTGAGGAAGCATGTGTCAATTTGGATTTAGCCTGGGAATCTAAGTGACCAAGATAAACAGAGACTCCTGGTCACCTGCTTTCAATGTAAATAAAAAATAAACTTCTATTGCTTTAAGCCACTAAGACTTGAGAGTTTTTTTACTGCAGCATCATGTAGTGATCCTGACTAGTTCAGGGCAAGTTAAGTTACTCAATCTTTTGAAGACTCAGTTTCTTCACTTGTAAGATGGGAATAATAATATCTATATTATAGAGTTATGGTAAGACATAAGAGATAACTTATGTAAAATCATTAGCAAATAGTCCATAATAAGTGCTCAACAATTGTTAACTCGGGTGGTTATTATCACGTTTATTACAACTCTCTTCTTAGGCTCCTCCAGGGGCCAGTGCACCTCTCTACTCTGATGCAGCCAGTGTTCCCTTCACCAGTTCAAGTGATAAATAGGTGAGGAGCTCACATATCTCAGGTTTGGCAATGCCACTTTATGTTGGTTGTCAGCGGAATTCTTAATGATCTCCCTGTGGATGGTGATCCACGTAGGTGACCCAGCCCCTGCGGGAGCCTGACTGAGGGACCCCTGGCTCGAGGAGCCGGAGGCTCTCTCACTTTTCCGGCTGGTGCTGGGTGAGATAGTCTTTGCTCTCACTCTCTCTTGCCATCACTCATCTAGGCAGTACATTTCTGAGGATCAATCACTACAGTCCTTTACATCACAGTTTCACTCTGCTGTTAACCATCATTCAGCGGAGAGCATCAAGTGAGTTACAGAGGAGGCAACTGAAGTTCACTGAGGTTAAGTGACTCTCCCAGGGACACAGCTTAGGGCTGGAGCATGAAGAGGGCCCAGCCTCCATTTCCTTTGGTGCTTAGTCTCCTAGTTTGGACATTTTTATTCTTGTTAGTTTCAGGTTGGGCAGTGATTTTAAAAGCCTCATCTTCTCCTCTCATCCTTCCTTCTCCTCATTAATGGCCAAGCAAGAAATTCTTCAAGGGCAAACTGGTTTTTCTGGGACTTCTGATTGAAGTGTAGAGCTGTTGTTTTGGTGGGTATCTACCTACAGTGCTGGAAGATACATCCCTGTTGTCCTTGGTCATGGGAGGAAGAAAGCATTTATCCATTGCATCTCTGACTGGGGGTTTTCCTTTGATGCCACCGGTTGAATCTCTTCCAAAGAGAATCAATAGTGGCAGAATTTCTTTATGGAAGGGCATTAAGAGTAGCAATCTGGTTGGGAGGCAGCAGGTGTAGGGAACTCATCTCGAAGTGTACTTGCAGAGGAACCATCTACTTTTACTTAGTCTGTTTATTTGCCATGGTTGTATGGAGAGCACTGATAGAGGCCACGAAAGAGCTCAAGCCAGTCCTACACCCTCCAACCCAGCCCTTTACACTGTTCACAGTGCTGTTGTAAACCAAGCCTCACATAGAGCCAGTTAATGGAGAAATAGAAAAGTCAAAGAGAGTGTAGATCAATCGGAACCAACCCAAGCCAACAGTTTGCAGCTCAAAAAGCAGTGAGAATATAGAGACCCCTCTTATGTAGGGCCCTCTTAATATCTACCAAGTGGCTTTATGGGCAAGCAATTCCTGTACAAATAGAATCTAATAAAAGATTGTCAGCTGAGGTTTTAGGAGTCATAAGTTTTGGAAACTAGCATTGTTTGATAGGCTCTCGATTCCCTCATCACTATGAGCTTCCTTCACTGGTTGAACCAAAATCAATAAAATTGTATTCCAAAAGAGCCTGTCCTTCAGAAACCCTGTCACTAGCAGCCCCAGAGTCTTCACCAGACTCTGTCCCCTCTTCTATTGTCTGCACAGAGAAGATGTTGTGGGTGTCTTCTGCCTGGCAAGTAGGGCCCAAGATATTTGTTTTCTCCATGATAGAGAAATATTCTCAAGTTTCCCTCCACAGCACCAAGTGTCCTCCCAAACAGATGGGGCACAGGCAGCATATTTCACATTGATGACTTCAGAACTCTGGCTGGCAACAGTGCTGAATTTCTTTTATTAGACTTTATTTCTGTGGTCATTATTCACCCATAAAAAGCCACATGGTAGATCTTAGGAGGCTCAGCACAAGAGGAATCTCTCTCTTTTCACACATCTCCCCTCCCTGTTACTTTAGCATCTCTTAGGAGACTCCCATTTCCTAGTGGGCATTTTGTTATCTTCCCAGAGTTCCTTAAGCCCCATGGAACACTTTCTAAAGAAACAGAGAAGGTGGGTGTACCAATCAGGTACTATAATTTTCCAGGGTCTTCCTGATAGGGATTGGGAATGTTATTCTGGGGCCTGTAGGAATTATGCCTCTGAGCATTTTTTTTTTCAGTTCTCTGAATCTGTATATCAGTCAATATAGGGAAAGGCAAAGGGCTTCTACCCACTCTTCCCACCTCTTTGCTTTTGGACTTGCTGTTATTCCTACAGAATGCACTTCTCCCACCCCTTTTGTTCCTGTCCATCAGAAATACACCTATTATTCAATCTTTCCCTTATCAATATGGGTCTAACTTATTTTTCCCTTTCTATCTCCTAAAGCATTTATTTGCATCTTTTGTTTATGCATTTAATCATATATTATCTTGAATTGTTATCTGTTGCACATATATAATATTAATCTTTCAAGTGAGATAAAAAATTATTTTAGAGGCCCAGGCACAGTGGTTCATGCCTGTAATCGCAATACTTTGGGAGACTGAAGCGGGCCAATGTCTTGAGCCCAGGAGTTTGAGACCAGCCTGGGCAACACAGCAAATCCCCATCTCTACAAAAGATACAAAAATTATCCATGCATAGTGGTGCACACCTGTAGTCCCAGCTACTCAGGAGGCTGAGGTGGGAGGATCACTTGAGCCCAGAAGGCAGGAGGTTGCAGTGAGCCAAGATTGCAACCATTGCACTCCAGCCTGGGCAACAGAGTGAGACCTTGTTTCTAAAAAAAAAAAAAAAAAAAATTATTGGCTGGGCATGGTGGCTCAAGCCTGTAATCCCAACACTTTGGGAGGCCAAAGTGGGTGGATCACCTAAGGTCAGGAGTTTGAGACCAGCCTGTCCAACATGGTGAAACCCTGTCTCTACTAAAAATACAAAAAAAATAGCTGGATGTGGTGGTGGGCACCTATAGTCCCAGCTACTCAGGAGGCTGAGGCAGGAGAATTGCTTGAACCTGGGAGACGGAGGTTGCAGTGAGCCAAGATTACACCACTGCACTCCAGCCTGGGTGACAGAGGGAGACTCCATCTCAAAAAAAAATTATTTTAGGATAGGAATAATTGAATCATTGATAACTGACATTTGGTGATTGCCAGCTATTGGTAGAGAATGCATTATGTGGAAGAAGATACAGACACAGCCTCAGAAAATTAAAGCTGAAAGGGGCTAAGAAGTTGTCCAGACCAACTCCTTTCTTTTCCAAATAAGATGCAAAAGCAACTACTAAAGGAGCCTTTCACATTCCCAAGTATATACCAAAACTGAAACCCAGTTTAAACCCTATTTCAGAGCTTACTCCTGTGCCTCCCTCTCTGCTAGAGTTTGTCATCAAAAATTGCCTTGTGGAAACATGGATGAAGTTGAACCTCTTGGATTCTTCGAAGCCATGAGGGTAAAATCGGTATACTTTTGCATTGACTTAGTTGGCTTTGCAACTATTTCCCATCCTGCAACCCTCAGAAGTACTGGCTTTCAATGGTCTGTCCCATCTTTTCTGTTTTAAGTCTATAGTAGACCCACTAAATTACCAGACTGAATTGGACCAAAGAGAATTAGGCAATGGAGACAGTGTCATGGAACAGAAAGGGTATTAGATTCGATTCCTAGCTAGTTAAAAATCGTTAGCTAGTTAAAAAAATGAGAACCAGCAATAATAACAAATAGGGTTTAATGAATGCTCATGATTGCTAGTGTGCTAGCATTTTGCACTTATTCTCTCATTTATTACTCATAACATCCTTATGAGGTAGGTGCTCTTATTATGCTAATGGTACAAATGAGGAGACTGAGGCACAGAGAAATTAAACAACTTGTGGTGGAGGCAGGCGAATATGATAATGGAGGAGGGGCTATCAGAATCCTATGGTTCTTCTGTTATTCTAAGACTCTATTGGTCTAAGAAAATCCACTTTTAAAAGCCCATTCTAGTTTCATTGGAAAATTCACACTCGTTTAGGGCAAAGGTTGAAAACAACATCCCATGGCTTAGATCTTTGGTTTGGCTACACAATGTTTTTTTAAAAGAAAAAGAAAAAGAATTTGTGAATAACATTTCACATTGGGAGATGATATATAGAATTATTGATTTTTGACTTCCCTCGAAAGATGAAGAAACCCGTGTTTCTGCACGGTAAGAAGGAGCTGGAGCTGAGGAGTGGAGGGTCCTTCTAGAAGGTCCTCCAGTTCCCCCCACCCGTCGTTCACCACTTTCTACCAGTTCGCAACATGGTGACCATGCTCAGCTGTCATGACGTCTGCCCTACTTCCCTCTTGTTTGTGGCCTACCTGGCTCCCAGAATCATTTCAGTTTGAGACACCTGCTGTACTGTGGGCTCTTCTGCTACTCAAAGTCTGATTCTGCAAAAGAAAAAGAACTTTGAGAGTTCTTCTGAAAATCAATGATCTTTCTAAACTGGAAGGATGGATTATTGTCAACATAACAAACCTCATTTTCCAGTGTGGGAAAAAAAATCATTGAAATAATTTCTCTAGAAAGAAACAAATTCATTATATGGAAAAATCAGCCTCCGTTCAGCAACACTTGAATGGTGGCTTCAAACATTAGAAACTTGCCAAACCAATTTTCTCCTCTCAGATTTAACACTGCTCCATTTATCTCAGTGGGGACTAAAGACCAGCTAAATTTGAAGTCATAAAGCTCAGCCTTTTTGAATGATTTTGGTCAAAACAGCTTTTTTGTAAGCAGACAAAGTGTGCTTATTTAATGTTCTTCCTTCTCAAAAGGGACTAAAGAGAAATTTCTAAAATTTTCCCAAAACATTTCACCTCTGAGCTGATTATAAAGGTGGAGAGTTTCAGCTGGAAAAGGGGTGCATATTTCAGGGTTATCAGCTCTCAGAAATAGAAGATTATAATGGAATCAGGGCTCCTTCCCACTTGCTTTTAACTACAGTTAATGCTTCTGTAATCATTATAATAATGATGTTTTGCATTTATATAGCACTATTCATTCTTCTTAGGAGCTCAGAATGCTTTGCAAACATTATCTCATTAAATCCTCTTGACATCCCTGCGAGGCAGGTGATGACAAGAGAGATTGTCCCTGAGGTACAAGGCTCTCTCAGGGGCCAGCACAGTGGTGAGATGAGCTGCCCATAATCCCAGACCAAGTCCCCACAGGGCTGGAAATAGAGCACTGGTCTGCAGGATGCTTGACAGAACCTCACGTGAGGAACAGCATCTCCTAGGGAATGTGAGAAGTGACTTTGTTCCCCACATGTCCTGGCACAGCTTCCAGAGGCTCATGTAATAGGAAACAATGCCTGGGTCCTCCCATCTGGAAACTGCTTTTGGATACTGTGGATAGAGGGAGCATTCAGTGAATATTGCTGAATGCATGAATGCTAGTTTAGTCTCAAGATTTCCAGCTGCACTTGGTTGTGCTAAAAGTTCAAATTGTACCCAAGAGCTGAATTTTCAGAGGCCTTCCTTTACTTTTCAGACACTGGGGCTTGTCTATACCTGCTGATGGTTTTAGATGGAGGAAGAGGCCTATTGGTTTGGAATATTCTGGTAAAAACCTTGCTGAGGGGTGTATTGGAAATGTGGGGGCATGGGGGCCCTAGTTAGCTGGACCAGTCATGTAAATTAGCATTGATCCATTCACCTCCAAGCATTTGGCCAGGCCCAAAAGAAAAACAGATGGCAGTTAGGGAAGAATGAATTTTAATAAAAATGGAAACTACTGACTTTTCTGCAGTAACATTATTCCTCTAGGCTCATTTCCATTGTTCTCTGTCATCACTAGAGAACAGAGAAGGGTTAGTGAAAATTGAACAGACCTCTGCACCAGCTAGGGTCTTTAAATCCAGCTTCTCAAGAAGTTCACAAGAAATCAGATAATCTTAGATTATCTTTCCTGGACCTCACCTTTATCATCAACAAATAATTCTTTCAGGCCACTACACACAGGGCATGTTCCTGAGGATGCCGAGAACAATATAAGGCAGTAAGGCAAGGGACCGTCCTTGCATTAGTCAAACAGGATGTGTACTCAAGAACAACAGTAACAGTCTCCAGAAATCAGTGTATGAACTTCCCTCAGGAAGTAAAGATCACCATGCAAATGCGAGGTGTTTTCCCACCGGTGATTCAACTGTAGACCTCATTTAGTCCAATTCTCTATTTCAGTTAAGTTTAACGATTATTTTTAGAGCATTTACCAAAACTAAAGGCCATACAGGTTAAATGACTTGATCAAGATCACTTCATTAGTTATATCATTGAAAACATAATAACAAATCAACTCACCAAGATTAGAGGTGCTATTTTCCATGGGACACAAACAAAAGGAATATTAAATGCTGCAGGAATTCAGGCAATACAGTTATAGTTTTCAGCAAGCATGTTTTAGTTACCAAAGCCTTGGACGTGGGCATGAATACATGCTTATGGAATGTACAGTATGCTGTATAAACAGAAGGCATGCGTGAAATGGCATGGTGACTGTGAGAATCCAAATTCTAAAAGGTTATGAGTGTCTAGAACTGGAGAACCAAATGAATAGAGGTACATTTAGGAGAAGTATGCACTCTGCAGTTAGTTTCTAGAAGGACAGAATATGGGTCACATCTGACCCTGCTCCAGAGACTTTAGTCAAGTGTTGTGGGAAGGCACTCAAAGAGCCAAGGTCTAGGTAAGACTCCATTAGGTCAGGCACCCAGCCGCTCAGTGGCATGTAAATCACTCTGCCACTCTAGAATCTCAAGTTCCCCAAGTCTTCACATTTTCTGGAATGCTCTAATGAATCTGTAAGCTCCATGAGGGCAGAAATCCAACGTGTGCAGGAACCCCTCCCTCTTTGTTGAGCAGAGAGGAGATGCGTCCTTAAATCGAATGCACTCTTAGGTGGCTCCGGCTCTCCAGGAGCTAAAGGGCTTCCCCAAGGTCACACGTTCAGTGACGGAGAGGCAGGGTGGAGCTGCGGTCTCCAGACTCCATTCCAGCCTCTATGGGCCCCGGGTTGCGGGGGGTCACCAATTTGCAGAGCTGAGGGAGAAGAGAGGAGGGAGGAAGGAGAGCAGGAGGGAGGGGAAGCTGTCCCCAGCTGCCAGATGGGAAGTGTCAGCTTGGCCTTGGCCACCTCGGGTCACCGCTCCTCCCTTTCAGGCGCCCGGGTTTGCCCACCGCGAAGAGCAGTGGCGGAGACATCGCAGCAACGCTAACGGGGCAGACCGCATAGGGGCCCTGAGAGGCACACACGCGCCTTCTGCTCACACCTCAGGCAGTCGGAGGGGCCCGGCGGAGCTGTGTTCGTGTTGTCATGGCGACGGAAGCAGACCATTAGAGCATTACGAGGAAATGAGAAGACTTGGGGTCTTGCGATCGCCGCCGAGTGACGGAGTAATTCGCAGATGCCACCGAGCGGTGGGGCGGCGCGGTTAATGGGGTCTCTGCTGGGCTAGTGTCCCGCATCAGCGGTAATGGGGCCGGCCCACCCGGAGGCAGCCCGGAGCAGCGTCGCCCCAGCAGGCTTATGCGGACCTGGCTAACTCCAGAGGCCGGCGGCTCCTTGCGGTGGGGAGAGGAGGACAGAGGGGCCAGGTGGAGCGGGGTCTGCAAACAGCCCAGGCTTTTCGTGAGACCCATTGGCGGGTTCCCTGCCACCAATATGCAGTCTCACAACCGTTTTCTGTCCCACTTGAAACCAGAAAATACACTTCCCAGATAGCAAGGAGGGGTGATTCGGATTCAACTCTTGCTGCAACTCGGGATGGAGGCAACCCCTCGGCGTGGGGATGCTGAGGCAGGCAAGAGACTGGGGCCGGTTCTACAGGAGGGAGGAAAAGAGTGAGCCATATGATAGAGTAAAATCCCTTGCAGGACTTCCATTCGACTGCACGCCTACTTATCCTGGCATTCTGCATGTTTCCAGCATTTTAGGAAAGTGTCACAGTGGTTAATTAGCACAGACTCTGGAACTGGACTCGGGGATTGGAACCCCAGTTTTACCACTTGTATTAGCTGTGATCTTGAGCAGGTTACTTAACTCCCTTGTGTGTCAGAGAAGTTCTGCATTTGTACAATGGAGATAATAGTAATATACCTTAAAGAGGTGTTATGAGGTGTATATTTAGAATGATGCCTGGCATATAGTAAGAATTAACTATTTTTACTATTTAGCTATTACTCGTATTATCATAAGTATTATTAGTATCAGTCTGGATTTATGCAGTGAGATATCCTATAAAATAAGAGGGTTGGAAGAAGTGATCTTCCATTGCAGTATGTGGAACAGTTCTGCAAACATAGTTTTGTATGTTACTCTTGGCTACCAATATCTATTTGATTTAAAGGTGATTTGGCTTAGCAGAAAGCAAGGCTTCTGTTTATGTCTATACATGAGATGCACCACCAGACACTGACTGTATTGAATTGAATGGCCCCACAGCTATAATACCCACAGGGTTTGCACGTAAAGATAGGGCCACCATGTACAGTTGAGTTGGTTGTATATCCTGCACAAAGGTGCCCAGCTGAGGGGTGAGTAGGAGCAGAACCCCAGCCCCTGCTTTACTCCTGAAGCTATGCTCCCTGGCGTAGTGCTATGTCTGCCTGGAGGAAGGAGCTCATTTAAAAAATTTTCAACAACTTACCTTACGGGCTTTCAGTAGCCTTGTGATCTTTGGGAAGGTCACAGCAAAACGAAAACAATGAAAAACCCAAAAAGCAAAAAACAGAAAACAAAGCATGACATTTAGTCAGATGCAGATCCTGAATTTAAGACTTACGCTACAGAGGAACTCCTGAGTTTGTTTGTGGTCTTGAGTGAAAAAAAAATTTGCATTTCCTCTGACAGTTCCTCATTCTCTTTCCTCTAGCTTTTGCAGCATTTGTTTAGATAAACTTTGCTGAGGAGATCAAATCACTTTGCTTATAACAGAAATGATATTGTAGTTTCAACATATTTATACAGATTTATATGTGTGCCAAAATATGTTTACATATGTAGAAACATGAAGGTACAGAAATGCCTTTATCTTCTGTTTGTGTTTAGCTGACTTTGACAGTCCAGTAGCTATACCTCTCAGAGGAGTCTGGTAAAAACCGCCACATCCTGCACTTGCTCTGCAGCGGGTAGAGTTTGGGTAAGGTCACTTGGCCAGTTCTTACTCAGAGATGCGGCCCTGAGGCGCTGAAAAAGCCGAAACCCTCGCCTTTGAGGTTGGCCATGGCCACTATTACACAAAACTTAGTCTTTCAATTTGATATATGTTTGCATGTCTTTGGGGGACTTAGTGTGTGATCCACAGACTTCTAGTCATCATGGCAGAAGAGAAAGGTGAATGGGCCTAAACTTAAGAGGCCTGAGTTCCAGTTCTGGATTTGTAATATTAAAATCTGTACAATTTTGATAAACACTTAGCCACTCAAGTTTGAGTTCCTTGATTTGAAAATAGGGATAATTATACTCATGAATATTTATGGAGATAAAATGTTAAAAGCCATGTGAGAATTATGAAAACGCTATATACAGTCAAGAAACAGATTCAACTAAGAGTCATTGAGAACCTGTTGTGTGCCAGGGCCTGAGTTAAGCAATACCTAGAGAGAAATCGCTCCCCTCTCCACTCACTTATGATCTGTAAGATGAGGAGGTTGTATTATACTATCTCTATAGTTTATTTCAGCTTTAGGGCTTTTAAAACTCTATTCCTACCTAATAGAATAGTCATATAATTTTACAGCTTGGAAGGACTCCATCTTGGGAGGAAGAATGAACATACTTGCAAAACACACATGAACAATTTAAAGAAAAGCCATGAATAAATGCACACAGTAAGGAAGGTATCTTCAGAGGACACACTTGGCCCCACTGTTGGCCTGCCCCAGCACCCCACTGTATAGAGCAGGGAGATCAAAAACCATCTGGGGAGACTTAGCATGCAGAAGAGGAAGGATGTCAACCAGACTCTCCTCTGAGTGGGTTTGGAAAGTATGTGGATCTGCTTTAAATTGATAATATAAATATTTGTCCTCCAGGCTCCTGCCAAGACAATGTATCTTCCAACTACTTGCTGCCTGACTCTAATCCAAGGACCAAAGGCAAAAAAAAAAAAAAAAAAAAAAAAAAAAATAGCGTTCCTGTAATTGTCAAAAGGACATGCGATCTACTCATTCCTCTCTATATCACACTGGTCCTCAAATTGCATCAGAGCTTGTTAAAATACAGATTCCCTGGCTCCATTCCCAGAGTTTCTGATTCTATAGGCCTGAGTTGAGCTAAAAAAATGTGTATATCTAATAAGTTCCCAGGTGATAGTGATATTGCAAGTTCAGGACTACTACACCGTGAGAACAGCTGGTCTGACTAACATCAAGTTTATCAACAGGTCAAGCCTAAAACAAACAGATGCATACTTGTAGCACATTGTTCTGATCCCTCAGTAGAAGCAGGGTGTCTTGAATTTACGGACACTGCACTGTGTCCTTCTCTTGCATTGAGGAATAATACAAATAATGGCCTTAAGAAATGACTGGCATCTTCACTCTTGTGAAGTTGTTGAGGATGCAGATTCCCACATCTCTCAATGTCCTTTTATTAGTATCCAAGAAAGAAATCTCTATCAGTTATTAGAAGGAGGAAGAAGTGCTCATTTTATCCCCAGAATGATTGGGATGCTTTCTTCTTTCAGGTTACATGACTTCATTTGCTTCATTAGCTTCCTAGAAAGCTCCGAGACCAACAAACAGCTCATTTCCAATAAACGGGGAGAAACTTATGGCACATATTTGAGGGTACTAATTTTCCCTGTAATATATTTTTATTCAACTTATTTTTTCTTTGTCTTCTTCTCCTTTGTAAGTTTTCCCAAATCTTTCCTAGAATAAAGGAGGAAAAAATAAATACATACATAATAAAATAAGGAAATGGTGAAAATTACGTGTGCTAGTTCTGAGGGGACAAGAAATAACCGAGTAATAGAAGTTGGTGTCAGTAAACGTGTGTTGTCTGTTTTAGTGTGGTGGGTAACAAAAGTGATTTACCCAAGGTCCACCAGCTATGTGCTGTAGACCTGGCACTAAAGTATAAATCCTCTTGCTCCAGTGACAGAGACCTTTTTTTCTAGTCTTTCCTGCTTCCCATACATAAAGCATTGAGATAACTGGGCTCCTGCCTCAGTGTTTGGTGTCAAGTTATCCAACCTGAGAAATCAGTAAAGTGAGTTTGCTTCAAGCCCAGGCATTCCTCCTCCCAAAGGAAATAGTAAGGGGTCAGTAAGAATTGACAAAAACTTGAAAAGATGGCCTGAATCATTAATAGAGAAATTTTTTCAAGTTGCGAGGGGACTAATCCTTCCTTCTACTTCTCAGCAGTCACTGTAGCAATTACTGAATGGACACTAGCAGGAGCAAGAAGTGTTAGGTTTTTATAGGATGCTAAAAATGATGCTTTGATGAATTCTCACTAAAAATCACATGGGTGAGGAAGAGTGATGCTAGTGGTTAAGTAATAGCCATTGCTCACATACCCCACGTCTTTGGGGTTAAATCAGGGGTACTGGCTGCTTGGCAGTCTGTGTGGATCACTCTAGGCTTAGCATCTGTGAGTGGCAAGGTATAGGTAACCCTCTCATCAACCCAGTGCTCCTTTACCCCTTCTGGGAGGCCTGGAGGGGGCAGGTCAGCCCTTCCTCTGGCCTCTCACTGCCTCTTGTGTGCTGCACTCACCACGTCACCCTGAAGTTATCTATCCCCTGTCCATGTGGCTAGACTGCAGGCTCCTTCAGGAGACAGCCTGAGAAACGATTCCAGCTTGGTCAACACAGAGAAAGGAGTCCCTTTTATTTTCAGTATTTTATTTTCAAGTAAATAGATCAAAAATTTTTAACCCTTGCTGTGGGAGCACACCAGTGCTCCCACCATGAAGACCCATCAGACCCTGATCAGCTTTTACTTTCTTAGTTGAAAAAGCCAAACTGAAGGAGTGAGGGGGTGGGGAGATGAGGACAGTGGCAGCTTTTCCCCTTCCCCGCTCCCCTCTTCTAATGAATTCTTCAAGCAGCATCCAGAGGAGGAGATGGGCCAAGGCAGGCCCACGCTGCTAGCCAGCTACATTAATCACACTCCATCCCTTCAGCCCAGCGGAGATGGATGGCCCCTCAGCAGGCCAGTGTTCAGGTGCAGTTCTAATAATAGGCTTCATTCAGCACTTCTTGACTCTCACAGTAGCTCCCTTCTCTCCCCGACAACTGACCAGCCCCATGAAGTAAGTTACATCAAAGACCTCAAAAGGCATGAAGTTCCAAGGAACTCCGGGTTGGAAATGTAGGCCTGGTCTCAGCCTTCCTTTCACAGTTGGGAAGACTCGGGCCAAGGAAGGTCACCCAAGGTCACAGTGGGAAGGCTGGGCAGCATAAAGAAAAGCTCACTTCCTTGCCCGATGCTATCTTGCTGCCCAGAGAGAAGGAAAGGGAAGCAGAGACAGACTGGCTGACTCCATGGAGCTCCAGTTTTTTGAGAATCTATCTTTATGCCATCCTCTCTCCTCCTCTCCTTTTGTTTAAATTCCATTTGCCCTTCAAGAACCAGTCTGTTTTGTGTACAAATGATGGATTGATTCTGTTATTGGTAGGGCTTTCAAAGGCAGCTCCTGTGCACCTCCCATTTATGTGCGACAGTCCCTGGGTCCCTAGCGCCCTCATTCTGTCACCCTTTGCCGCAGCGCTAACCAGGGCAACATGACCACCTATGATAGAAATCATACCTGTAAGTGCCTAGGGGAAGAATGTCCAGAGAAACACAAGATGTAGCTCTTGGAGTTTATATCCTAGAGGAGAGGAGGAAGCATACACAAATGGAACACCCAAAGAAGCATCTGACAAAGTATAATTAATGAATTGGCTTGAAGCTCATCTTTATCCTCTCTCCAGGGTACCAAAGGGAGAAAGTGTAGGCAAAAGATGGAATGACAAAATGGTGGGCAGCATAGGGAAGGATGATGACTCATTCTCACATCAGGCAGCCAGGCTGCACATCATAAAGATTTATCAATAGATGAATTGTCAATCCAATAAAAACCATAGACTTTGGAGTCAGAAAGACCTTGGTTTGAATTCCAGCTCTTCCATTTATTCACTATCTGGCCTCAGGAAAGTTATTTAACCTTTCCAAAAATTTCAATTTTCTTATCTGCAAAATGGTTATACCTATCTCACTGTTGAGAGGTTTGTATGACTCAAGGAGGTCAATGTCTAGCACTGTGCCTGGGTCAATATTGGCACTTTAAAACTGCCAGCGCATGTATACACTTACTTAGTCATTTAACACATATATAATGAGCACCTATCATGTACTAGACATTGTACTAAGCCTGGCATACATCAAAGGTGAACAAAAAAGACAGTGACCTTGTCCTCATGAACATAGCATTGTGGCCAGTGAAATAGATAAGCAAATTGACAATTATAATTCAGTCTGTTAAATGCTAGGATGAAGGAAGCACAGGTAGGGCCACAGGAGACCAGAAAAGACATCCCTGTTTCATTCTTAAAATTTCTTTTCCCATCACCTTAGTCACTTGCATTATTTTTTCTCCTTCCTTCTTTTTAAAGATTATCTGGCCAATTGATTTTTTTTTCCTTATGCTGATAAATCTTTACTGCTCTAAGGAATTGCTGGTCATCTCATCTGCCCAGCCAGCAAGCATGACAGCTTTCTCATCTTTCAGAGTTTCTTTCCTCCCTGCCTGGTTGTCCTCACAATTCTTCAAAAGCAGGCTTAACCCCTTGGTGGCTCTCTGCTGTTTGGTCTGTCTATCTATCAGAAGAGCTGGCGAGAGAGATTTAGTGTTGGGAAGGGTTAGGCAAAGCTCTGGATTGAAAAATCCTGATACAAAGCTGAGGGAAAGAAAAGGCAGAAGCCATTTGCGCACTCTTTCCTTCATCCACTCTTTCATTCTTAAACGGACAATAATTTATTTGATGTAGGCTGAGATTTATTTTATGACTTACAGGACTGGAGATTTTGGGGCAATAAAAATTTGTCAGACTATTCAGACCTGTCATCTTCTGCGTGCCTTCTTCAGGCGCCAAGGTTTCCTTAACTACCCAGATAAGTCTTCCAGATGACTGTGGGGCCCTCTGTCAAGGGAATAATTCTGTTTTCTACTGGGCCACCAAGCAGGGCTCAGTGGGCTGGCTGGGACTTACAAGGACAGATGCTGGGCCTCAAAGAAGCCAGACTCTGGACAGAGAATAATGTAAATAAAATGCAAAATATGATCGACTGAGTTGGCACAGTATTCCTTTAAGCTTGCAGGGAAGTGAGGTGGCAAGAAGTAGATGAAAGAGAACTAGACGTAAATTAAGGATCCTGACACTCTAAATTTGTCACAAATCCGTTTACACGATTTTTGGAAAGTACTTTAACCTCTCTGTGCCTTTACTTTCTCATCTGTAAAGTGAAGGGGTTTCCTAGGATCCCTAGGAATGCCTACAGGCTGGCAGAATTCCTGAACATGACTTATGGATGGGCTGCAGACCCTTGTCCAGAGCAGCTCTGTTGATGCTCTGCCCAGGACCCCCCACCCGACCCCCACAGCTTCTGTGAGCCTTTGCCTCTCTGTGCCCAGTTATCCTCTGAGGATAGCCCTCGACCACTGGAGCAGCTTGGGGTTTGCATTCCACCATCCCTTCTCCTCTGGCTTTGAACCAATGCCTGATAGATGGGGGAGTGTGAAAGCCCAGCAACATGGGGTCAAGTCTGAAGAAGCTTTGAGATGCCCAGTGCACTCCAGGGCTCCCCTGCAGGATCAAGCTGAGACTAGGATTTTGCCTGAAATGTTGCCTTTGCTTGGCTCCTTTCCTTCCTTGTCCTGCTTCACTTCCTCCCTTACTAGGCTCTCCTGAGCCACTTTCACATGGGTCTTTGTCCTGCGGTCTGCCTCTGGAGACTCCAAACTGTGACAGCTTTCAAATCCAGAAAGTTGGTAGAGTTTGTTCTGTTAACAAAACATCCATCTATCCCATTTCTTTCTATTTCTTCTTTCTTTATCTCCAGTGTTTATGAATTTGTGGCCCATATGTTTCCTTTGCCAATGGTGGACAATTGTTGAGACTGAGTCGTCTTGAGACTAGAGGTCACATGACAAGCTTGCAAGTGGCTCAAGTAGGAAGGACATTTCATGCCAGATGAAGGTTCTCTCCTTTAATTCATAGAAGCCCAAATGGAATCCCTGGCACTACAGTCCTGCTAAGCATTTGTGCAACCCAAGAGTCAACATGCAAGTTTGTGACTACAGCATCCATGGAGGTCTAATAGAGTGGGTACCTCTTGGAGAAAGGTAAAGATTGGAAACATTTCCCCAAATTCTGAGTAATCACAGAACACAGTCCTCCTCTAAGGCAGCTCTGCTTTCCTGACCTATATTGTACTGGCTTGTAGCTACATCTTATCTTCCGGGTAAGACCATATGCTTGCTCTTCAAGGACATACTCCTCATCTGATGAATCCTTTCTGCACCAAACACAATACGTTACAGTGGTCAGGACTCAGTAAACATTATGTCTGAAAGGATCAAAGTGAACGTGAAGAACAGTACGCCAGAGGGAAGGGCCAACAGTGATGGAGTTAAGCTCAACTAGGTTCAAACCTAGCTCTGTCCCTTCTCTGTTAGGCAAGCTGGTTGGTATATACTTATTCAGTCTCTTTGCATCTCAGCTTTCTCATCTGTAAAATGGAGATGTACTAACTATTTCATGAGGCTTTCCTGAACATTAACGATGTAGTATACTTAAAGGAATTATGAAAGTTTCTATCTTACTGCAGCTGCTTAACTGATGTACAGGTTATCTCTGAGCTTAGTCAGTTCTGTGGTCAGAGAAGGGACAGCAGAGGCTTTCTGACCTACAGCCACTGTGCCTCACTAGGAAGAGGCAAGGAGCTTTGCTGTCTGTACAAGTTCTCCCCTAGATTGCAGCTCACCCTGGAAGTACTACAGGCTTTTAGAAGCCTTTGTCATTCCTATTTTCAAGAATTCTTCTGAAGGCTTATTACTCCCTAACAAGTGAATCCAATCAGTAAAATTTCTGGTAATACACATTCTATGGAAATTTAATATATAGTAAAGTGGCACTACAACTCAATGGGAAAGGGATACATAGCTTATAAGATGTTCAGAAAACAAGAAGATTTCACAAACTTATCTGCCTTTTACATTTGCTGAAGATATCTTTCTGGAAAAACACCAAACTGGATTCCTTTAAATGCACATCACATACAAAAGTAAAATTATGGACAGATTAAAGAAGTAAATGCAATTGTAAGTAGAAGGTTAAAAGAAGAAAATATAAGAGAATAACTTTTTGACCTTGGGATAGGCAAGGATTTATTAAACACAACTTTGAAAGCATAAGATATAAGGCAAAAGGCTGGATTTTACTAATTGAAAATTAAGGATTTATGGACAGTGTGGATAAAACTGAAAGATGATATTGGGAAAAAGTAGTTGTAATGTCTAAAACTGACAAGGGATTGAGATATAGCATGTTCAAGGAGCTTCTGTAAATCAACAACAAAAAAGCAGCAACACTTAACAGAAAAAAATGGGCAAGAATAGGAGATTAAGAGGAAATCAAACCCCAAAGCCTTGTACGTTTGAGAAGAGATGTTCAAATTTATTGGTAATCAGAAATGTGCAAAGTAAAACAGCAAGACACCAATTTTAACCTGT